>NC_000017.11:20188080-20491111 GCF_000001405.40 Homo sapiens
GTTTCCTTTTACTGAAAATATTCAATGGTAACTGGAACATGAGACTTTAGTAGATGGCAACAGAAGTTGGATGCTATTGATGCCACTTTGAATGAAAAATTAGGTTATATGATTTCTGTTTCTTCCAGTTCTGAAATAACGTGATTTTGTATTTCCTTAGGTATCAAAAGACATCCTTTTTTTTTTTTCTTTTTTTGGGACAGAGTCTCACTTTGTCACCCAGGCTGGAGTGCAGTGGTGTGATCTCGGCTCACTGCAGCCTCTGCCTCCTGGATTCAAGTGATTCTCCTGTCTAAGCCTCCGGAGTGGCTGGGATACAGGTGCGCACCACCACGCCTGGCTAATTTTTGTATTTTTAGTAGAGACGGGGTTTCACCATGTTGGCTAGGCTGATCTCGAATTCCTGACCTCAGGTGATATTCCTGACCTCAGGTGATCTGCCTGCCTTGGCCTCCCAAAGTGCTGAGATTACAGGCGTGAGCCACCGTGCCCGGCTTGTATTAGAAGATATACTTATGATGTGACCGTTGGGCAAATTATGAAGTCTCTCAGACTTTGTTTCTTTATCTGTAAAATAACAATAATAATACTTTTATGAACTGAGTTTTGTGTGCCTCAAGTTAATGTATGTGAAAGTGCTTACAAAACCAAAGTGCTACACAAAGGTAAAGTGCTGTTATCCTTCCTACATAGTAAACTCCGATTCAAAGGATACGGACGATTCCTTAAATTTCTTTGTGTGTTTTGACCCATGGGTGCTTTGAAAAAACAACTCCCACCCCCAAAGTGATATTAATAGAAATAAACAGGATTTTGCGTGCCCAGTCCATCTAATTATCTAATTTCTCCAGTTACAAATTCAGGTGAATTTATTATGTTTTCCTGGTAGAACTTGGAAGTTTCTCAGTGATCTCTGTGAGGTATAACTGAGGTACACCTGAGCCATAACTGTAGGAAGTCAGGGCCTGATTATGATCTAGACTAGACTAGGTGGTTCTCACTTGCATCGAGCCTCCGTAACCTGGAGGTTAGCTTTTCCCATCTGTCCTGAAAGTAAGGCTGCACGTGAATATGGCAGATCTTTTAGTTCACTAAAGCCTGCACCCTCAGCTCCTCCTTATTCTCAGTGTTTGGTGCCTGGAGACTGTGGGCTTTATTTTCCCACAGTGCTGCTGGGAGATTTCTGTTCAGAGGTGCCAAGCTCTCTAGTTAGGCAATGAGGATTTCATTTGGCCTACACAATGGGCAAGGAAGCTAAGGCGCAGTATGCAGAGAGAATTCTGGGACGAAGCGCTCCTCCAGCCACTTCAGTTTCAATGGAAATTTGATGTCCCTGCCTGCTTTGCACTTTTCAAATGGCCTGTCAGGAGTTGCCCTCCCAGAGCTGCTTGGCATTCTGGCTTCTCCTGGAGATGACTAATGGCAGCTGGTTGTGTGGGCCGCCTGCTAGAAGCTAGTCAGACCATACCATTATCTCTCCTCAGAAACACTGAGGCTTTGTCTGCTGCCCTATCTCCCCTGCATCCTGACACAGAGCGGTCACTGTGTCCTCTCCAGGCCTGAGCCCCTTCTTAGTGTTAGGGGGCTTTTGTTCAGAAGCTTTATTGTCCCCCTCTTTCTGGAGTGCTGTTCATAGTGGCCGTGGTACAGCATGAGTATTTGGGAAACAGGAGGAGTAGATTTACAAGCATTTTGAATTCTAATCCAATTTGCTGAGCAAGTGGAGTGTGAGGAAAATTAATTTTGCATTCTTCCCAAAAAAAGTAAAATGGAGATGAGATAGAAAATGTTTATCCCTTTACAAAAATCATCTTTACACATTGACACTGCTGTTTGCTTTTAACAAAGGAAGTAAAATGGGTGAGTAATTTGGTTCATTTGCATGAGTGTAGGACTCTTTTGTGTTTTTTTCCCTCCATTTGATTTGCAAAGACAATTTCTATTGACTTTTAGTACAAGTTAGGTATGAATCTCTAGAAAGCACACCACTGAGACGACCCAAAAGACAGTCCAGCTGTGGAAAAAACTACTTTTCTGTCATAGTCAAGGTGGGGCCCCAAGATTTGATAACAGACTTAGTTCCTTATGGCTGTGCATCTGCTTGCTGAATTGCCTCAAACTTCTGTTATCTCATTTGTTCTAAGTCCAAAGGATCAGTGCTGCCTATAAAGCTGACGGATTGCTAATTGCCTGTTTCCACACTGTACTCATAAACATTCATATTTCTTTTTCCTAATTTTCATTATCAAAGTAGTATATACAGGGGTTAAAATAATGAACCAGGACAAGGAGCTTATTATGAAAAGCAAGACTGCTGCTGCCCTGCTGCCCTACCCCTTCCCATTTCTTGTCCCTCTTCTCAAAGGTAAACACTTTATTATGCTTTTACTGCCTTCTAAAAAAATAAACACTCTTTTTTAAAGAGCAGTTTTAGGCACAGCAAAATTGAGTGAAAAGTACAAGTTTTCCTATAGTGTACTCCTGTTCCCAAACACACTCAGCCTCCTCATTATCAACATCTTCCAATCAGTGAACCCACACCGATGTAACATTGCTCAGAGTCCGTGGTTTACATTGAGGTTCACTCTTGGCATTGTGCATTCTGTAGGTTTGGATAAATGTATAATGCCATGTATCCAAGTTTTTTGTAGAGACAGGGCCTTGCTGTCTTGCCCAGGCTGGTCTGGAACTCCTGGCCTCAAGCAATTCTCCCACCTTGCCTCCCTCCCTTGGGGGTGGGGGATGAATGGGCAGGCACAGTAGCTCACCTGTGCCTGGCTCTACTTATTCATTCCTCCCTCCCCCCAACCCCTGGCAACCATTGATCTTTTTGCTTTAGCAAGCAAAAGGACCATAGTTTTACAAAACTACGGTCTCTGTAGTTTTGTCTTTTGCAGAATGTCATAGTTGGAATCATACTGTGTGTAGCTTTTTCAGACTGCTTCTTTAACTTAGTAAATGCTTCAGTTAAGGTTCCTCCATGTCTTTTCATGGCTTAATAGTTATTTCATTTTAAGGGGTGGATGATACTAATAGTCCATTATCTGGGTGTACCACAGTTGGTTGCTTCCAAGTTTTGGCAGTTATGAGTAAAGCTGCTGTAAAGATCCATGTGCAGGTTTTTGTGTGGACATATGTTTTTGACTCATTTGGCTAAATACCAAGGAGTGCTATTGCTGGATCATAGAGAACAAGTATGTTTACTTTTCTAGGAAACCACCAAACTGTCTTCCAACGTGGCTGAATTATTTTGCGTTCCTACCAGCAATGAGTCCCGGTTGCTCCACATCCTCACCAGTATTTGGTGTTCTTATTGTTTTGGATTGTAGCCATTCTAATAGTTGTGTAGTGATATCTCACTTTTGTGTTAATTTGAAATTGCCTACGGATGTATGATGTGGAGCAGCTTTTTTTTTTTTTTTTTTTAATTATACTTTAAGTTCTGGGGTACATGTGCAGAATGTGCAGGTTTGTTACATAGGTATGCACATACCATGATGGTTTGTTGCACCCATCATCAACCTGTCATCTACATTAGGTATTTCTCCTAATGCTATCCCTTCCCTAGCCCCCCCACCCACTGACAAGCCCTGGTGTGTGATGTTCCCCTCCCTGTGTCCATGTGTTCTCATTGTTCAGCTCCTACTTATGAGAAAGAACATGCGATGTTTGGTTTTCTGTATATACCCCTTAATGGGATTGCTGGGTCAAATGGTATTTCTAGTTCTAGATCCATGAGGAATTGCCACACTGTCTGATGTAGAGCAGCTTTTCATAGCTCATTTTCCATCTGTATTTCTTCTTCGGTGAGTTGTCTATTCAGGTGTTTTTCCATTTTTAGTCAGGTGTTTCGTTTTCCATTTTTTTCTTTATTGAGACAGTGTCTCACTCTGTTGTGCAGGCTGGAGTGCAGTGGTGCAATTATGACTTACTGCAGCCTTCACCTCCTGGGCTCAAGTGATCCTTCTTCTTCAGTCTCCTGAGTAGCTGGGACTACAAGTGTAAGCCACCATGCCCAGCTAATTTTTGATTTTTTTGATGAGACGAGTCTCACTATGCAGGGAGACCCCTTGAGACAGGGGTCTCAAGGCTGCCCAGACTGGTCTTGAACCCCTGGACACAGGTGATCCTCCCGCCCTGGCCTCCCAAAGTGTGCTGTGCTGGGATTACAGGTGTGAGCCATTACACCGAGCCCTCATTATCTTACTGTTGAGTTTTGAGCATTCTTTGTATATTTTGGATAACAGTCCTTTATCGGATATGTCTTTTGCACATATTTTCTCCCAGCCTGTGGCTTGTGTTCTCATTCTTTTGATGTTGCTATTTTTTTCCCCAATTTTGTTGATTCCTCTTATGATAGATGAGGATTTAACACATGGCCCTGCAACCCTCTCCTAGTGTCATAATATCACTGTTTTTAGTTTCTTTCTTGGTTATTGCTTTTAGTAATGTATTTCATCTTTATTTCTTGTCTTGTCAACTGTATATAGTATCTTTGACACCCTGTTTGTAAGGTGAGGGTGGATATTATTGCTGCCATCCTTTTTGCCCACTCTCTCTGCTTTCTCTTCTACCTCCCAGTTTCTTTCATCTGTACTTTACCTTTTTCACTAGCAAGGATGACAGTATTCATATGTTCTAGAAAATAGTCTTGCATGTTCTGTGTGTAGTATGGATATTATTGTGACTACATATATATTGTGCCCTGCAGAGTGAAGTTATGTGCTGTGATTTTGTTATCTGTCTTATACAGCTTATTTTTATGAAGTTTCTTGTTTTGTGACTATTTTTGTTACAGGAAAGGGGGCCCGATCCAGACCTTAAGAGAGGATTCTTGGATCTCGCACAAGAATGAATTCAGGGCAAGTCCACAGTGCAAAGTGAAAGCAAGTTTAGTAAGAAAGTAAAGGAATAAAAGAATGGCTACTCCATAGAGCAGCCCTGAGGGCTGCTGGTTGCCCATTTTTATGGTTATTTTTTAATGATATGCTAAACAAGGGGTGGATTATTCATGCCTCCCCTTTTTAGACCATATAGGGTAATTTCCTGAAGTTGCTATGACATTTGTAAACTGTCATGGCGCTGGCAGGAGTGTAGTAGTGAGGACGACCAGAGGTCACTCTTGTGGCCATCTTGGTTTTGGTAGGATTTAGCCAGCTTCTTTACTGCAGCCTGTTATATCAGCAAGGTCTTTATGACCTGTATCTTGTGCCAACCTGTTATCTCATCCTGTGACTTAGAATGCCTTAACTGGGAATACAGCCCAGTAGGTTTCAGCCTCATTTTACCCAGCTCCTATTCAAGATGGAGTTGTTCTGGTTCACATGCCTCTGACATTTCCCCCCTCCCTTTTATAAGAGAACGCTTAATCCTAAGGGTTGCGGAGGGATGAAGATTCATCTTCTATAACTCCTTCAGGCTGAATAGAGGTGATGATATTCCTGCCTGACTATTAGGGTCTCTTACATTCAGAGTAGAGAGGAGCAGAGTCAGAAAGCATCAGTATGGTAAGGTCCATTCATAACTCTTGAGTTTCGACAGAGGGTGGTATCTGGAAGATGAATAAGAGTTTAAGAAAACATTCAGTAAGCTTGTCCTGTATTCCTACACAAAAAGTATAACAGCAATATATTCCACAAGAGTAAAGCAAAATAAGTAAAGTTATTCCAAGTAAACTAAATTAGAAGACTTTCCATGAACTGGGCAACTGTTGGAATTAAGCTGATATAGGGTTGTTAGCTGATTGTAATGTGCCCAGAATTAGAATACTAATCCAGATTTTTACATTATCCATCCCTCTTGTTTCTTCTGAGCAGCAGTCAGAGATCACTGGTAGGTTCACAGGAATAAGCAGGTGTAGACTAAATTGCAGAAACAAACTGAAAAACAGATGAGACTAGAATTTAATAACAGGTGTACCATAGTTCTTGAAACATATTTCTCTCTCCAGTTTTCCATTTTTACGAAAGACAAATTATGGTAAGACTGATTTGTTTTATTATACTTGGCCTGATAATTTGTATAAAGTGCAGCAAGAATAATTATTTTTCACATAGGCTTTTTAATTGACTTTAATGGAACTCTGTTTTGTAAGGGATCTCAGATAAGACTTTTTAAAAGCTGAGCCCCATCATGGGTTTGTACCCTCAAATACCTATGAGTTGGGTAAATTCCTTTCTTTTTGAGGTCCCAGGATAACTTGGGGCTCTTCGACCTGTGAGAAAGTGACATTCTTTACTTACCCCAAGTCAGAAACCTTGAACAGGGACTGTTGTAGACAAGGTGTGAGGCCAGTTCCACACAGGCTTTTATTGGCTCTATAAATCAAGTTTAATTCCTTAAAGGAAAACACACCATTCCAGTCAAAACCTTGGTAACATAACCAATTTCTCCAATTGTGTTCTGTTAGAAAAGAGAACGAATTTTTTTTTTTTTTTTTTTTTTTGAGACAGAGTCTTGCTCTGTCACCAGGCTGGAGTGCAGTGACATGATCTTGGCTCACTGCAACCTCTGCCTCCCAGGTTCAAGCGATTCCCCTGCCTCAGCCCCCTGAGTAGCTGGGACTACAGGTGGCGCCACCACGCCTAGCTACTTTTTTGTATTTTAGTAGAGATGGGGTTTCACCATGTTGGCTAGGATGGTCTCGATCTCCTGACCACGAGACCCACCCGCCTCGGCCTCCCAAAGTGCTGGGATTACAGGTGTGAGCCACCATGCCCAGCCAAGAAAACAGATTCTTATTGCACCTTTGCAAATAACTATTTTGCTGTAAGTTAAGAATACTCACAACTAGTTGCCAAATTCTGGAGAAATCAGGTAGAGAGAAACAAATATGCTCAGAATTTTGTGCATAGGAGTATATAAACTGTTAAGAGCTATAATATAAATAGCTCAAAAGGAAAGTTTCCTTGACTCTGAAAAACAAAGGATCAGTAGTGTTTTATGCAAAGTTTGAAATATTACTTCCGTTTTTTATTGGTTCAGTGAATTTAGGTAACTCCTGTTTTGCTTGATATTCATGAACATTTCATCTCTCCATGAGAGTCCTGAAAGTTTTTCCTCTATTCTGTTGTTACGCTCTCCAAAGTTACAAGAAAACATGCATTGAAGAACACCTGTTAGAGTTCTATAATTGATTATAAACCACCTTCTAAAGGAGATTAAAACAAGACAGTCATCTCTGGATGATAAAAAGCTTTAGGACAGCCACTATTAAAGCCACATTTGATAAGGAAATTTTGTTACTTCTGTGATACACAGAATTTTACATAACAATTATAATTATTAATAACACACTAAATAATATTAGAATTATAGGAGTTTCCCATAACTTTAGAATATACCAATAACACATTTATGTAAATATAGTCCAAAGAAAGCAAAACACCATTTCACATTCGATTATGCTTCCTGTATGATTTTTATATCAAATAAGCCAAATGTCACTGTTGTATTAGTGCATTATAGATATAAAACCCAATTTTTTTTTTTTTTTGAGACGGAGTCTTGCTCTGTCACCCAGTCTGGAGTGTAGTGACGCTATCTTGGCTCACTGCAACCTCTGCCTCCCGGGTTCAAACAGTTCTCCTGCCTCAACATCCTGAGTAGCTGAGACTACAGGCACCAGCCACCACACCCGGCTAATTTTTAGTATTTTTAGTAGAGATAGAGTTTTGCCAATTCTTAATAAAACCTTATAAATAAATAAATCTTTCCAATCTTAATCAGTTTGACCATAAGGTAAGATTCTCATAAACTTTTTATAACCCTTTACAAGTTTTTGTTAAAGAGCAGGTCATAAGCAGGTTTTTGCTCTAAGAAACCAATTTTAATTTATAGAAAAGCTGAATAATACCCCTTTAATTTAGCCAATGTCCACACACTGGCTATTTTAATTTGCTCTAAGAAACCAATTTTAATTTATAGAAAAACTGAATAATACCCCTTTAATTTAGCCAATGTCCACACACAGAATCTCTTTTACAATTAATTTTTTACAAACCTTCCACAACTGTTCAAACCTTTAGCTTTATTCTAACTTAAAGCAATTCTTTAACCCTTTAGGCAAAAAACCCATATTCCCATGCCTTCTTATAATCTTTTACCAAAAATATATTCTACTTTCCTTACACACCTTACAGGTAAAACTATTTCTTCAATAGTCTCAATTACATGTTACAATGTTAACTTTTAGCAACTTTTATTTTTGGTGAAAACCCTGGTTAGTAAGCAATTTTAATTGTGTATTAGGTGTGGAGCCTAGCCTTAGGACACGCCAGGCAGAAGTGCAGATAAGGGCTGACTCTCCAGCATAGCTAGGGGGCATGGCTAACTCCACATGTCCCCAGGCCTTACCTTACTTAAGCAGGCAAGTTATACAGTAAGAGTCATAGTGGCATTTTATGACGCATTTAGGAGGCCTAACAACCTTTGAATTGTGCAACATTTCTTGCATAAATTTTCTTTCAAAAATCCTTTCACGACTTACACAGACCATCTGAGACATTCTTGGACTTTCTGACTTGCCCTAAACATCCCTCCTTTTAAACAACCATTTTATTTTAGGAGAAGAATTTACCATACCAAGATCTTTTCTTATATAAAATCTTTCTTTATAATCATCTTTGTATAGCTAGGGGGCATGGCCAATTCCACATGTCCCCAGGCCTTATCTAGAATCTAATGGCTTTAAGGCAGGTAAATTGAACAATTTTTAAAAGTTAAACAGTTTATGACCTTAAAGCATTTAACAAACTTAATATCTGACCTGCATAATTTAGACTGAATGTTTTTATTTTATCAGTAATTTTTAAAGCTGTTTGTATTTCCCGAAGATTACTAAGATTACATGAACTAAAAGGCATTACAGTTTTTGTTTTGCTTTCAAAATATTTGATTTAAGCACTTATTTTTGTTTCAGCCAATTAGACTTCTTTTATATAAACATTACACATAATATGTATATAGCTACCCAGAAAGAAGAATATTACTACAGTAGTTGTAAGATTTTTCATTTGCCAGTTTTTAAGTTTCTTAATTGGATTACTGGCTTTAAGGTGGAGCCGTTGGAAGAACAGGGCCAGGAAAGGGGGTCCCTGGTGCCTCCTGTTTTTCCCAAGGAGTTCAGGCTGTTAGAGCTTGAATATCTGCTTTTAATTAAACTGATTTTAACCATAGCACTCTTTAACAAAGTCTTTTTAGAATTTTTTATGCCAAACAGCCAATATTTCTGGCTTTTGAACTTTACCTAAGGTAACCTCCAAGGTGCTTAGAGAAAGGAAAATTTAAGACAGTCCATGGAGGAGAAGAGAATAGACAAGGTCACACAGATATTAAACCAGAAACGACTTCCTAGGGAAGGAATCAAACCCGAACTGCTACTGTGAAAGTGCAAAACCCTGGCTTCTGAGCTACAGCACGGGACAGTCTCTGTTTCCTTTCCTAGAAGGAATTTAGAGTAGTTAATTTTGAGCTTGCAAAGGCTTTTAACTAATATGATTTTTAGATCTAACTATGACATGAACCCTAAAATTCCTGTTCCCTGGAAGGCAGAGACCAAAAGTACTGCCACATGGTTACAAGGTCAAGCTCCCAAGGACATAAACAAGGTGGAGACTTCATCCACTTTTTTGTTTGTTTCAGGGATCTGTAGCCAAGTTTGTTACTGACCAGCTAGCTTGCTGGCTTATCTTGAAAAGTGGGCCTGCAGGTATTCTAAGCCCGTGTTTTATCCTAAAGCACCCCTTGACACGGAAAAAGAAATTCATAGCACAAAATACACCAGCTTAAGACTAGCCTTAGAATTTTTTTTTGCATTAATCAAAACATTACAGAGGAGATAAATACTGATTTTTCCCCCCATTCATTCAACTGTTTGCATAGAGAGTGAGAAGCTAGAAATCTGACTGGCAAGAAATTCTTACCCTTTGGCCAGCATGCCAGGCTTCTGGGTTCCCTTTCCCTGAGTGGCACTAGTGATCTGGCTTGCAGCACCATTGCCCTGGGGGCCAAGCCTCATCATAAAGGAAAATTACTTTTTTTTGTTCTGGCCAGAGCAAAATACATGTGATAAGACATAGACATTAGCCACTCTGCTTAACACCCAATATCAAACTGGTGAGGCTTAAATTTGCCCCCAAATGGGCCCCGTCATCTTTAATCCAGCCTCAGACTTACGTGGCCTCTGGGCAAGGTGGTTGCCCTGAGTAACAGAAAAGATAGGAAAGGAAAAGTAGAGAGAGAAAAGCATTGCCTGTAGCAGGGTGGGGAAAGCGAAATGATCAGGGAGGTCAGAGAAAGACCCACCCATTGCAGTGACATTGAAAAGTTCAGGTGGCTGCTCCTCAGTAGCAAAGGGATCTTTTCCAGCCATCCCATCAGCTCTTAAGTTTCCCCTTTTAGGGAAGAAAAAGTTCCCCATGTCCCATAGTCCTGTACATACCTGACTCTGTCACCCACAGCCATTAGCAAAGAGTGCAAGGCAGATTAATCCAAAGAGAATAGCAGTTAACATCCCATAGTGCCAAACCTGTTCTTACCCAAGAAGGCCTTTACTGAGACGGGCCTCTAACCCCCTAAATCTTAGAAGGGACTCTATCCCTCATAAGTTGGACCTCTAACCCTTGCCTTTTATTAAGAGGGGCACTTTGTCCTCTTGAATCAGAGACTAATTTTTCAGACTTGTTTCATGGATATCATTTTGAGACTTCTCTTGACTGGTTTCCTGTAATAGAGCCACTGCTTTCTCTTCCTCTTTGGTTTCCTCCCTTGTTTTTCTGGAACACATCCTCAAATAACTTCCTTAGAAAGGGTATTAACAGTTTAATTTTCTCAGTTTTTGCATGCTTTAAAATGTATTCTACCTCTGTGATTGATTTATAGTTCATCTGGGTAGAGAAATCTAGGTTGAAAGTCATTTTCCCTCCGAACTTTGAAGGCTTTTGCTTTGTTGCCTTCTAGGCTACATATGTGGTAATGGAATTGCAGGATCTTATGGTAGCTTTTTTTTTTTTTTTTTTTTTTTTGAAACAGAGTCTTACTCTGTTGCCCAGGCTGGAGTGCAGTAGTCTGATTTCAGCTCACTGCACCCTTCGTCTCCTGGGTTCAAGCAATTCTCCTGCCTCAGCCTCCCAAGTAGCTGGAGTTACAGGCATGTGCTGTGGCGCCCAGCTAATTTTTGTATTTTTAGTAGAGACAGGGTTTTGCCATGTTGGCCAGGCTGGTCTTGAACTCCTGACCTCAGGTGATCCACCTGCCTCGGCCTCCCAAAGTGCTGGAATTACAGGCGTGAGCCACCGTGCTGGTTTTTTTTTTTTTTTTTTTTTTTTTTTTTAAATAGAGACAGGGTCTTTCTCTGGTCACCCAGGCTGGAGTACAGTGGTGTAATCTCAGCTCACTGCAGCCTCAAACTCCTGGGCTCAAGTGATCCTCCTACCTCATCCTTCCAAGTGGCTGGGACCACAGGTGCATGCCCCCATTCCCAGGCTAATGTTTAAATATTTTTGTGTAGAGATAGGGTCTCACTCTGTTGCCCAGGCTGTTCTTGAACTCCTAGTCTCTAGTGATCCTACTGCCTTGGCCTTATTTTAAACTTTTTGAGGAAACTCCATACTGTTCTCCATAATGGTTGTACTGATTGACATTCTCACCAACAGTGTACAGGGGTTCCTTTTTCTCCATATCCTCACCAATACTTGTTATCTTGTGTCTTATTTTATTTTATTTTTTGAGACAGAGTCTCGCTCTGTTGCCCAGGCTGGCGTGCAGTGGCGTGATCTTGGCTCACTGCAACCTCCGCCTCCCGGCTTTAAGTGATTCTCTTGCCTCAGCCTCCTGAGTAGCTGGGACTACAGGCGTTTGTGGCACCACCGCCCGGCTAATTTTTGCATTTTTAGTAGAGATGGGGTTTCACCACGTTGGCCAGGATGGTCTCGATCTCCTGACCTTGTGATCCACCCGCCTTGACCTCCCAAATGTAGTACCCATTCTAACAGAAGTGATATCTCATTGTGGTTTTAATTTGCATTTCCCTGATGATTAGTGCATTTTTTTCATATACAGTTTGGCTAACTCCTGTTTTCTAATTTATTGCACAGATGTAATCATAAAAGAGAAACAGTAACATTACTCACAGACCAACCAGCTTAATACTCAGCTGTTCTCAATATCATGTGTTCTGTTATAGTTTGTGAATGCTTATTTTATATGAATTCTATGAATGCTTAGTTTGATGTACTCGTGATTGACCACAGTATAATTTTTCATTGGCATTTAAAAAATGTCACACTTCAAACATGTTTCTTCTTTATGATTGTGTTAATCTTCATAATTATGAGATGGAGCTTGCTTTTATGTTAACTTCTTGGAATCAGCCAGCCTCAGGAGGATGGTACACATAAGTGATGACGGGGTGGGAGCAGCACAAAAGATCCAATGGTGCTGGCTGAGCCAATCCCTGTTCCACTGGCCCTTCTCTCCACTGTCCCTTATGTGGTGCTGTGTAAGGAAGCATGGCCAGTCTCAGGACTTCAGAGTGCTTTGGTTAGCAGTGAGGTCTGACTCCCACTGCTTCAAGGAGGTGTCGTAAGCTGTAGGGCTGTTGCTCTTTACTTTTCCCTGTCAGTACCCACGAGGAGGTGTGTTTGGGCTGGAGGCCTGGGCTCACATGGTGGGTGCACAACCAAGACCATCATCATTGGTCTGATGATGAATTTTTAGCAACTCTGAACCTAACCTGTGCTCTGTAACAGTTTCTGAAATGAGGTGTACAGAGATGGGAAGAATCTTTTGGAAAACAGAGACAGACATAGTAAAAAAAAAAAAAAAGGAAAAAGAATAGATATAACAAAAATATGGCTGGATTGTACATTTCATAATACACATCCATTCATAAATATACTTTAGTTTCATGGTTTTTTAAAAATTCCTAGTAGTATAGATAAGGCAGAAGTAACACTTATGGGGAGAACAGACTGCAATTTGGCAGCAAAAGGAAGGTGTTAAACTGTAGCTGGAAATAACAGCAGACTTGATCTGTTCTATATTAATTTTTCCAGCTTCAAAACCAACAAACAATTGAAGGTTTAAAAAAAAGAAAGTGGCTGGGCACGGTGGCTCACGCCTGTCATCCTAGCACTTGGGAGGCCAAGGCGGGGAGATCACCTGAGGTCAGGAGATCGAGACCAGCCTGGCCAACATGGTGAAACCCCATCTCTACTAAAAAAAAAAAAACAAAAAAACGAAATACAGTAAATTAGCCGAGCATGGTGGCTCGCGCCTGTAGTTCCAGCTATTCGGGATGCTGAGGCAGGAGAATCACTTAAACTTTGGAGGCAGAGGTTGCAGTGAGCTGAGGTCGCACATTGCATTCCAGCCTGGGCAACAAGAGCAAAACTCCATCTCAAAAAAATAAAAAAAGAAAGAAAAAGTCAGCCTTAATTTAGTGATGTTATTAAGAATAACAAATGCCAGTGTGATGATCAGTCCTGGACTCTCAGGTTTGCCTGTTCTGACTAGAGTTATGGTGAAACTTTAGTTATCTTCCAGTTTTTAATACGGTCCTTGCTGCAATGACTTTATTCTAGAGAACTAGCATTACTAAAACATTTTAGTGCTTAGTGGTTTTTAATACTTATTTCACAAGAATAATTAAATAAGTCTTTTCCTCGTTGAGTGTGTAGTATGATGCAGGTTAGGTATCTGTGACACCTATAAGTAAGGCTGACCCATGAACAACACTAGCTTGAACTGTGTGGGTCCATTTATATGGAGACTTAAAAAAAATAAATACATTGGAAAATTATTTGGAGAGTTGCAACAGTTTGAAAAAAATTCAGATGAACTGGGTAGTCTAGAAATATGAAAACAATTGAGAAAAAGTTACATATGTCATGAATGCATAAAATACATGTAGATACTAATAATCAGTTTTATCATTTACTACCATAAAATATACACAAATCTATTATAAAAAGTTAAAATTTGTCTAAACTTATGCACACACAGACTGTACATGGTGCTATTCATAGTTGAGAGAAATGTAAACAAATATAAAGATGCAGTATTATAACTGCATACAATTAACTGTAGTACATACAGTACTCCTGTAACAATTCTATAGCCACTTCCTGATGTTGTTGCAGTGCGCTCAAGCATTGGGGGTAGCTGCTTGGAAGGTACTGTGATGCTAATCATCTCTGTGGGAGCAGTTCCTCTCTCCAGTACACCTCAGATCGCAGTAAAAAGTGACCTCTTGAGATTCTTGAGTATGTTTTGTTGTGTTTAGTGCAGTACCACAAACCTTGAATAACACTATGGGACCCATACAAAGTGCCACTAGTGATGCTGGCAGTGCTCCCTAGAAGCCAATAAAACCCCTGACAGCATTGAATTGCTTGCTAGATTGAGGAATGGTTGCCTGTCGCTTCAGACAGATGATTCATTTTGCAAACAGACCATGTAAACTTATGGTATTGATAAATACAGTATGGTACTGCAAATGTATTTCCTCTTCCTTATGGTTTTCTGAATAACATTTTCTTTTTTCTATCTCATTTTATCTTAAGAATACAGTATATAATACATATAACACAAAGTGTGTGTTAACTGTTTATGTTTTCAGTCAGGCTTCCGGTCAACAATAGGCTATTAGTAGTTAAGTTTCTGGGGAGCCAAAAGTTATACACAGAGTTTTGACTGCATGAAAGGTTGGCACCCCTAACCTCCAAGTTGTTCAGGGGTCAACTATATTAAAAGTCTATGATATACTCTTGGCTTTCCAGAAACTTAATTTGAAGAAGTTAATTTAAAAACCATAGTTTTCTATATATTAATTTGACAGTTCAGCCTTTATTAGGTCAAAGTTTCAAAAGAGCTCAGCTGTTAGATGTTTAGTAATGAATGCCATCAGCCTTTATGTCATCAGGATTCAGGATGTTTAGGTGTGTGTTTGCTCAGGGCTCAGAAATAGTCTTGGTGGTGGGTTTACAGCTGCCCATCTTGTTAGGTGTGGAACCTGCCTTAGCGCTGGGGCTGCTGCCAGTCTATGGGAACATTCCCTCCCGTGCCCTTCCTACACTGTAGAGGCCTACAGGTTGATGACCACTTCTGGGACCCTTCATTACACCTCTCACTGAAAGCATGTAGAGTTGTGTAAGTGACAGCAGCCAGCCTTGACTCATCAAATAGTCTTTCAGTTTGTAAAAAAAAAAAAAAAAAAGTCCAGGATTTTATTTTACACTGTAACATCTGAGGTGGGTTTCAATTCTAGAGCACAATGGAGACTGATGTCTGGGTTTCACCCCTAGAATTGTTTTTACATTGTCTGTGATATAGTACAGATGAAAATAAAAGAGAATTATTTACACCTTACATTTGCTGTTACAAGTATTCTGTATTATGTCTATATCATGTCAAGTAACATAGGTATGTTCTTATTTCATTTATTCTTGTTTCTCCATGTACACAAATGAGTACATCATTTCCACTTACGGCAAAAGTGATATGTCATTGTATCAGATCCATCTCTCAGTATTATCTGTATCTTCTGATTTCTTAATCAAATTTATGCTGTCAAAATATGTTAATGATGTTTTTTAAAGTGTTTATTGAGAAATTCACAAAGAACTTGTATTTTGTCAAAAGGCCATTGTTTTTGTTGCCAACATTATCAGTGCAGATGTACTAAATTGCAAGTTACAGAAAACCCAGCTCAAGGTGACTTATAGGAAGGGTATTTACTGGCTTGCCTAACTGAAAGGCCAGCTATAGGCCAAACTTCAGGGTTGATTTGATTTAGCAACTTAACAATGCTATTGAGAGTTTAGTTTCCTTCTTCCTTCTCTGCCATCTGCATTCCCACCTTCCTCTTGAAAGGGCAGGGTGGTTGCCAGCCATTCCCACACCTACACATTTTCTCACTCTGGTCCCGTGGTGTTTAATAGCTTGCCCAGAAAACCTTCCCTTTGTCACATTGATCTTAATTGAGTTGTGTGCCCATGCGTGAACCAGCAACTGGCTGGGGATGGGGTCATCCTGAGTAGCTCAGGCTTGGAGTCAGCCTCACCCAAAGTATAGGGCTGTGGGGAGGAAGCACAGAAACCACAGTCAGAACTGGGTAATTAGCTAGAGGAGGAGGAAATGGATGAAGAGCGACAGCCACTGTCCACTGTGCCATGTGATTTACAGTCATTTGGGTTTTGTTTATAAGAATGCTTGCTTTATTTTTTCATTTTTTTCTTCTTCTGTCTTTAAGGGGCCTTTACAACAACTAAACGGACAGGCATTCCAGCCCCACGGGAATTTTCAGTAACTGTCTCAAGAGAGAGGTCTGTGCCACGTGGTCCCTCCAACCCCAGGAAATCAGTGTCCAGTCCAACTTCTTCCAACACTCCCACTCCTACGAAACACCTGAGGACCCCTTCCACAAAGCCCAAGCAAGAGAATGAAGGTGGAGAAAAGGCTGCGCTTGAGTCCCAAGTTCGGGAACTTTTGGCAGAAGCCAAAGCAAAAGATAGTGAAATTAACAGGCTTCGAAGTGAACTAAAGAAATACAAAGAGAAAAGGACTCTGAACGCTGAGGGGACTGATGCTTTGGGCCCAAATGTCGATGGAACATCAGTCTCCCCAGGTGACACGGAACCTATGATAAGAGCTCTTGAGGAGAAGAACAAGAACTTTCAGAAAGAGCTTTCCGATCTAGAGGAAGAAAACCGGGTCCTGAAGGAGAAACTGATCTATCTTGAGCACTCCCCAAATTCAGAAGGGGCAGCAAGTCACACTGGCGACAGCAGCTGCCCAACATCCATAACTCAAGAGTCAAGCTTCGGAAGCCCAACTGGAAATCAGATGTCCAGTGACATTGATGAGTATAAAAAAAACATACATGGAAATGCATTACGGACATCAGGCTCCTCAAGTAGCGATGTTACCAAAGCTTCTTTGTCGCCAGATGCTTCCGACTTTGAGCACATTACAGCAGAGACACCCTCAAGGCCCCTGTCCTCCACCAGTAACCCCTTTAAGAGTTCAAAGTGTTCTACTGCTGGGAGTTCCCCAAACAGCGTAAGTGAATTGTCCCTGGCTTCCCTCACAGAGAAGATACAAAAGATGGAAGAAAACCACCATAGCACTGCAGAAGAACTACAGGCTACTCTACAAGAATTATCAGACCAGCAACAAATGGTACAGGAATTGACAGCTGAAAATGAGAAGCTGGTGGATGAAAAGACGATTTTAGAGACATCCTTTCATCAGCATCGAGAGAGGGCAGAGCAGCTAAGTCAAGAAAATGAGAAGCTGATGAATCTTTTACAAGAGCGAGTAAAGAATGAAGAGCCCACCACTCAGGAAGGAAAAATTATTGAACTGGAGCAGAAGTGCACAGGTATTCTTGAACAGGGCCGCTTTGAAAGAGAGAAGCTACTCAACATTCAGCAGCAGTTGACCTGTAGCTTGCGGAAGGTTGAGGAAGAAAACCAAGGAGCTTTAGAAATGATTAAACGTCTGAAGGAAGAAAATGAAAAACTGAATGAGTTTCTAGAACTGGAACGGCATAATAATAACATGATGGCCAAAACTTTGGAAGAGTGTAGAGTTACCTTGGAAGGGCTAAAAATGGAGAATGGATCTTTGAAGTCTCATTTGCAGGGTGAGAAGCAGAAAGCCACAGAGGCCAGTGCTGTGGAGCAGACGGCAGAGAGCTGCGAAGTTCAAGAAATGTTGAAAGTAGCCCGAGCAGAGAAAGATCTACTGGAACTGTCTTGCAATGAGCTCAGACAAGAATTACTAAAGGCAAACGGTGAAATTAAACATGTTTCCAGTCTGCTGGCCAAGGTGAGAAGAGACAGCTCTTTACTGGTATTTGCTCATCCTTGTTCACATTTCTGCCCTTAACCTCTAAATTCACAGAGCACAGAGAAGCATTTGCTTAGTCTGTTTCATTCACGAAGCCAGCATTCCAGCTTGAAGGCCTGTTAGATTGCACACAGGTTGGGATTGGGGGATACAAAAAGGAAACACCCAAATTTCTGATTATGGGCGGTTCAAAATGTGGGGATGTAGAGTCAAATCAGAGTATGATGCAGTGATAAAAGAATATCATACAGCCTATGCCCAGGCTCTAGTCTAGTGCAAAGGAGGGGCATCTGGTGTAACGTGGGGGTTGGGCGTAGCACAGAAGGACTTCCTGGAAGAAATAGCAACTGAGCTGAGTTCTGAAGATTGAGTGGGAGTTTGCCAGTCTGTCAGCATGCTTTTAGCTGCCAGTAACAGAAAATGAAATCACTCCCAATTTTCAACTAAAATATTACCACTATTTTGGTGTTTTCTTCCAGATATATGTGTGTGTATGTGTATCATACAAGTTACACAAATTTATAATCATCCTGTACATGTTATTAACTTTTTTTGCATTTGACATTTTAGAAATATTAAAACTTTTCTCAGCATATTCCTATCATTAAATATTCATTTAAACATTATTTTAAAGGCCAGATACTATTTTAATATAAATATTTCATATTTACCCTGTTGTTGAACATACATGTATTGTCAAACATTTGTGGTCTTTCCAGTCTTTCAATATTATAAATACTTTTTTATATCTATCTTACTGTTTATTTAGGAAAAATTCCTAGACGATGACTTACCGAGTCAAAGAGTATAAACATTTTAAAGACTTTCAACACATTCAGCCAGATTGCCCTTCAGAAATATTATGCCAGTTTATTCATCCTAGCGGTCATGAGATCATGAGCTTTCCTGAGCCTTTGCCAGCACTTGGTATTACATTGTTATATCATTTAAATCTGTTAATCATTTCATTTTTTTAACCTTTTTTGCTTGGGAAGATCTTCCATAGCCCAAGAGCAAATAACTTTTCTCAACACTTTAATCAGCCTGTAATTTTGTTTTTGATGCAAGAATTGTGGTGATTTTATGATATTCTGCCCACCTCCCAGAGCAGTGCTGGAGAGGTGCAGAGAGATGGCCTCCTATTTCTTGTTCCCTCCAAGTTCTGGGTCTGATTTAGGGATCTACTGGCAAGAGAGATTCAAAACATCTTCCTACCTTAGTTTAGGGGTTGTCATTGTTTCAAGGAGCAAATTATGCCATGAGCTCTCAGGGAGATTTTTCTCCACTGCTTCGTCTGTCTTAAGATGAGTCTGTTGCAGCCTGATTCTGCAATTTGGCCATCTGATGAGCTTAGTGGTGGGTCATGTTAAGGAGTTTCTCTCTTTGTCTGTATTCTAAATTTGTAGGTATTTTATTGAAAGTACGGAAGTAATTCCATTAGAGGTTACTAGTCAGGCTTGGCATTGGGTTTTAATATCTTGTGGAGTAAGATTATTCTTTTTTTACTTTAAGATTACTCACTACTCTCTGGCAAAATGTTTTATCTCCCATGTGCACCTTCTTGAAGTTCTTTATCAGTCCCTCTGTGTTTTTGGTAGTTTGGCATTACATTAAATGTGCATATCAGTGAGAAATAATTTGACATCTTAAAAATAGCTTATTTTTTTCTGATCATAAAATATTTTTATTACAGACGATTTAAAAAGTACAGAAAAGTATAAAAAAGAAAAGTATTACCTTTAATTTCACCACTTGGAGAAAAACTGCTAACCTTTTGCTGTATGTCCTTTCAGGCCTTTTCTCAGTTTATACATGTTTGAGCATGCATAAAAACTTGCATTGATATGATTATGATATTTTGTCTTCCTATCCAGAAGAGTAGAGTATGTCTGTCCACATTCCATTACAAAGAATCAGTTGGATTAGTTTATCTATTCCACTATTAATCTGTTTCTGATTAACTTGTTTCTACTTTTATCTTTATTAATTTTTTTGTCTTATTTTTTGTACATTTTGGTTTCTTGACTAAAATTCTTTGTTCATTTAACTTTTTTTTATCCTTGGTTGATAATGAAAGCATTTAAAGTTATAGCTTTGGTAAATAGAGGCAATAAAATCTGGAATCTTCTGGAATAAACTAAATGTAATTTAAAGGAAAGTGTGCATTTTCTGTAGAGTGCAAGGCACAACATATATGTTTAAAATCAAACTGTTATTATTCATGTATCCTACATCTTACTGCATGCTAACTAGAAGTATCAAATACTGATAGTAAGAAGGGAAAGGTCCTAGCTAGTATTTTTAGGTGAGAGTTTGAGGTAAAGATGGGGGCATGCTATCACATAGGGTTTCTTGTATATCTATCAAGACCCTAGGTTTGTGATTTTGTGCTGTCTTATGTGCACAGAGACTGATTTGTAATTGCAGTGGACTTGTAACATACTAATCTTCCTACCCTTTTACATTACTGTAGAAAAAGCAAAACATAGACCTCCTAAATGGACTAATACTGATTGTATCTCTACCACAGACTATCAAGTAATCTGCCAACAACCATGAATTTAAATGATAATACTTAAGAGACTCATGTCCAAAGGATAACAGGAGAAGTTTTAGCACAAAACTATGATGAAGGGTCTAACATGCTGGACTGGGTCCTCTTGACTTACCCAGTGAGCAATGATGTGACCTTGGGCAGGCCCCTTTACATTGTGCAATGTCGAATAGAAGCGTGACGGTGGATGGATCCTGGTCTCGTATCTAATTCCAAGGGAAGCATTTAACATTTAATTATGATGTATGTTTTTTGTAGGCATTTGGTACATACCTTTTATTATGTTATGCAAGTATTTGCTAAGAGGTGTTTTGTTTGGTGGTTTATTTTTAGAGACAGGTTCTCGTTTTGTCACTTAGGCTGGAGTGTAGTGGCGATTATAGCTCACTGCAGCCTTGAACTCCTGGGCTCAAGCAATCCTCCCACCTCAGCCTTTCTGGGTAGCTGGGACTGCAGCCAGGCACCACCATGCCTGACTACTTGGCTTGTTTTTAAAGGATGAGGATTGAATTTTTTCTACAGCTAATGACGTGATCTGATAGTTTTTATGTAATCAAGTTTTTTTCTCCTCTAACTTGTTAGTGAGGCAAGTTATAACAACAGATTTTCTAAGGTGCTCTAGTGTAAAATCATGCTTGCATTCCTGGGGTAAATCCTAATTCTTCAGTTTTCAGTGGTTTCACTTGACTTTTTGCTGAGAACTTCCAAATATAGCTGCCTTCAGCAGGTATCGGAGTAACTGTCCTGTTGAGCACCAAGCAACAACGTGTACCCCATGAGCAGTGCATTCATCCACTCTAATGCTTGGCGAAAGGTGAATATTATTAAAAAGGATACAATAAGCTATTTACAAAAGGGGAAAGTGGTGCCAAACCATCCTATGATCTAATAGATTCCGTAAATCTATGTAAGTTTCAAGTTAAGATTACTCAAGCAACCCAGATACCGTCAAAAGAACCTATAAAAAGCCTTGAAAAGTACTTTTTTAAAAATAGGAGGTAGGTGTCTTCCTCAAACAATAAATGGAAAATTGGTAGGATTTCTACACTATCTTGTAGGCTTTTTTTCTTCTCATTTCTTTTTCTTCATTGGTTTGCTGATTTCTTTATTTTTTTCAACTTCTCTGATATACCCCATATGCATCTTGATGGCCGCTTAATCTGTAGTCACATGACATACTTCTGTACAACTTTGAGGACGGGTCTGATTTCCACAGAACCCAAAGCCACCACTCCTATCCTTGCCCTAGCTAGCAAGCAGCATGGAGTTGTATGGGATTGTTGTTTTTCCAGACAATAACATGACCCAGCTTTAATTTACTTTTTTACCTTTTCAGTTGTTTGGGATCTTGGTTTCAAGTTAGAATATCTTTTCTGGGCTTGAAACCTAGAAGTTTTAAAAGAAAATTATCTATTTATTCCCGTGAGGTTGAAGCTTATAGGTGGTATCCTTAGAATCTTAGTTCTTTCTGCAGAAACTTCAGTCCGCTTCCAGAAGAGTAAGGAGATTATAAATAACCCCTTGGCATGAATGGTTTGCGGGAGTCAGCAGAGGTGAAATGACTAGTGTTCTGCTTGTGTGGGTCCTAGAGCCAAACTGATTTAGAGTGGCCAGTGGTCAGAGATGGCAGAACCAGAATTTGAGGGAAATATGTGGCAAATAGATGATCCTGTAGCTGTGACATTGGAATAGGATGCCTTAAAGGACTTAAGAGATCTGGAAACCTGGTTTAAACAGTCAGGTGGGTTGGAAGTGTATCCAGGTGATGTATTGATATATGAGAAACTGCCCTCCTGTCAGCGGCTTGAGCCAGGGGACACTCCCTCCACCCCGGCCCCAAGGGTGGGAGATTGGCTGTGGCTGCCCATGATGCAGGCCCAGGCTGTGGCTGGCAGTGCTGTGGTTCTGGACCTCCTGCCAGGGGTACAGGACAGCTCAGCATTGCCAAGCATCTTGGTCCACCTGTTGGCGACTTGGGGCAGGCATGTCACCTGGACATCTGGGTCCTATGGGGAGAGGGTTTCCCAGAGCTTTACCTTTACATCTGATTGGTGAGAACTGCGTCACACAGTGCCCCCAGGCCACCTCTCTTGAAATCACAGTTGCAGCCTGATTCTTGAACAAAATTGGGATTCTGTTAGGAAGAAACAAGGTGGGGGTGGCTTTTGGTGGGGGATGGGCACTTGCCCCACCAGGCCTCCACTCCCTCACCTTTTCCCACAAAGTACTCACAGTGATCTGATCATGTAGCGCCTTCCGGTGCTGCCTGGGGCACCACATGGCTTCGCCCAGTGCCCAGCTCCCACCACACCTCCACTTGCAGTCCCACCCCACATCCAGCCATATTCCCACCCCTCCCTCCATGCCAGGCCTGGCCGGGCCAGTGACTGTCTGGCAGTCATGTTTGCTCAGGGGGTTTTCTCGGCCTGAAGAGACCCCACCCCATTGACCATTACCTGGTCCCTCCTGAAGCTTTCCGCCTCAGTTATGGGGTCTTCAGCGAGGCATTCAGCTCTGCGGGGCCCTGTCCCATGGAACTTCAGACTCATCTCAGTAAATGACATTATTGTCACTCAGCCAAGGTCACTCATGGGAATGGCCTGACCCACCCTGGCCCTCAGAGGATTCAGATGTGCAGGCAAAACTCTTTGGGGCCCTGCAGGGAAGCTGAGGGAACCTGCTGCCTGAGTAGCCACTGGCTGCTGCTGGAGAGGTGGGAAGGTTACTGAGCTGAAAACATGGAGATTTCAGTCATCTTCAGCTCACACATAAGGCATCCCACTGGCACCAAATATCAACTCTGGTGAGCAGAGGCCTGTGGCTTCATGCTGGGAAGGAGGCCTGTCAGCAGCTCCTGTCAACAGGGCCTGTTTTCCAGCTCCCCTGGGCAAGCCATGAGGATGTGGAAGTCGAGGAGGCCTGTGGAGGCTGTTGGGGAGAGCCCCACAGCTGTTGCACCAGTAAGCCTCTGCTCAAGGGGCTGTGGCCTGGGGAAAATTGCCACAGGCCTCAGCCTGGCTGTGCAGAGCCAGTTTAGCATTAGGAGCGGAATCTTCTAGAGATTAAACTACAAAGCCAGAATGCCTGTGCAGCCTTTTATTTTGTGGGATGTGATAGGCATGTGGCCCGGAACTCATGGCATGTCTGCCAGGTCCTCTCCCGACACCCCCAGGTCTCTGTTCTTGAAGCCCCTTGAAAAGGGGCAGAAGTTTGGTGGAGACAGTCAGATAGTTTGAGGAAGGGTGGTCTTGCCAGTTGGGCAGATCCACAGAACCTGTGGCTCCGACCCCTTGCTCTTACCTGTGACTCCACAGGGGGCTGCTTCCCAATCCTGCCTGACCCTGCTTCCCTGCGATGGACTTGTTTTCTCCTGGACACGTTAATGCCTTTTGTGAGGTGAGGCCTAAGCAGTCTCTTCCTTTCACATGACCTCAGGACTCATCTGCGAACCTGGTGTTGCCCAGCACTTCTCTCTCCAGTCCGAGTTCTTGGGAAGTACCTGCGTGGGGCCTTGTTGCTTCGAAAGGTCCCTACCAGGGTACAGCCACTGCTTCTGAAGCTTGCCTCTGAGTTCCTAAAGGTGAAATACAGATGTTTACCCTCATCTTTGAGTTTTCTAACAGCCTTTCTCCACTATACCTGAAGTGTAAATAAACTAACATTTCCTCCTCTCCCTTGGTGGAGCAGCATTGGCCAAAATAATAATAATTCAACTTTAGGCCAATAAGAATGAACTATGGATGATTATCAGCAGTGTCTATTCACAACAGGGCTAAGAACCGAGCAGAGGGAGTTTTGCAGTACCCAAGCTAGATGCCAGAACAGAAACACCCCACTTTCTTACTCATTGAATTAGCCCGTTTTCATGCTGCTGATAAAGACATACCTGAGACTGGAAAGAAAAAAAGGATTAATGAACTTAACAGTTCCACTTGGCTGGGGATGCCTCACAATCATGGTGGAAGGTGAAAGGCACATCTCACATGGTGGCAGACAAAATAAGAGAGCTTGTGCAGGGAAACTCCCCCTTATATAATCATCAGATCTCGTGAGACTTATACTGTCAGGAGAACAGCACAGGAAAGACCTGCCTCCCTGATTCAATTACCTCCCACTGGGGTCCCTCCCACAACATGTGGGAATACAAGATGAGATTTAGGTGGGGAGGCAGCCAGTCTGTATCACTCATGGTAAATTTACTCAAGCTGTCATTCCAAGTTTATTTCCTTTTAAACTATATGTAATTTTAGCATTGCAATTCCTTCCATCTATTAGGTGTTCAGTAAATACTTTTCAGACGAATGAATGAATGTCAGAGAAACTTGCAGCAGAATTGAGGGGCTGCTATAATTATATTAATATGTTTAAAAAGTAAAGTTTATTATATTTTAATAACAGCAACTAATATTTTGGGCTATTTGTATGTGCTAAGCAGTCTCAGAGCTTTTCCATCATTTAATCTTATTTATCTTAATTTTATGCTGTTGATTCTGTTGTCTAGTATTTTTTCATTTGAGCAAACAGAATGATTTAAGTTATTAGTCTAATGGATTGATGAAATGAAGCCAGCATTCAAAGTTGGGTCTGACCTTAGAGCTCTTATTCTTTTTTTTCTTTTCTTTTTTTTTGAGACATGGTCTTGCTCTGTTGCCCAGGCTGGAGTACAGTGGTGCGATCATAGCTCTCTGCAGTCTCAAATTCCTGGGCTCCAGTGATCCTCCCACCTCAGCTTCCCAAGTAGCTGGAATTACAGGTGTGCAACACTATGCCCAATTTTTTATTTTTATTTTCATAGAGACAGGATCTTGCTCTGTTGACAAGGCTGATCTCAAACTTATGATGATCCTCCCACACCTCAGTGCCTCCCAAAGTGCTGGGATTGCAGGGGTGAGCCAACGTACCCAGAGCTCTTATTATAATCACTGATTTAGACTGCTGCCCAGTTACCTGAAAGCAAAGAAGAGACAGAAAAACACTTAAAGCAGACCTAAGACTAATAGTTGTCACTGTCATCTTAAGGCCAAAGCCCTTTGAAGAAAACCACCTTTGAAAGCCTTGTTGAACTAGGAGAGTTTTACCTGATTGTAATACAATGGAGAAATTCACAGTGAAAACCTGAGTCATCAAGAAATGTTATTTTGTTTGACCTCTACCTGAGTCTTGAGGGGAGAGGGGGTGAGTTGACCCCTGAGTGTATGGGGTGGGGACTCTGGGAATGCTGCCAGAAGAGAACAGCAGGTCCTAAGGCCAGAAAGCCTGGCCACCAAGGAAGTGATGCAGGTAGTTTGTCCTTGTTGGAGTGAACAGGGTGGTCAGTGGAAGTGGCCTGGTGGAGACACCAGCCAAGCAGTTAGGATTTTATCCTCAAGACAGTGGGAGTCTCTGAAGAATTTTTTTTTTTAAATAGCAGCTTTTATTGAGATATGATCCATTTAAATCACGTAAGTCTGTGGGTTTTAGTGTATTCACACAATTGTGCAACCATCACTACAATCAATTTTAGAACATTTTTATCACCCCGTAAAAAAATCTTAACCCACAGCAGTCACCCTCCAAGACCGCCTCCCTCCCAGCCCCTGGCAACCACAAATCTATGTTTTGGCTCTGTGGACTTGGGTCTTCTGGATGTTTTATACACATGGAACCCACGCCCTGCGGCCTCAAGCAGCCCTCCCACTTTAGCCTCCCAGAGTGCTGAAGAGTTCTTTCTATTCTTTGGATACAAATCCTTTACCAGATAAATGATTTGCAAATATTTCCTCTCATTCTGTGGGTTATCTTTTCATTGTCTTGATAATGCCCTTTATGGCACAAAATTGTTTAATTTTTATTTTTATGAAGTCGAATTTAGTTATTTTTCTTTGGTGGTTTGTGCTTTTGGTCGGAGGAATTTTAAGAGTTATGGAATCACATTTACTGTTGAGAAAGATGACTTGGGCCACAGTTAGGTGAGAAAGAATGAAGGACAGAACAGGGAGTGAGTTGGGTGGGAAGATGAGGGCTGGAAAGACATTCATTTTATTTACTTATTTATTTTTGAGACGGAGTCTTGCTCTGTTATCCAGGCTGAGTGCAGTGGTGCATCTCTTCACGCACTGCAGCCTCCACCTCCTGGGTTCAAGCGATTCTCCTGCCTCAGCCTCCTGAGTAGCTGGGATTACAGGCACCTGCCACCACGCCCAGCTAACTTTCCTATTTTTAGTAGAGACGGGGTTTCACCATGTTGGCCAGGCTGGTCTCAAACCCCTGACCTTAAGTGATCCACCCACCTCAACCTCCCAAAGTGCTGGGATTACAGGCGTGAGCCACTGCACCCGGCCTGGAAAGACATTTAGATGTTAGATGTGTAGAAGGGAGGCTCAGTAGGGTCAGGTGACTGATTTGATGTCAGGGACGGGCAGGAGGAAGGCATTTCAGCCTATTCATAGATCTCCAGCTTGTAGGATTGAATGTGCGGTTGTGCTGCTTCCTGGGAGAGGAAACACAGAATGTGGGGCAGGCTTGAGAAGGGAGCGTTATCTGCTGGAGCTAACAAGGATACCCAGGCCTGCAAGCCCAGGCTGCTGTCAGCAACTGCCGATGCAGCCACAGAGGAGATCCGGGAGCCTCTGCCCTTCCAGGCCAAGAGTCCTCCAAGGCCGGGGCCTCGTGCCTGAGGTCTCTCTTTGCCCCTCCAGTACCTTTAGAAGCTGTAGAAATATGTCTAGACAGGATGTTCCATGAATGCATTTCACATATGCTGAGGTTTGTGAGGAGCCTCCACAGTGTCAGAGGAGGTTGCGACTCTGAAGATGAGCAGGTGCGATTCTGAATTCTTGACCATTCTCTGCCCTGGTAGATGATCTCTTTTTAAGCACTCGAGAAAACTTGATTGAATGGACTATATAATCACTATATAATAAACAGATTAAGTCAAAAGCCAAGTAAAATGACAGACTTACACAAGAGGCAGTTATGGGGGGTTTATGAGTCAGGTATCTTTCTTCTCCACTTGTTCTGTTTTCTAATAAAACTGTCTGTACAACTTTAATGTTACTGGAATTTACTCAGAACTTATTATAGTGATCTCATTCTGTCCATGTCTCTATAGTACCATGTTTTTGGCATGTAACTATTTGAATGAAAGATTAAATGATTTCTCATAGCCAGGGCATAATTCTTCAAGATACTGTCTTTGCTATAAAAATTTACAAAAAATAACTAACACTGAAATGTTTGAGCCGCATTTTGTCTCACAGAATGCTTTTACTTGAATGTACTGTTTTCTTTGTTCTTTATATATTGATAATGTTGGGTAATCTATAAACCTAATTCCTTATTCTCTTTAGTCTACAGTCTCTATTCTTATGGCTGCTTTGTGTAGGAGAAGAGCTTGGTTCTTAGATATCTCTAGCTTGATTTCCTTTCTGCTTTTGTTCATCACACTAAAGAAAGCTATATAGATGCCCTGACAGAGATCTTTTTTCAGTATTGTCAAATTATCTGGTATCAAAAAACAGAAACCCTTAAGTAACTTCACAGCTTCTCACAAGGGCTTGCTGCATAATAACAGGCAGATATTTTTATATTCACTTTACAGATTAACATATGAAGAGAGGGAGAAATTAAATCACTTGAAAAGAACAATCCAGCATGTATCAAGTGGCTGAGACCAAACCCTACCCTTGGTCAAACCATCACAAACAGTTGTTTACCCCTCCGAGAGAGGAGAATCTAGATGTGTGTGTTGCCACCAGCATAGGAGTGCTCTTAATATCTGCAGTCGGGGAGAGCATCCCCCCCACCCCCAAGCACTTCCTCTTTGCAGGAGCACTCATCTGGAGATGCCCGAGGCCCATTGCCTTTCCTTAGGGTGCTGGTTAATGTCTAATCTAATTCTTTGATCCAAGCTTGTGAAGTGACAGTGATTCTTTTGGGGAGAGGATGGCAAGTAGCATGACTCAGCCTCCAGGCTTAACTTTATCTTCCGAGTAAGGAGTTTGGGGGTCCTGAGACTTTATTTTCCTTTACATGTGTCTGACAAGCATGGTGTGGGGGTGGGGTGGGTGGAGGAGGTGACCCTTGATAGGATTCTAGAGGGGTCTGACTTCAGAGCTGCCTGCTTATCCTCTGGGCCCTGCGTAGGAACCTCTGCTGCCATATGCCTTGGGCACCTGATGGAAAGGAGTGGCTTTCTCTGTCCTCTCTGCAGGAACCCTTCTTGGGAAGTTTGTTTGACTCTATTTATAGTGCAATTCCACTGGCTCCATATCTACAGAAAGTTGATCTTTGAAATTGAGAGATGCATGAGAGTGATTCCTTTTTTCAAGGGAAACGTTGAAAATCACATTGCTGGGTGTCTAAGAGTGTGATTCTTGACCTAGAGAAGTTAAACTCTAAGGAGCTGGCCAGTCAGACATGTTGGGTGGTCTCCCTGTAGTTCCAGCTTCAGAGGGCTGAGGCAGGAGGATCACTTGAGCCCCGGAGTTCAGCCTAAGCAACATAGCGAGACCCCATGTCTTAAAAAAAAGAAAAAAAAATCTCAAGGGAAATGCAAAGGAGCTGGCCAGCAGAGAGACCAGCAATGTGAATAGGGCCTGGATCCCCTGCAGTCGTGGAAGGGTAGGCTTTGGTCTCAGCCACTTGATACATGCTGGATTACTCTTTTCAAGTGATTTAATTTCTCCCTCTCTTCATATGTTATTCTGTAAAATGAATATAAAAATATCTGCCTGTTATTATGTAGCAAGCCCTTGTGAGAAGTTGTGAAATGACTTAAGGGTTTCAGTTTTTTTATTGTGTGTGTGTGTGTGTGTTTTTTTTTTCTTGTAAATAGCTTTCTGGAATATATTGTTAAACTTGAGATAGTTATTCCAACATCCAAGAAGGATGTAGTGATGTGTGCATGTGAAACAACTGCTGATTTGCAGGTCCCCTCCCCCATGCCGAGTTACCTAGCTTGTAACTTGGCGCAGAGCCTTTGAGGGACAGCAGCCTCACCTGCAAGCAGAGGCTTTGCTCAGGGTGCTCGACCTCTAGGCTGCCTCGTTACATCCTCAGTTTAATTCCTGGCCCACAGTTGTCCCAGCCAAACCACATGCATGTTTCTAGACTCCAGGTGACAGGCCCTTAGCCTGAGGACTCTACAACATGCAGCCAGGTAGTTATGCAGAAGGCCACAGTCTGCCCCAGGATGCAAGACTCAAAAGCCACCTTCTATTGCTGCTTTTCAAATGATTTCAGACATCAGCCTTCCAGGATCTAAAATGCATTACTTCTTTTCTCCTTAAATTCATCTTCTGGCCAGGCACAGCAGCTCATGCCTGTAATCCCAGCACTTGGGAGGCCAAGATGGGAGGATCACTTAAGCCCGGGAGCCTGGGCAACATAGCAAGACCCCACCTATAAAAAAAAAATGAACTGGGCATTGTGATGCACACCTATAGTCCTGGCTCTGAGGGAGGCCGAAGTGGGGAGAATGGCTTGAGCCAGGAGATAGAGGCTGCAATGACCCGTGATCGTGCCACTGTGCTCCAGCCTGGGCAACAGAGCAAGACCTTGTCCCTTGACTCCAAAAAAACTAAAAAATAGTAAAGTCAGCTTCTGTTTAATAAAGTAGCTATTGCTAAGTATATATTGGTCTTTCATGTATTGTGATTTTTCTTGGTCAAACTGACCTGTATTATATTACTACCTAGTGTTGTATATATAATACATAGGGCAATTGTGAGAGAAAGAATGACTTTCATTGACTTTTACTGTTACATGTTCCAGGCACTATGATAAACTCTCCAAGTCATTATTTCACTTAACTGCCCACCCCCCAACCCTGCATTGTTAGATTATGAAACAGAGGCAGAGGGATTAAGGAATACAAGGCTTGATTCACTAGAATTGGGGTTTAAACCCTGGCGGTCTGGCTCCAGAATATATGTCCTTAGTCATCTTGATGCATTTAAGCAGCTTTCAAGCTTCAGAGCACAACCTGCAATGATCTATTTTGTATTACAATCCAGAGTCTCACGCCTTTATAATTAAAACACAAGCTTCACAGAGCAGTGCTGACCCCTGAGCACAGGCAGGGCTCTCTGGCTGTTTCCCAGGCTGTTTCTCTCTCTCTTCTCCTGTCCTTTCCCTCCGTCCCTTCCTCCCCCCTCCCTTATTCTTTTTTTCTAATTTTTAATTGTTATGGGTACATAGTAGGTATATATATTTATGGGGTACCTGAGATATTTTGACACAGGTATGCAATGCTGTAGTCACCCTGTTGTGCTGTCAAATAATAGGTTTTATTAACTATATTGTATCCATTAACCATCCCTGTTTCCACCCCTGCCCCACCACCCTTCCCAGCCTCTGGTAATCATTCTACTCTCTATCTTCATGAGTTCAATTGTTTTAATTTTTAACTCCCACAAATGAGTGAGAATATATGAATTTATCTTTCTATGTCTGGCTTATTTCACTTAACATAATGATTTCCAGTTCCATCCATGTTGTTGCAAATAGCAGGATCTCATTCTTTTTTATGGCTGAATACTCTGTTGTGTATATGGACTATATTTTCTTTATCCATTTGTCTGTTGATGGATACTTAGGTTGATTCCAAGTCTTGGCTATTGTAAATAGTGCTGCAATAAACTTGGTGAGTGCAGATATCTCTTTGATAGACTAATTTCCTTTCTTTTGGGTGTATACCCAGCAGTGTGATTGCTGGATCATATGGTAGTTCTATTTTTAGTTTTTTTGAGGGACTTCTGTACTGTTTTCCATAGTGGCTGTACTAATTTACTTTCCCGCCAACAGTGTACAAGGGTCTGCTTTTCTCTGCATCTTCCCCAGCATTTGTCATTCATGACTTTTGAATAAAAGTCATGACTTTTGGATAAAAGCCATTTTAATTGGGGTGAGATGGTATCTCATTGTAGTTTTGACTTGCATTTGCATTTCTCTGATGATCAGTGACATTCAGTATGTTTTCATGTTTCTGTTTGCCATTTGTATGTCTTTAAAGAATGTCTAGTAAGATCTTTTGCCCACTGTTTAATCAGACTACTAGATTTTTTTCCCCCATTGAATTGTTTAAGCTCCTTATATATTCTGGTTATTAATTCCTTATCGGATGGGTAGTTTGCAAGTATTTTCTCCCATTCTGTGGGCTGTCTCTTCACTTTGTTGATTGTTTCCTTTGCTGTGCAGAAGCTTTTTAACTTGATGTGATCTCATAGGTTCATTTTTGTTTTGGTATTCTGTGCTTTTGGGCTATTACTCAAGAAATCATTGCCCAGATCAATGTCCTGGAGAGTTTCCCCAATGTTGTTGGTTTTTTAGTAGTTTTCATAGTTTGAGGTCTTAGATGTAAGTCTTTAATCCTTTTGATATGATTTTTGTATATGGGGGGGGTGTCTAGTTTCATTCTTCTGCTCATGGATATCCAGTTTTCCTAGCACCATTTACTGAAGAGACTGTCTTTTCCTCAATATATGTTCTTGGCACCTTTGTCGAAAATGAGTTCATGTAGATGTATGGATTTATTCCTGGATTCTCTATTCTATTTCATTATTCTATGTGTCTGTTTTTATGCCAGTACCATGCTGTTTGGGTTACTATGGCTCTGTAGTATAATTTGAAGTCAGATAATGTGATTCTTCCAGTTTTGTTCTTTTTGCTCAGGATGGCTTTGGCTATTCTGGGTCTTTTGTGGTTCCATATGACTTTTAGGATTTAAAAAAAATTATAAAGAATGTCATTGGTATTTTGATAGGGATTGCTTTGACTGTTTAGATTGCTTTGGGTAGTGTGGACATTTTAACATATTGACTTATCCAGTCTCTACACATAGAGTGTCTTTATTTTTGTGTGTGTGTTTTCTTCCATTTCTGGTGTCAATATTTTATAGTTTTCATTGTAGAGATCTTTCACTTCTTTGATTAAGTTTATTCCTACTTTATTCTACTCACAGCTACTATAAATGGGATTACTTTCTTGATTCCTTTTTCAGATTGTTCACTGTTGGCATATAAAAATGCTACTGATTTTTGCATGTTGATTTTGTATCCTGCAACTTCACTGAATTTATCAGTTCTTAATAGTTTTTTTTTTTTTTTTTTTTGTGGAGGCTAGTTTTTTCCAGATATCAAGTCATATCATCTGCAAACCAGGATAATTTGACTTCTTCCTTTCCAATTTGGATGCCCTTTATTTCTTTCCCTTGTCTGATTGCTTTAGCTGGGACTTCCAGTACTGTGTGTGAATAACAGTGGTGACAGTGGGCATCCTTATCCTGTTCCAGATCTTAGAGGAAAAGCTTTCAGTTTTTCTCCATTCATATGATACTAGGTGTGGGTCTGTTGTATATGGCTTTTATTATGTTGAGATATGTTCCTTCTGTACCCAGTTTATTGACAGTTTTTATCATGAAGGGATGTTGCATTTTCTCAAATGTTTTTTCAGCATCAGTTGAAATGACCATATGGTTTTTACCTTTCATTTGGTTGATACCACATTGCATATGTCAAACCACCTTTGCATCCCTAGGATAAATCCCACTTGGTCATGATGAATAATCTTTTAAATATTTTGTTGAATTTGGTTTGCTAGGATTTTGTTGAGGATTTTTGCATCAATGTTCACCAGGGATATTGGCCTATAGTTTTCTTTTTTTCATGTATCTTTCTTTGTCTGGTTTTGTTATCAGGATAATACTGCTTTCAGAATTGGTTTGGAAACATTCCCTTCTCTTCTATTTCTTGGAATAGTTTGAATAGGATTGGTATTTTTCTTTAAATGTTTGGTAAATTTCAGCAGTGAAACCATTGGGTCCTGGGCATTTCTTTGCTGGGGGACTTTTTATTCTGGCTTTTATCTCGTTACTTGTTACCGGTCTGTTCAGGTTTTGGATTTCTTCATGATTCAATCTTGTTAGGTTGTATGTGTCTAGGAATTTATCCATTTCTTCTAGGTTTTCCAATTTATTGGCATATAGTTGCTCATAGTAGTCTCTAATGATCCTTTGAATTTCGGTAGTATTGGTTGCAATATCTCCTTTTTTATCTTTGATTTTATTTAATTGGGTCTTCTCTTTTTCATAGTCTGGCCAAAGTTTTGTCAATTTTGTTTATCTTTTCAAAAACCAACTTTTTGTTTGTTGATCTTTTGTATTTTTTTCATTAAAATTTCATTTATTTCTGCTTTGATCTTTATTGTTTCTTCTCATTTTGGGTTTCATTTGCTCTTGCTTTTCTGGTTATTTAAGATGCATTGTTTGTTTATTTGAAGTTTTTCTCTGTTTTTGATGTAGGCGCTGATTGCTGTAAGATTTCCTCTTAGTACTGCTTTTGCTGTATCTCATAAGCTTTGGTATGTTGTGTTTCCATTTTCATTTGTTTTAAGACATTTTAATTTTTTCTTCTTAATTCCTTCATTGACCCACTGGTCATTCAGGAGTGTATTACTTAATTTCCATGTATTCGTATAATTTCCAAAGTTCCTCTTTGTGATTTCTAGTTTTATTCCATGGTGGTCAGAGAAGATACCTGATATGATTTCAGTTTTTTTTTTTTTTTTTAAGTTTTAGGAGTTACAGGGCCAGGCGTGGTGGTTCAAGCCTGTAATCCCAGCGCTTTGGGAGGCCGAGGCGGGCACATCACCTGAGGTCAGGAGTTTGAGACCAGCCTGGCCAACATGGAGAAACCCTGTCTCTACTAAAAATACAAAATTAGCTGGGTGTGGTGGCATGCACCTGTAGTCCCAGCTACTTGGGAGACTGAGACAGGAAAATTGCTTGAACCCAGGAGGCGGAGGTTGCAAGTGAAGCGAGATCGCACCACCACACTCCAGCCTGGGAGACAGAGCGAGATTGTGTCTCGAAAAAAAAAAGTTTCAGGAATTATTTTGTGGCCTAACATGTGGTCTCTCCTTGAGAAGAATCATGTGCTGAGGAAAAGAGTGTGTATTCTGCAGCCATTAGATGAAATGTTCTGTAAAGGTCTGTTAGTTCCATTTGTTTTGTTTTATAGTGCAGATTAAGTCTGATATTTCTTTGTTGATTTTCTGTCTTATTAACTTTTTGTTGTTGTCTGTTGTTTCTATTTACAGCTTATTATACCATGTCTTGAAAAGTTGTAGTTATTTCTCTTGATAGATTCATCTTTTAGTCTTTCTGTTTAAGATACGAGTAGTTGACACATCACAATTAGTGTTAAAATATTCTGTATTTGTCTGTGTACTTGCTGTTACCAATGAGTTTTGTATGTTCAGATGATTTCTTTTTGTTTGTTAATGTCCTTTTCTTTCAGATCAAAGAACTCCCATTTGCATTTCTTGTCTGCTGTTGATGAAATTTCTTAGGTTTTGTTTGTCTGGGAAAGTCTCTATTTCTCTGTCATGTTTGACATTTTTTCCTTCAGTACTTTAAATATGGCATGCCTCTCTCTCCCTGGCCTGTAAGGTTTCCACTGAGAAGTCTGCTCCTTTGTTTCTTTTTTCTTGCTGCTTCTAGGATCTTTTCATTATCTTTGCCTTTTGGGAATTTGTTTATTAAAATGTCTTACTTGGGCAAAGTCTGCTTGGTGTTCTATAACCTATTGTACTTGAGTATTAATATTTTTCTCTAGATTTGGGAAGTTCTCTGTTGTTATCCCTTTGAATAAACTTTCTACCCCAATCTCTCTCTCTACCTCCTCTTTAAAGCCAATAACTTACTAGATTTGCGCTTTTTTTAGACTGTTTTGTAGATCTTGTATGTGTGCTTTATTTTTTTTAAATTTTGTCTCCTCTGTATATTTTCAATTAGCCTGTCTTCAAGCTCACTAATTTTTCTTCTGTTTGGTCAGTTCTGCTGTTGAGACTCTGATGCATTCTTCAGTATGTCATAAACTTTTAGCTCCATAATTTCTGCTTTATTTTTAAAAAATTATTTCAATCTCGGCCGGGTGCGGTGGCTCATGCCTGTAATCCCAGCACTTTGGGAGGCCGGAGTGGGCAGATCACGAGGTCAGGAGTTTGAGACCAGCCTGACCAACATGGTGAAACCCGTCTCTACTAAAAATACAAAAATTAGCCGGGCGTGGTAGCGCCTGCCTGTAATCCCAGCTACTCAGGAGGCTGAGGCAGGAGAATCGCTTGAACCTGGGAGGCAGAGGTTGCAGTGAGCCGAGAAAGTACCACTGCACTCCAGCCTGGGCGACAGAGCAAGACTTTGTCTCAAAAAAAAAAAAAAATTATTTCAATCTCTTTATTAAATATATCGAAAGGATTCTAAATTCTTTCGCTGTGTTATCTTGAATTTCATTGAGCTTCCTCAAAACAGCTATTTTGAATTTTCTGTCTGAAAGATCACATCTCTGTCACTCTGGGATTGGTCACTGGTGTCTTATTTACTTCATTTGATGAGGTCATGTTTTACTGGATGGTCTTGATGCTTGTGGATGTTCATAGATGTCTGGGCATGGAAGAGTCCGGTATTTATTCAGTCTTCACAGTCTGGGCTTGTTTGTACTTGTCTTTCTTGAGAAGACTTTCCAGATATTCAAAGGGAATTGAGTGTTAGGATCTAAGCCTTTGGTCACTGCAGCTGTGTCCGCATTAGGGGGCACCACAAGCCCAGTAATGCTGTGATTCTTGCAGACTCATTGAGGTATCACCTTGGTGATCCTAGATAAGATCTAGGAGAATTTCCCGGTTTATGAGGCAGAGTCTCTTGTTCCTTTTCCTTACTTTCCCCTAAACACACAGAGTCTCTCTCTTCATGCTGAGCTGCCTGGAGTTGGAGCAGGGGTGATGCACTTCTGTGGCTACCACTACTGGGACTGTGCTGGGTCAGACCTGAAGCCAGCCCAGCACTGGGTCTCAGTCAAAACTTGTGGTGACTATTGCCTGGCTACTGCTGATGTTTATTCAAGGCCCAAGGGCCGTTTAATTAGCAGATGGGGAATCTAGCCAGGCTTGTATCTTTCCCTTCAGGGTGATGGGTTCCCTTCTAGCCCAGAGTGGGTCTAGAAATGCTACTTGGGAGCTGGGGCCTGGAGTCAGCAGCTTTAGCAGTCTGCTTGGTTCTTTATTTTATTGTGGCTGAGCTGGTATCCAAGTTGGAAGACAAAGCCCTTTACCCTTCCCTCTCCTTTTCTCAAGCCAAAGGGATCTCTGCCAGTGGCCACCGCCACCCCAAGCCTGTGGCAGCACCACTGATGTTTATTCAGGGCCCAAGTTCTCTTTAGTCAGCAGGTCTGGATCTCTCCCTTCAGGTCCACGGTGGGTCTAGAAATGCTGTCCAGGAACTAAGGCCTAGATGGGGGACTTTAGGAGCCTGCTTGGTGCTTTATTTTACTGTGGCTGAGCTGTGCCCAAGTTGCAAGATGAAGTCCCCTTTACTCTTCCCTCTGCTTTCCTCAAGCAGAAGGGATCTCTCCCTGTGGCCACCACAGCTGGGAATGCACTGGGTCACACCTGAAGCCGGTACAGTGTGTGGCCCATGATGAGTACTGTGTGGGTACCACTGATGTTTAATCAAAGCCCAAGGACTCTTTGGTCAGCAGGTGATGAATGCTGCCAGGACTGGGTCCTTCCTTTCATGACAGTGGGTTTCCTTCTGGTCCAGGCTATGTCTAGAAATGTTATCTGGGAGCTAGGACCCGGAATGGGGGCTTCAGGAATCTGCTTAGTGCTTTATTTTACTGTGGCTGAGCTGGTATCCAAGTTGCAAGACAAAGTCCTCTTTACTCTTCCCTCTCCGCCCAGAGCTGTGAGCTGTGCTGCCTGGGGTTGGGGGAAGAGTGGTGCAAGCACTCCCTTGGCTGCTCCAGGTGGTGTCTCACTGGGTCATGTGCACTCCAAGTCCACTGTCTGAGCCCAGCACAGCACCAGGACTTGCCCAGAAATTGCAGCCCTTGTGGCCTAGCCTCTTTCAGATTTACTTAGGACTCCAAAGTGCTTTAGCCCACAGAGGTAGGGCTTGCCAGAACTCAGATTCTCACTGGAATGGAAGATTCCCCTCTGGCTAGGGCTGGTCTAAATGCTCCTTTTATGGGTGCTGGCTGAATTCTGTCCTGTGTTGCTTTCTGCTGTGATGGGACAGCACCAAATTCCAATGCAATCTCACAATCATTGTGCTTTCCCTCCCCCGGGGTGCACAGATGCTGTCTCTCTACCATGTGGTTGCTGCCAAGGGATGAGGGAGAGGGGATGTTGGAGAGTCAAGACGGTCTTTCCTCCCCTCTCCGGTGCATCTTTCCTTGATATGATGTGTTAAAACCAGGCACTGTGATCGTTCATCTGATTTTTGGTTCTTATGAAGATGCTTTCTTACGTGGATAGCAGTTCCATTTGGTGTTCCTGCAGGGAAGCCATTGCTGGAGGATCCTTTTTGGCCATGTTGTTCTGTCTCCAGGTCTCTCCTCCTTTCCTTATCCTTTGTCACAATTTCCCAGTGAATGATCCTGCAGTGCTGCCTCCCAGTGTTCATTCAATCATTCATCAAATATTCATTAAATGCCTCCTGTGTGTGATGCTGTGTAGATACTAGGGGTGCAATGGTGAATTAAACAGACAAGGTCCCTATTCCCATAGAGCTTATAGCCAGAAGGTTTTGCACATGAAATGTAATTGGAAAAAAATTTCATTTCATACAAAGAAACCCCACCCCCAGCGCCAGATTACCTGGTAAATATACAGCTATTTAGTAATGTTAATTAAAGGACTGTAGAAAAGGGACAATGATGTTTATTGCAGCATTTTTGTAATAATAAAATAATATAGTCAAACAGTGGAATACTATGCACCAATTAAAGTAATGACTTAGCATGATGTGTATCAGTGTGGATACATTTCAAAAACACAGTTAAAATGCAGGAGCATAGTAAGCATAGTATTGTAGAGGACAAAGCATATTACCATGTTATAAATGCAGAATAATACAGATACAGTATAATCCACTGCAAAAGCACAATATAGTGTAGCATTGTGTAAAAGGACAATACTATGTATTGTCATGGACACATGCATATATAGTAAAAGTGAAAAACCATTCAAGGATTGACCACATACCAATTTTAGGATAATGCTTATTACTCTCTGAGGTAGGAGGGAAGATTGAGGTTTTAAAAAATTCTTATTAAAGTAAAAAGATTTTGCAAATGTGACAACATTTAACCATTGTTAAGTCTGTTTGGTGCATGATTATTATTTTTGGTGCTTTTCTGTGTATTTAAAATGTTTAACAATTAAAAAATTGAACAGATGAAGCGATTGTGCCGTGCCACTTTTCTGCTTCTGTGTATGTACGTTTTTGTGTGCCTTCCGCCGACATTCTCTATCACATTTTTGCTGTGATAGAGCATGAATGTGATAGAGAATCTTTAGAGTTTCCTCTAAAGAAGCATTGCAGCCCCAAGTATCTTATCTCTAAGGGAACCTGGGGGTGTGCAGATTAGCCTGGCTTCAGGGTTGTTGTTCACAGCTCAGCAGCAGAGGGCGCTGCTCCATAGCAGATGTGCGGTGGGGGTGGCCACACCAGGCAGCTCTCTTGGTGCAGGGCCAGTGCCTCCCAGGGAAGCACTGCTCTCCCAGGGAAGCACTGCTCTCCCCAGCTGTGGGAAAGAGGAATATTTAAGTACGTGCAGATTCCCTCCTGCTTGTAGGAGGGGGCACAGAATCCAGCCATTTGGAAGCATACATCGTGTTTCTCTGACTATTCACAGCCTTGGCTGTTTCTGAGGCTAAGAATGCAAGAAACAGCACATGCCAAGGGCGTCTTTGCTACTATGTCCGTGAGCCTGCTGCTGACTTGTGGGGAGCTTTTCGTAATGTTTTATTTTAGATTGAAGAGGTTCATGTTCAGGTTTGTTACATGGGTATATTGCATCATGGTGGGGCTTGGCCTTCTAGTGTACAGATCACTGTGGGAATTTTTTTGTTGTTAACTGACCAAGGAACCTTCCTTTTATTTTAGGTGGAAAAGGATTATTCATACCTGAAGGAGATATGTGATCACCAAGCCGAACAGCTGAGCAGAACCAGCCTAAAGCTGCAAGAAAAAGCATCAGAGAGTGATGCAGAGATCAAAGACATGAAAGAAACCATATTTGAATTGGAAGATCAGGTGGAACAGCACCGGGCTGTCAAGTTACACAATAATCAACTCATCAGTGAGCTAGAAAGTAAGTGGGGTCTGCCAGGCATGGTGGCTCACACCTATAATCCCAGCACTTTGGGAGGCTGAGGCAGGAGGATCACCTGAGGTCAGAAGTTCGAGACCCAGCCTGACCAACATGGTGAAACCCTGTCTCTACTAAAAATACAAAATTAGCCGGGCGTGGTGGTGGGCGCCTGTAATCCCAGCTACTCAGGAGGCTGAGGCAGGAGAATCACTTGAACGCAGGAGGCGGAGGTTGCAGTGAGCCGAGATTGCGCCACTGCAAAAGAAAGCAAATGAGGTCAAGCCCAGGAGAAATGTGGAATGGAGCTGAGTAGGACACTAAAGAAACCAGCAGCAGTGGGTGACGAGGGGGGGTGGGTTTGACTGTATGTTGGCTGGGGTTTATGAAGTCTCTCATTTGAGTGCGCTGTAATCTCCTAGGAAGAATGTCACCTAAGAAACAATCATTAATCTCCAGTTTAAAAACTAGAGATTAAGAGATCAATGATCATAGCAGTTGAAAACTGGGATGACAGAAGAACAGGCTGTTGAACATGAGTCAGCAGTGTGTAGGTGATTGCGAAAAATAGAAATGCTTTTCATTTTGTTTTTTTTAAGAAGTCTTGCTCTATCACCCTGGCTGGAGTGCAGTGGTGCAGTTGTAGCTCACTGCAGCCTCAAACTCCTGGGCTCAGGTGATCCTCCTGGCCTCTCAAAGCACTGGGATTACAGGTGTGAGCCACCGTATTGAGCTGCAAATGTTTTTTGGCTGTGCTGGATGTGTTTTGTGTGAGCCATGCTACTGCTGCTGTCTCCAGGCAGCCTGATCAGCTTGAAGGCCACATGTTAGGATACTTTAGCTGTGACTGTGAGAGTTCACAGGGACCCTTCCTAAGGATATTTTGCAGGGTAGGAGAAGGTTATTCAGAAGAAATTGCTTGCCAGTCATCAAGTACTGACACTGTGTTATCTCTTGTATCTGACAGAGATGGATGATAGGTATCAGAGTGGATGAACAATGTGTGCTCTTGGTCTAAGGGAGAAAACAATTCCCGCATGTGTCCCATTGGTGGTAGGATATCAAGTAACTTCTAGATGTTTGCCACTTAGTTGCTGAAGAGACATCAGCATATGGCTTATTTATGAACTCATAGTTTGCTTTGAATTGGGAAAGAAATTTTTAAAAGAGATTAAACATTACCTTCTTTGTCCAAATAAGCCTTACCAAATTATCACATCTAATGTGTTTTCTTTTGTAACAAAAGATTTAATGCACAAAGCATTTAGTCACACCAGCCATTACTAAGAATAGCTTGGTCAGTTGCCTGAGAAGTTCCTTACCCCATGCAGTCGATCCTCCTTATTCACAGATTTCACATTGGTGAATTCATCTGCTTGATAAAACGTATTTTAACCCCAAAACCAATACACAGAGCACTTCCACAGTCATTTTCAGACATGCACAGAGAAGTGAAAAGGTTGTGTCATCCAGTGCTTATGTTCCCAACTCGGGTCAGACAGAGACACTTGGCCTTCTCATACTGTACATGTGTCTTTTTTACAGTCTGCTTAATACCATGCTTTTAACATTTTTGTGCTTTTGTTTTTGGTGACTTTGCTATTTAAAATGGCCCTGAGTGCAGTGCTGTCCACTGTCCCCAAGCACAGTGAGGTTGAGACGCACCTACAGAGAAAACACGTGTATTAGGGAAGCTTCATGCAGACGCAAGCTCTTGTCCCGTTGTGCGTGAGTTCGGTGTTATTGAATCAACAAAGCGCATCAGGCTAAGTGCAGTGACCTCATCCCTGTAATCTCAGCACTTTGGGAGACTGAGGCAGGAGGATCGATTGAGCCCAGGAGTTCGAGACCAGCCTGGGCAACATAGTGAGACCCTGTCTTGACAAAAAAATAAAATAAAATAAAAACTAGCCACGTGTGGTGGCGCATGCCTTTAGTCCCAGCTTCTCTGGAGGCTGAGGTGGGAGGATCCCTTGAGCCTGAAAGGCTGAGACTGCAGTGAACCAAGATTGTGCCACTGCACTCCAGCCTGGGCAATAGAGCAAGACTGCATCTCTAAAAAAATAAAAAAACCAAACCAAACAAAAAAGCCCAATACGGTGCATCAGAGAAAGGGAGAAGTTTGACAATATGTATATAAGGCTGCCCTGAGACATGCTAAAGCGATGTGCTAAAGCAGCCAAATTCATGGATTTGTGAGATGACAGCCAGTTTTAAAAAGCTGTGGGCAATATTGTTGTGTGGCTGAAAACCAAAGCAATATTTGTTCACATCACCCAGGGTCAGGAAAATGTTAACCCCTTCTTGGCTAGTGCTGGTTGGCTCCCAAGTTTCAAAAGGCCATAAAGTGTGAGAAAGGTTAACCTTGCAGGCAGGGGAGGTTCTGCAGATCAGGAGGCTGAAGAAGAATTTAAAAATACTTGCTAAGTGTTATTCAGGAAGAGGAAAAAAGGAAAGAGTGGGTTTCCATGGTTGATGAGCCTGGCTTGTTTATAGAGACATTGGCAGATACGTCTATATAATGCAAATGGCATTTTAGTTGATGAGAATGTTGTGACCAGAGGCTTGCAGGAACCTAACCTGTATTTTTCCTAGAGACAATAGTTCGGTGTTTGCTGATTTGGTGTGCATGGCAACTCTCTGCAACTACCATGATTATTAGAATTGACTATGTATTTCAGACATTGACTAGTTGGTTAGAGTGACAGTTGACAGCACCTGCCCCATTTCTCCTTGAACATGACATGTAGTAGAACTGCAGAACCTCAGCGTTCAGTGTCAGTGCCATCCAGGCTGTTCTCAGGATACAACTGAAAACCTGGACGCCATCATCATCAGTGTATCCTTCCAAACCCAGCACCATGATTGAGAAGAAAAGTCAAGACAAGTTCTGTTTTGTTTTTGTTTTTGTGATATTTTGCTGTTGAAAATAGGGTTGTATTGTCCCTAAATCCTTAAAAGTCAGCACAGACACACTAAGAAAACCAGTGTATAATTAATGTCCACAGCAAAATTTAGACACATGCCTGTGGTTATATCATCATATATCCAAGACTGACAACAATGCAAGCCATCTTTTGAAAAACTTTTAAACTTTTTAAAAGGATATTGAGGTATTGTTAAGATATGTTTTTGCACAGAGACCTAGGGACACATAAATCCAGCCTAGACCAATCACTTCTTCCTATAAGATCCTGATGGGAAAGGAATGGACTGGAAAATAAAAGGAAGTTAGGGAGTGTTTTCTACTGTGCAGCATTGATTCCAGACACAAACTCTCAGTCCCACTAGAACTAGAACTGCTGGGGTAGGACCTGCCCACAGCATCTTTTTAGCCTACTCTGGTGATTCTGATTTGCATCCTTCATAGAAAGCTAATGCTCTAGGTTAGAGCATGAGGACCTATTGAGGAATTTCAGCTCAGTGACTGACACCATCAGATTTAAATTTGAATGACTCTGATAGCCAGATGGAGAGAATTGGAGGCAAGGAGAACAAGGGGCTGCAGGTGTCCTTAAGTAGGGAGAGGCAGGCAACCACCTGGGAAGATGTTAAATGCACACATCCCCGGGTTCTGTCTGCCCTTGGAGATTCTGCCTCCAGGTGTCTGGAGTGTGGGACTAGAACATCGGTGCTTTTGAAAAGCTTCACCAGTGATTTAGAGGCTTAACTGTGATTGAGACCCATGACTCTAGAAAGTGCTTTACAAATCACAGGAGGAATAAGCATTCATGTGCTCTGTTATGTGAAAGCCTCTATCTCACAGCAATAAAGGACACTTAGGACGATTGTGTGTGAGTGCGAGGGAGGCCGGACTCGGTATGCAAGTGTGCATGGCCATGGAGGCCTCTTCCCGTAGTGCTGCTATTTGGTTGTGCATTCTGTCTGCTGAGACTGTAACCTCAATACACATCACATATTTTCCAGATCATCCTGTTCTTTATCTCAGAGGAGGCTCTTGTGTCCATTCCCTGGTTTACAGGGTAAATTGAAATTGCTAAAAGTTGCATTTAGAGTAGAATGGATGGATTTGGATGCCTGTTGTGGCATCTGGAGCTGCCCCTTTCTTTGCTACCTAGCGTGTCTTCTCTTAAGAGTCTCACAGCTTTTCTAAGCCCTGTCTGAATTATTTATTTCTAGGTAGTGTGATCAAGCTGGAGGAACAGAAGTCAGACCTGGAGAGGCAGCTGAAGACTCTGACCAAGCAGATGAAGGTGAGATGCGGGTGGGAGCCTTCACCACCATCTTCCTATGAATTACCCGCTCCGAGGTGTGGATCACTCTCTCTATCCTGCTTTCTCTTGGAACGTTTCCACGGCATGGTGGGCCCTGGAACTGTAAATTCTTGTTGGCAGGAAGTAAAATCAAAGGAGTCATTTGGTGTCAGGATGGAGAATTCTCATAACCTGAAGGTGTAATTCCACCAGTGCCTTTTCCTAGCAGTGAGCCACCGTGTAAGCAGGGCCTCACCAAGCACTGATGGCATTTTTTTCTTGGTGACCAACACGGGGACTCTGGGGTCCCTGCCCAGGCACTGGCCCTGGCAGGCGTCTGACATAAGGATGGGCTCTGACATTTTCAGGAGGAGACCGAGGAATGGAGGCGGTTCCAGGCGGATCTGCAGACCGCAGTGGTGGTGGCCAATGACATCAAGTGTGAGGCCCAGCAGGAGCTGCGCACCGTGAAGAGGAAACTGCTGGAGGAGGAGGAGAAGAATGCCCGGTTGCAGAAGGAGCTGGGGGATGTGCAGGGCCACGGCAGGGTGGTCACCAGCAGAGCCGCCCCTCCGTGAGTCTGGTGGGCACCAGGGCCGTGCTTGCTTCTCAATCACTATGTATGGGGCTCCCTGGTGGGGATGGGACTCTTCATGTCTGTGCCAGGTTCTGCTATTTCCTTTCTGAGATCACCCTGAATTACTAGCACCACCTTACCACTAGGAACATTCTGTACAGTACCCAGTCCCTGCCATGCTGCAGCATAAGAGGCTGCTAAGCTCCTCACTTACATATGAAGGGCCAGTTCTAGCCAAGTATCCTGCTAGGCTTAAAGAATAGAAGTCCTGTCTAGAATGCTCCCTGAATCTTAGTATTTATTAATGCAGGGGAGTGCACACTAATAAATACGAATCCACCACCTTGTACAGGTCACTCCCATGCAGTGGGAGAAGCTGGAATCACTCCCAAGGGGAGGAGCCGCCGGAGAAGGACACATTCCTCTGGGCCCAAGGATGTGCCTGCTTATTGAGAACACCCATGAGCTACGTCAAAAGGCCTTGACATAACCTATTTTATTAAAAAAGGATGAGAGTAGAAAACATGCATTTGGCTGATGTGTGACATTCCCTTCTGCTCTTGATGGGGAGAAGCACACAGTGTATCAGCCCAGGGAGCTCTACTAACAGTGACATTTAAGAGGAAGGTATTCCCAAAGTGAATGCAATGTTAATTATTATCTGAAATTTAGATGGTTTACAGACAAATTTATAAACAGCATTTTTTGCTTTAGCTAATATTATATTTACCCAATGAGGAATCAGTGTCCTTAACTTTGAGATTCTTGGATATTAGGAAATGATTTTGAATTTTTAGGTGTCTCTCAAATATCAAACATAGTCTTTTTAGATCAAATTTCCTGGGTTTTGAATGTTGATCAGGTGGCCCTAGTGTTTACATGTTTCCAAGATCAGTGGCTAGCTCCTGAGCCTTTTGATCTGATGTTTGGTTATCATGAATTTCATGACATTGGAAAGAGGAGATTTTTCAGAATTCAGCTGTGATTCTCCTGTCAATTCTGCTCCAAGTAATTCCTTATTTCTTTGTTTATAACTTTTACATAAAATGGCCTTTGGGGAAGGATGAAGATCAGATATAGCTAGCTCCACAATTCACTGTTGAAAAATCAATATCGAGATCATTATTTTATTTAGTTATTTATTTTTAGAGATGGGGGTCTCACTATGTTGCCCAGGCTGGACTCGAACTACTGAGCCCAGGAGATTCTTCTGCCTCAGCCTTCTGACTAACTAGGACTACACATGCGCCAGACAAGGTCATTACTTTATAGACAGAGCTCTCCCTCTGGACACCAAAGGATGTGAATTTTAAGTGGAGGTAGAGGGAGAATAGGAAAACTAGGTTTCACAGTGTTCCCTACTGAAACAGTAGTGAGGCCGTTCTGGGTGGCCTCTGTGTCTGCTTTTGTTTCGTTTGCCTCTGTCTTGCTTCCCTATTGTCTGTCATTGGAAGAAAATCCGAGTCAGAACTTGTGTTGCTTCACATGTACGTTATTTTAATGATAAATGGTAAAAGACAAGTCCTGAGTTTCTATGGTGGCCCTGAATAGGTTCTTGTATGAGATGCTGTGTTTCTTACGTATACTCTGAGACACAGGCCAGGTTCTTCTATGAGATGCCATGTTTCTTATGTATATTCTGAGACACAGGCCAGACCATGCAGCGTGAACCCTGATATTCTAGGAAATCTCCGCATACGTCCTGCCAGTTTAGGACTCCCTATGCTGCATCCTGCATCTTCAATCTTAACGTCACGTTTTTTTTTAAGCACAGAATGTTTCTTTTTTGATTTTCCAGTGATTTGCAAACCTACCTCCCAATCTAACAGTTTAATCCCTTCTCAAAAAACATTTCAAAATTTTAGAATGGACACCAATGAGAACATGTCATGGTACTGAAATCAGGCATCAGAACGTTTCTGTCTGTCAGTGCATTTGGCAGGAAGTCAGACAAGTGCCGGAGATGCTGGTTTCTTGTCTGATTTTGCACTTCTCTGGCAAGCTGCCCCTTGTAAAGAGTTGACTATATGGCAGTTAGTTGCTGGTGGTTCAGCCACTTCCAGCACCTACCCCATGAGCAAGACTTGAAACCAACTCACACCCTCAAAGCTCCGGAAGCCACCTAGTGTTTCCATCTTGACTGAATGAGTTCTTGATTGAAACTCAGTTTGACTTTGACAGTCATCTAGTGAGAACTCAAAAGTCATTCTTGGTTCAGCCACAGCCAAAGAACTTGCAGAGCATTCTCTGACGAGGTCCTCAAGGACAACTGAGAGAAGGTAAGATCACCCAAAAAGCACCTGGATCCAGACATGAGATTACCTGGTTCTTAAGCTCTGTTTGCGTCCGTGGGCACTCACAGGGTTGGTTGCAGCCAGGCTGATAAGCACGAGATGAAGCACCTGGGCAGAAATGCAAACCAGCATTCATTGCTGGAACTCAGTAACTAAACAGTGGGATATTATCTAACTCATCCATGATCTTCGGTCCTGTTACACTTTCACAGATATTTTTATTTCAGAGTCAGAATAACTGATGTTAAGGTATGTGGGGAAGGAAGGCGGTAGCCTCATCTTTGCAGTCAACCAGCAATATCTCATTCCCAGTGTCATGTTTGCAGCCAACCAGTAACATCTCATTCTCAGCCCTGCCTCTTGCCTCTGTTAAAAGAGGTGGGAAGAGGGGGTCGTTTTTGAGGTCTCTTTAAGCTCTGCTGTTCTCTGGACTGGTTGGTTAGCTGACCTTTCCCTGGTGGGAGAGTAAGAAACTCCAGTGCCAGCCTTAGAGTTATTCTGGTGCAATGCCTTGAACCTCTTTGACACAGTGGCATCTCCATATCTTAGTTGTGGCTTGGGAGCCTGCTCTTTCTCTTCCAGAAATGTGAACAAGCCAGTGTGTTTTTAGGGACCTAAAAGTGATCTGTTTCATTGGACACATATAATGTAATAGATGAAAAGATAATAACTTTTTCAGCTCTGGCTCCTCCCAGTTTTGAAAACTACCAATTGAGAAAAAGGCTTTGAAATGAAAACTCTCACTGAAATGAACCCGTCACATCTTTTTCCTGAAAAGTTGAGTCCTGGGACCTGGCAAAAACAGAAAAAACACAGGCAGCTCAATGTAATGATATATTGTGCCGCATACAAGCTTTCTAATGAAAGACATGGTTCGTGAGCAGTGCATGGCACAGGCTTCTCAAGCAGCATCAGGGAAAGACCTCTGTGTTTGTGGCATTTGTTCCTCTTGTTCTGAAACAGCAAATGCCATTACTTTTAGGGTGACTTATCTGATTCTTACTGTGTCTGTCATATAACACCAATAAACATCCATGGAAAACGTCTTTAAAAGAGATAATTAAACACACTTAATATCTGTGCCTAATTAATGCTGTTGGTTTCTAAATAGAATGTCTGTGATTCGAATGTGTTTCATTTTGCCTATACCACAAGTTCTTGCATTGTCCCCTCTTGGAGGTGAGCAGTGTGGCAGCGCAGCACGTGCAGACTCCACTGGAATTGGCTTAACTCCATGTGTGCACATCCGTGTCAGCCTGAGTGTCACTGTGTGTGCCTGTGCTGCCCTCTGTGTTGCTCTGATGGCTCTAATGGGTCACAGCCGCTCAGCATGTGTTCTCCAGCTACCATGGAGAGGGGAGGGGCGGAAGTTGGAGGTATAGATTCTTTAAGGTCCCTTTTCCAGCTGTCTTGCCACAGATGCTCTGATACTGAGCCCCTCTCCCAGGTGGAGGGGGGCTGTTCTCCTGAGGATTCTTAAGCAGTTTCTGAACAGACCTCACCTTAGCACCCATGACGGCATGATGGACAGGGGTCTCCAGCATTTAATTTGGCCCTTGATGCAGAACCTGGTCCTCTCAATGTGCTCTTATTCCAGCTAGCATTATCTGTTCCCTCACCTAGTACTCTTTTTTTCATAGTTTAAATGTACATTTATGACATTAGACACACAGTCTATAATTCTAAAGAGCTGTGTCTGCCTCCCTGTTCTCTGACCCCTGATTTTACAGATTTCAACAATGTGGACATAAGCTTCCCTTAGGCCTTTAGGATTTTTAGGTTGCAGTTATAAAAGCAAGAAGGTTTTTGGCCTTGACAGTAGAGAGAAGCATGAGCCTCTGTAAATTCTGGAGGGGCCTATGGTGTTCATCCTGGACATCTCTGCTTCACCACACAGTTCTTTGCTGGAGAAGTTCTGGTGGAGGAGCCTAGTACAGGCATTTGCAGTCTGGCTTTTTTTTTTTTTTTTTTTATGTCTGAAAACCTTTGGCTTCCAAAAAATTGGAACAGTAGGACTTAAAATCTGTTGGCCTATCCTGGACATTAGCTTTTCCCTGTGGGACAGTGTAAGCTGGAAATTCTTGCGTTTGTGAACTAAGACTGTATTGCCTTAGGTAACTCCTTTACAGCCTCTCCCTCCCGTTTCTATTTTCACAGCTCCCTGGGCTCTGTCAGCTAGCAGAGCATTTGGTGGAAGAAAGACAGCCCAGCTCTTGCCATGATTGGGAGCCGCAGCCATCTCTAGATGAAAGGGGGAATGTGTAGAGGAGAAATTGCCTCTTTATAAAGAGCCCAGTTGTCTCCTTGTGACATTCTCTGTTTCTCAGAGTCATTGCCGTCGAGTCTCTGCTTTTTGTCCACATTTTGGGATCAGCTTACTGCATGATCAAAGATGATGTTTCCCTCTTTTTACTTTTCCTCAGAAGATTGAGCTGTCTTTTATTTGGAGAATAAAATGAAGTTCTGAAAAAAACAAAGTACAAGTCTTATGAAAAGTTATTTGCAGCTGGAGTGCTGAAAAGGGCACAGTGGCAGAGCAGATGCAGAGCTGGGTACAGCGCAGGCCCGAGTTCTTTTGTTTTTTGTTGTTGTTGTTGTTGTTGTTTTGTTTTGTTTTTTTTTTTTTTTTGAGACAGAGTTTCACTCTTGTTGCCCAGGCTGGAGTGCAATGGTACGATCTCGGCTCACTGCAACCTCTGCCTCCCGGGTTCAAGTGATTCTCTTGCCTCAGCCTTCCAAGTAGCTGGAATTACAGGCGCCTGCCACCACACCCAGCTAATTTTTGTATTGTTAGTAGAGATGGGGTTTCACCGTGTTGGCCAGGCTGCTCTTGAACTCCTGACCTCAGGTGATCCCCACCTCAGCCTCCCAAAGTGCTGGGATTACAGACATGAGCCACCGCACCCAGAACCTAAGGCCCAAGTTCTACTTTTTGGTGTTCATTTCTCTGCTTCCTTTTGATCGTGGTGTCTGATCATCTTGGAATTCACATTACTCAAGGCAAAATAGGAAGCCATCTGCGTGATGTCACATTCCGAAGAAGTCAGAAGGTTCGGCGAGTTGGAGCTTTACTCTTGTTGCCCAGGCTAGAGTGCAGTGGTGCGATCTTGGCTCATTGCAAGCTCCGCTTCCTGGGTTTAAGCTATTCTCCTGCCTTGGCCTCCCAAGTAGCTGGGATTACAGGCATGTGCCGTCACTCCTGGCTAATTTTGTATTTTTAGTAGAGATGCAATTTCACCATGTTGGTCAGGCTGGTCTCGAACTCCTGACCTCAAGTGATCTGGCCGCCTCAGCCTCCCAAAGTGCTGGGATTACAGGCTTGAGACCCCATGTCTGGCCCCTTCTGTGGGGTCTTGATTGAGCCCCTTCACTTGGAGTCTGACTTCATTACCTCGTCTGAAACAAGGTGCCTCCAAGCTTTGGGTTGATTTCCAGAATCTTGTTGGGTTAAACATAAGTAGAAGTTTGATCATAAAGGATGTTATTAAGCCGGATAGGTAAGCACGGTGACAATGGCAATAGAAATCTAATGGAAAACGATTGAATGACAACTACACCAAAGTTTCATGGATGAAACTCACCCCAGAAACTTAGTGTTCAAATCAGAGTGATACACAATTCAAAATGTGATTTTAAACTTCTGGAAATATGTGTGTTTGTGAAGATCCAAATCCAATTCAGCAACCTCCATCAGGCAGAAACCTTCTGCAATCCTCACATGAGGAACTGGTTCACAGTGTACACAGCATGGAGCCATTAGTGACGTTATCCAAAGGATGAGACAAGACAAAAGTTACTGTCTAATAAAAGGAAAATTAGGAACAGGAATGCTCTTTAAACTCAGGAAGATCTTTTGGGGTGTCAAACTGGACAGCACAGAATCATTAGAAAAATTAGCTTGGCGTGAGAAGAGACATTGAGGTCTTCTCTGTAAAATTTACTTAGATACTTGTGAATAGGACTGAAATTTATATTTTGGGCACTCTTTACCTCAGATTCAGAGTTCTTAGGATTATTTAAAATTCATTTGCTGGATGTTTTCAAGTATAAACAATAAGAAAACTGCAACTTCAACTTAAAAGGCACTGCTGTATTTGCACCCTATATTTTGACCTGTCGTTAGGTACTGTTGAATATTTTTATCTGTAAGCATTTATGAAGTGCAAAATAAACATGTTATTATATAGAAGCGTCTGCTGCTTAGTTTTAATCACCAGCTACGTTTCTGCAGGGCCTTTATGTCGTTTTGTTCTACATTTTTTTCTGAATACAGTTTCAGAACTTCAAAGTCACATCAAGTAACTAGAATTTGAGGTAGAAAAAAGCTGGATGTAAGTTGTAAATAGGAGGTTGACATGGAATATGAACAGTTTCATTAGTAGAACAAAAGGGCATGGAGTAAAAATGCTAATTTTGCATAAATTTTTAAAACTCTAGGGTCTCAGAAAATATAGCATGGACTTAAAGTCTAGATGTGTTTTGTTGACATTTAAATATGAATAGATTGATGATTTAATGTATTGGATTTTTTCTTAATTATGAAGTATTATTTAGGTATACTAATAACAAAATGGAGACGTGTGAAGAAAAATATTAATCTTTCTTCTCCCTCAGTACCACCTGTGAGGAAATCAGTGTTAACAGTGTGTACATTTTTCTTTACTCATGAATATGTATAGGGTTCATTTTCATATTTTTAATAAAAATTGGATTATATTCTTTTCAGTACTCTGCACCTTTTTATTTTATCATATCATAGGCATCCTTCCAGGTCAATACATAGAAATCTATCTTATTTTAAGAGCAACATGACCTTCCATAGGAAGGATATGTCCTGGAATATTAAAATATTGTCTTACTAATGCACAACAAGGTTATAATTTTTTTTTTATGAGTAATGCTATAATAGCAGTCCTTATTCATATAGTCCTATGTAGTTGTGGTTTTATTTTTATAGAATGGGTTTTTCAAAATACTATTGCTGCTCTAAAGTATATGCACATTTTTATTTTAATAGATGTCTCCAATTACTCACCTGAGTGCTGTGACATTTCACTCTTGAACATGCCCATCTGTATACATCCTGAGCAGTAGTGGAGAGCCTTGATCATATTTTTGCCAATAGGATAATCAAAAAATACTATCTTATTAGCACTTTAATTTGCATTTCGCTGAGTTTTTTTTTTTTTTTTTTTTTTTTTTTTTTTTAAAGACAGGGCCTCACTCTGTCACCTAGGCTGGAGTGCAGTGGTACAGTCATGGCTCACTGCAGCCTCAACCTCCTGGACTTGAGCAGTCCTCCCACCCCAGCCTCCTGAGTAGCTGGGACTACAGGGGCACACCACCATGTCCAGCTAATTTTTTTTTTTTTTTTTTTTTTTTTTTTTTTTGGTAGACACGAGGTCTCACTGTGTTGCACAGAGAGACTGGTATCGAACTCCTGGGCTCAAGTGATCCTCCCAACTCAGCCTCCCAAAGTGCAGGGATTACAGCCATGAGCCACCATGCCCAGCCCTTTCTAAGCACATCTTTGTATGTTTACTAACCACTGCATTTTCTCTTCTAAGAATTACTAGTTTTGCAACTTTTCCCTGCTTTTTCACTGAGCTGATTGTTTTTTTCTCATCAGCTTATAAGTCAGTATTTTATTAGGGATACGGTTGTATCCCCTATATTATGAGCCTTTATCATATTTTTCATGTGATATGGCTTTATCTTTATCATAGAAAATTTTATATTTTTATGTAAACTGTTAGTGTTTTCCTTTACTCTTTTTTTTAAGATTCCTTCTCCCCAGTATTATACAAATGTGCTATTAAATGTCTTCATCTACTTGATGCACACACATATGCAGGCCATTTGATCCACCTCTCTTTATTTAATCTGATGTGAGGTGTGGTTCTTTTTCTCCCACTGGGTAGCACTGTTTATTACCAGAGTCATCCTTTGTCCACTGAATTGAAATCCCACCTTTACATGGTTTATGTCATCCACATTCAGAGAGACCTGCCCTAGATGTGCTCCCATTTCTTTCTCTTTTGAGTTAGCTCTGCTTTAAAATATTCATAGATTATTAGATTGCTTATATTACTTTTAACTCATCCTTTCATTTAAAATTTTTATTTTATTGAATTTTAAGGCAGACAGTATCAGTGTTGAACTCTGTTTCCAGTCATGAATTTACAAACGCCAGTCCTCTCTTGAGTGCAGTTTCCCCTTCACTTTGTATTATGAACTGTTTGCATCGAGCAGGGCATGATTTTGCCTGTCACCTTCTCTTGCTGAAGCAGATCCAGGTGTGGCAGGGCCTGACGTTTGCCCCAGGTCCGTGTCTGAATTCTGCTCAGATCCACTGCCTTTGCCTGACAGTGCTTCTGATCTTCTTCTCATGACTTAAACGTGTTGGGAGGCTCTTGAAGGTACATTTGTATTACATACTTGGAGGTACAGAAGCCCAGGTAGAGTAGAGAAGGGTGAGTGCCTAGTTGGGAAATTCACCTGTACCCAGTTTCTTCTCTGCCTGGTGAGCCTGGAACGCAGAGCCAGCTCTCTGGATCTCTTTGCGTGCCCCTCATCCATTTTAGGTGCACACTGTGGCTCTTCCTATCCTGCCCCTTGTCACTACTGCCCTTTATGCCTAGGGTAAACCAACCTTGGCCTTCTCGGATGTAAATTCTTCTTGTTCCTGATCCTTTGCCAAAACGCCGTGCATCTCTCTGGGCTTCTCATGCTCCTCTCCAGCCTTGGCCCTCTAGGGTGGGGGACATTAGTTGGGGTTTTCCCATATCTCCATTTTCTTTGGAAGGGAATTGAGGGAAAGCCCTTGGTATTGTATTTTCATTCCCCCGACCGTGTACTCTCTATTAGCAGAAATTCTTCAGAATCTAAGCCACGTCAATGATACTCGACTACAGGACTTTTACTATTTGATTCTTATTGTTGGGATTTGTAGATTATGATGCTGGTGTTCAAATTACTTTCTTATCCTGTTTGTTTTTATTGTTATATATGCTTTTACTGAAATTTGAAAGTGAAATTTAGAAGATATTGTTTGACACCTAAGAGACAAAGTACTTCATAATTTCTGTCTTCAAATAGAGTGAAAAACTTCTGTTAGATTTGTTTTATGCAAAATAAGTATTTAGAAAAAATTACATTCCAGGCAAGGGCATAGAATGAGCAAAGGCACAGAGGCAGGGCATAAAAGTAAAAAACTTCAGGTGAATAGTCCAAAACTAGATGGGCAGAGGGGAGTCTTGGGAGATTAACTGAAAGACCTGGGGTTGGGCTTTGTTCAGGTGTTCAGTAAAGAGACCGGCAGGCGTGAGCATGTGGTTGACATGCGACCCGCCCTCTTCACAAATATTAATCTGCCAATTGTGAAGGTAGCAGTGGTGCCATACAACACTACCCAAATGGAGTTAACCTTTGAATACTTTAAAAATCATCATGTACAGGAGCTCACCTGTTCCTGGATCAGAATGAACAATGACATAAAGTGCTGTTTTTAGGAAGTAAATGCTGTAGACCATGACTGACATTTGAAAACTCTGTTCTCTAACATAACAAGGAAAGCAGCAAATTAGAGAGGTTAAATAAAAGTTTTAAAGGGAAATAATTAGAGACATGTATGTATATGTGCTTAAATGACAAGGTGAGGCATGGAAGGCAGACCGACATTCAGTGAGGAGGGCCATGTGCCTTGCTGTGCTCCATGGAGACACTGTCTGCTTATGGAGTGTGCATCACCTGCTGTGTGTGACACAGCATCAGGCGGTCTGGCCTGCAACTGTTGTTCTCTAGTATCTGGCCTGCAACTGTTGTTCTCTAGTATGGGTTGCCGCCTTTTAAGAGCAGATTATTGTATAAAGATAGGAACACTGAAATAACTTGGTAGTATTTTTTAAATGTACTTAAAATTTAGGAAGAAATACCATCAGTATTATTTCTAGAACCTTGTATATCTCTCACAGAACATTTATGCATTATAGAAAATTTGAGAAATGCGTGGCCAGAGCTGGATTTGCACCCCAGTTTCACCATTCATGAATCATGTGACCATGGTCAAATTTTCCTCTAAAATAAGGGATAATAATATCTAGTTTTGTTGAAAATTAAATTAGATAATGCTTTTAAGACACATGGTACTGTGCTTGGCATATACAGTGGAGTTATACACATTCATATTTGTTTTGCTGAAATTATCGATTATTATCCCAGTTTTATATGCTGGGAGCAGGTAGAATACTTGCTTCATTTTTGTTGTTTTAAGCATGGCCCCTAAACACTAAGCACCTATTTAATGTGTGATGTAACTGAAGAAAGAGCCAATCATGAAATGCTGGAGGGAATGCAAGTATGTGAGACTTCTGGAGAGTTGGTGTGTTTGTAAACAGTCATGTTTACAAAAGCATGTACTTTTGAGTGACTCAAATTATTTTCATGGTTTATTTGACTACATGTGTGATTATTACTTTGCAGGTTGATTTTAGAACCTAACATCAGCCTTAGAGGCAGTAGCAAGCCTTGAACAAGTGTTTCTCCAGTAGTGGTACCTTGCAGTTTTTCTTTTATTTAATGCTAAGACATACCTGGCTGTATACTTACATATTTCTTAATATTCATTATAGAATACAGAGTTTTTATTCTTCCTTGGAACAGAGGAAATGTAAGACTTCATTTATGGCTGAGGCTGTTACTAATTGATCCCAGCCAATTCTAAAATAGGCTGGTGTAAGGATTTTCAGCCTCATTTATGATTTAAGTACATACTAATAAGCCAATAGCATTCTTAATAACCATTTTCTTTGGTTATTCAATTCAGGCTATGTTTTGTGAATCCCTCTCACATACACAGAGAGACACACAGACACACACACACATACCACTGTTACATAACACAGTGGGTATTTCTCTTCTCAAATTATACAGGGTTTTCTCATACTGACTCTTATTGTTCTGGCCAAGTAGACTTAGTGTTTGAAATACCATCTTTGGATACCTGAAGCCTGAGGTAATTGATTCTTGTGGCCTTGCTTTTTAAATTTATCATTTGATATTTTGAATTGCAGATAAATTTAGATAACTGAAAGGAATAACCTCAGCAGAATGTAGGCGTCTCCATTTTGTTCTTATTAAATTATCAAAGAATGAAATGTAAAATGAATTATTTAAAATGATTGTCCTTGGGGGCCTTTGGTACTGAGTCATTTAAATGGACTGGTAAGAAGGTGGCCAGGCGCAGTGGCTCATGCCTGTAATCCTGGCACTTTGGGAGGCCAAGGCAGGCAGATTGTCTGAGCTCAGGAGGTTGAGACCAGCCTGGGCAACATGGCGAAACCCCATCTCTACTAAAAAAAAAAAATACGAAAGATTAGCAAAGTGTGCTGGTGCTTGCCTGTAGTCCCAGCAAGCTACGCAGGAGGCTGAGGCATTAGAATCGCTTGAACCTGGGAGGTAGAGGTTGCAGTGAGCCAAGATCACACCACTGCACTCCAGCCTGGGCGACAGAGCGAGACTCTGTCTCAGAACAAAAAAAAGGTGGCCCATTTTGTTTGTTGATGACCTTCATGAGAATGGCTAGCACAGACCGAGGAAATTATTTTCTGCTCAAACCTAACCTGATTTCTTTTTCTTTCTGCATTTTTGCCACCTGATTTTATTGTATGGGAAAGTATGAAAACCAGTTCCTCTCAATAAAATTATTTAAAAATTATTTTAAAAACCCAACCTCCTACAATTTCTGAAGTGCCTGATAATTTCTTCCAATGAAGTTTTCAGTTTACTGATTTTTTTTTTCACTCATAAGAAGGGACTGTGGAGTGAAGATTGTAAGGCAGTGTGGTTTAACTGTTTTAAGTTCTGTTTCTCTTAAATTTATTCTATTCATGTTATTTACAGAGCAACAGAAGAAAGCTTAGAGAATTAAAGACAAATTCAACTGGAGAAGCTTATGAGTAGTAGCTAGATTAATTTGAAAATGATCAGTAAATAACTATTTTATTTACTGATTTATTTTAAACTTCCACCGACCTTATTGAAATATACTTCCAGAAACATTCTGTTTGAACTATTATCATAAATTAGTCATCTTGCAAAACAGCTGTGGCAATATGATACAATGAAGAGAGCAGTGATTTAGCAATGAGAAGGTTGGGAGTTCTTGTCTTGGCTCCTTCACAGGGAGATCACATGACATGCCAAAGTCCCCTATATGAGGAAGCCATGCATTGAGAGGATTGAGGATTGGGTCAATGATCTATCATAGAATGCTTTCTATGAGTCTAGAAGCCTCATGAAGAACACACCAGGAAACTTGGGTGAGAGCAGGAGCTTCACCTCATGCAGAATTGCAGTGTGATTTTAGAGTGCTGTTACCATTCTTATGCTTAGAAGTCAGAGTGTCTGAATCAGGATTCTGTTGTGTATAATGGATTGCACTCTCGTTGGCTTAGGCAGAAAGGTGTTAAATGGTTTGCAGAATTGTTGGGAAGGCTGAGCTTCCAGGAGCAGCTCCCAAAGTCTCCACACACAACTGGACCACCAGGGAACCTGCTCCCTCCACCAGGACAGGAGCCTTAACTTCAGAAAGCTGCCCACCCAGTTGGAAAGCTGCCACCACAGTTGCCAGCACCATAGCATCTTGTCTCTGCTACAGTCTCTGTCTACATAGTGAATGCCCGGTGCCCTGCCTCTCTTCCTCTGATTCAGGTCCCACTCCAGGTCTTGCCCAAGTCTTTCTGATTGGTGGAACTTAAATCACACCCAAAATCCCAGCTGTAGGAGAGCTGTGAGATTTCATCTTTCCAAACTCTGTGTACTGCATGGGGGTTGGAGCACATGTCGGCAGCCGGTCCACTGCATTCACCATTGACAGTAGGTGAAATATTTATGGTCAATAACATTTGCATTTTTTCACAAAAAATGCACAATTTGCAGAGTAGCCATACACACTTTTTATTTAGAGCTAATATCAAGTCACTCTACATATAAAAATAATTATTTCTGACCATTTCCCAAGAAAACAGCTCTTCTAAAAATTGAGAGCAATGCCTACATTATTTCCTAAAGATGCAAACTGGTAGAGAAAACAGGATGTTAAATTCAGAATTTCCCTTCCAGCTTCATTTATTTTCTCCACATCAGTTCTGTTTTCCTCTGTGTCTTTTTCTCCCATGGGGATGTCCTCCATCTTTTCAATCTGATTTGCTCTTTGCCATGCAGACCTGTGGATGAAGAGCCAGAGTCCTCTGAGGTCGATGCTGCTGGTCGGTGGCCTGGTGTCTGTGTTAGCAGAACATCTCCAACACCCCCAGAGTCGGCAACCACCGTTAAGTCACTTATCAAGTCATTTGACTTGGGACGCCCAGGTATTTAATCATTTTTTCTATAAGCAAAGCTCCAAATTCAAACTTTGGCCCGACATTTGATATGTCTACTATCTCTACTCCACCCTGGCCCTGTGTTGTTACAACCACAAGGGCGCTTTCCAGGTCCTACCACGTGCAGCCACTGCATGCAGGAGCCTGGCTGAGGCTCCAGGGAGGCACTGATGGAGAGCCTGGCTCATGAATAACACAAATGCAGCCTCTTCCTCTCTACCGCTTCCTTCCATCCAGTTCCTGCCTTGCTACCTTTCTTTTCTGCCTCTCATAGCCATTAAATTCAGGTCACTACTATTTGCCTTTTTGTCATCTCATGAGAATTATGAGGGTCAGCTGGAGACTTCATCTCCTAGGAAACGAGACATCACATCTCTGCACCTGGCCCTCTTGGAGGCACCCCTGGCCATCCCCATCTTGCAACCTGCTAGACGTTTTTCTACCTGGTCTTGTACGTGAGCACCTGTGCTAATCTGTCACTCCTGATCTAGGTGTGTTCCCAGCTTTTCCTGGTGTTGTCTGATGGTCTCACAATTCCCCTTTAGTCATGCTTATCTTCCTATATGAGAAAGATGCGTAGCTATACTTCATACATATACTGTACACATAAACATAGCAAATAGAAGAAACAGAATGTGCATCTGTCTACAGTAACAATATCTTTCTTCCCCAGAGTGCAACAAACATGCCATTGTATTGGGAGACTGTAGTAAAAGTTAATCCTAGGATGTACCTGGTTGTCTCTGCTAAAATTGTTTGCACCTAAATTAGATTAAGACTAGACTCTACATATTCAAAGACATGAAAGCCTTTCATGTCTGTGAAGACAGGAAATGAATTAACAATTTGTACAAGAACTTTTCTGTTCCTTCCTTCTCTAGGCATCTCATTATTTATACAGTTTCTTTTTGCTCAGCTATCCTTCATCTAAGACTGACCTCCACTCAGCTAAATCTTCCCTTCTTGTTTCCCCAAAGCAGCTCTAGTCCGGAGAAGAAAAGGATAATAGAGTAAATATTACACTAAACACGGATACTCCTTAAGCCACCAAAAAAAGTAACAAGAAATCAGGAACAAGTATATGCTATTTTGAAGTGGAACAACATATAAATGTTCCCATGTTTTTTCTTGGCAGGTGGAGCTGGACAGAATATTTCTGTCCATAAGACCCCCAGAAGTCCCCTAAGTGGGATACCAGTGAGGACTGCTCCAGCAGCTGCTGTCTCTCCAATGCAGGTAGATGAGCCCCAGAAATAACCACTGCTTATGGTTTGCTGTGTATCCCTCTAGATGTTTTTCTTTACACATATTAGTGTCCGTGTGTGTATGTGTGTGTGTAGAGTATGTGTTTTGTAAATTGGATTGCACTATGCATTATTCCAATACTTATTTCACTTTATCATCGGAATGTAAGCTTCATGAGGTCAGATATTTTTGTTCATTTTGCTTGCTGTTTTATCTCTTGTCTGTAACACTGGTTGGCACATGGTCACATTATAGTAGAAGTTCAATAAATATTAAATGAATGAAGGAATATGTTTTCAAATTTTAATATTTGCAGAAACGATTCTTTTTATAAAAGATTACATAATATGTGGTGATTTATTTAGCCACTGTTCTACTGATAGAAGTTAGGTTTTTTTGGATTTAACTTATTACAAAAAATAATACAGTGAAGATACTGATACAAATTTTTGACCACTTAAGGGGCTACTTTTTAAATAAGGGTATATCAAGATTCATTTGTAAGTATCAGAGATGACTGTAGTTAAGCAGAAAGGAATTTAATACAGGGATTTTGGTACTGAGGGCTGGAGAAAGGTCTAGGCTGCACTGAGCTTCCAGGAAAGGTTCCCAGAGCATCTGAAAGTTGGCCCATTAAAGGAGCTTCTGTTTCTGCCAGAATCGGGAAGTCTTTCTCTAAGTGCTTACCCAGGACTGCCACTGCTACCAAGATCTAGGATCAGCCTGGTGACTACACTGCCACAGGTGCAGTCCATGCCAGAAAAGCACACTCTGTGCCTGCCCCATACTGACCAGAAAACGGTGGAACAGACCCCAGAACCTCTGCTCCCCTGCCACAGAACAGCGAATGCCTTCCCAGCCATGTTTACCAGGAGAAGCTGCAGAAGGGAAGCCTTACACTCCCTTGCACCTTCCAGATCCTCTGAGAAGGGGCCTGTTTGACAGAAGCTAGGCCACTTGATGAGCCAAGCTTTAAAGGAGTTTGCCAAGTACACCCTTTAGCTTCCCAGTCCCTTATAGTTCAATAAGTCGCCCTACAAGGAGATGAGGATGGAGTTGAGTGAGCCCGTCTTGAGATCTTCTACAAATTGATTCCTAGTGAAGGAAAATGGAGTCCTAGAAAAGGAAATGTATTTGACCTGTTCCAGCATGTCGAAAAACTTGATAGACACATTGCCCTTCAGTTTGCCCTCCCGCTTACAGTACTATTTTCCAAGAATTTTGACACTGTCTATAATTTTTGAAGATCAAGTAAGTGAACAATAATATCTTGTTTTACTTTATCAGTAAGGTGGAGCACTTCTTCGTATGATTATAGGCCATTTATCTCTTGTGTGTCGGTGTGGAAACTTACATACTTTGCCTGCTTTTCTTTTGAAGTGTTAGTCTGTTTATGTTTTGTAAGAAGTATTGATATATTGTGCTTTTTAACATTTTTTCATATGTAATTGTATTACCTTTTTTATCTTTTAATGTCATATTAATAGTTATCTTTTACTGAAGAGAAATTTTACATGTTTGTGTTGTGTTTTAAGATTTTGTTTTGTTTCCTGCCTTAAAATGTCTTTTCTAGCTATTAGATGATTAAAATATTCTCCCTAAATATCTTAAGGAAGTCTTTTATTTCTTCAGTCTTAAAACCCATAGAAACATGGGTTTGGATTTAGATATTCTTCCCCTATCTTAACTGCCTTCTGGAAGCAGAAGTAAATACTCTCTGGAGGACAATTACACCATCTAGATCCTTAAATTATAGCCACATTTTAAAAAATACAACGTTATATAGTAACTTTAAACAATACCAGGCATGGCCAGGTGCAGTGGCTCATGCCTGTAATCCTAGCATTTTGGGAGGCCGAAGCAGGCAGATCACGAGGTCAGGAGTTCGAGACCAGGGTGGCCGACATAGTGAAACCCCGTCTCTACTAAAAATACAAAAATCAACTGGGCATGGTGGTGTGTGCCTGTTGTCCCAGCCACTCAGGAGGCTGAGGCAGGAGAATCACTTGAACTCAGGAGGCAGAGGTTGTGGTAAGCTGAGATCGCGCCACTGCATTCCAGCCTGGGCAACAGAGCAAGACTCCATCTTAAAATAAAATAAAATAAAACAAAAAACCAGGCATACAAATAGATAATACCAAATGATGAAAAGCCAAGAGAAAAAATAGACAATAGAAACAGACACGGAAGATTCAGATATTGATATTATTAGACATAGACCCTAAAACAACTGAGATTAATGCTGTCAACAAAATAAGTGACAAGGTAGAGAATTTCAGCAGAAAACCACAATGTATAAAAAAGAATCTGTTAGAGATTTTATGACTTAAAAATAAAATACCTGAATTAAAGACTCAATAAAGTTTAGCTGTAGCTTAAACAGTTTAAGAGAGGCTTAAAGAACTGAAGACAAGTCAGTATAAATATCTGAACTGAAGCACAGAGAAAAAGGATAGGAAATAGAGAAAAGGACATAAGAAACATATGGGATGGAATAAAAAAATCTCATGTGTAATTGGAGTCCCCAAAAGGGGAGAAAAAGAGCAGAAGTGATATTGGAAGGGATAATGATCAAGAATTTCCAAAACTGATAAAAGATGTCAAGCCCAGATTCAAGAAACAATAAGAACCCCAAGTGAGATAAGTACAAAGAAAACCACCCAGACACATGAGGTTAAAACTGCTGGAAATGAAAGAGAAAGCATCCTAAAAGCACCCAAAAGAAAAAAGATACCTCAATGTCCAAGGAGGAAGAGCAAAACTGACATCTTTCTTCTCAAGAAGAATGATGGAAGCCCTGAAGACAATGCAGTGGCATCTGCAAAATGCTGAAAGAAAACACCTGCTTTCCTTTACCTCATGAAAATATGCTTCAAAGTGCTGTACCTGGTGAAAATACCCTTCAAAGGTGAACACAAAAGAAAGATGCTTTGAGTCCAACAAAACCAGATGTTTTTTCCTAGGATACTTGCAGTGAAAAGACTATTTAAAGGAGTTCTGCATGGAGTTTGTTCTTTTAAAAGACTATTAAAATTCAAAACATCTGACAAGAAAAGCTAATGCAAAATTACCTGTATCAGGAATTTGTAAATGGGTACATCACTAAAGATTTCATAATTATTAAAGCAATAGTAAGAGAATATTATATATTACTACTTTGTGCTATAAATTAGAAAATATTGATGAAATGGTCAAAATCTTAGAAAAATGTAACGTGCTAAACTTACATAGGAGAGAGTAGTAGAAAATCTCAATCACCTATAATTTATATCTTTTCCTTAAAAGAAATGCCAGGGCCTTATGGCTTCACCATGAAACCTCCCAAACATTTAAGGAAGAAATAATGTCAATCTTACGTAAATTCAGAGACTAGGAAAGAGGTCAGCATAGCTTTGATCCCTAATAGTTGCAAGAACATTAATAGACAAGAAAATTAAAAGGTCTTTCTCACGAACCTCTTTGCAAAAATCCTGAACAAAATCTTGGAAAACCTTATTCAGAGACACATGAAAAAGATCATGTCATGTTGGGTTTATTCCAGGAATGGAAGGTGGTTAATATTGAAGCCAACCAGAGTAATTCACCACATTAACAAAGGTATAAAAAGAATATGGTTGGCCAGGTACAATGGCTTATGCCTGTAATCCCAGCACTTTGGGAGGCCAAGGTAGGTGGATCACTGGAGGCCAGGAGTTCAAGACCACTCTGGTCACCATGGCGAAACCCCATCTCTACTAAAAATACAAAAATTAGCTGGGCGTGGTGGTGCACGCCTGTAACCCCCAGCTACTTGGGAGGCTGAGGCACAAGAATGGCTTAAATCCAGGAGGCGGAGGTTGCAGTCACCTGAGATCATTGCCATTCCACTCCTGGGCGACAGAGTAAGACTCTATCTCAAAAAAAAAAAAAAAAAGCATATGGTCATCTTAGTAGGTGGTGGCAGGAAAATGTAGTCGATAAAGATTAATATCTTTCTTGATGGAAATTCTTAGAAAAGTAGGAATAGAAGGGAAAGTCTTTAATCTGATAAAGGGTCTGTATTATATATCTACAGCAAACATCATACTTAATGGTGAAATATCGGATGCTTTCCCACAGGATTGTGAATGGGATAGGAATGCCCCATATTGTCACTTTTGTTCAGCCAACTTCAAAAGCAAGATTTAAAACTACTTTTGAAAACTGTATACCACGACCATTATATTTTTGTGGGATGTGGATACATGGAATTGTGTTTAATATGCTATGAAGTAGAGCCTCTAAGAGAAAATAATGTTCTGGAAAGCCTCAGAATGGCCCTGCACAGGCAAATGTACCAGGTTGTTCATTGCAGCATTGTTCCTAATATCAATATCAACATGAATATCAATAGAGAATCAGTAAAATAAATTATGGTAATGAAAATAGCTAAGATCTACTGAATGCTTACTATCTGCTGGGCTGTGTTTTGATTGTTCTAACTGGATTTAACTCATTTAATCCTCCCATAACCCTTTGAGGTAAGTACGTTTAGTATCGTTGCCATTTTATAAATAAAGAAAATAAGGCACAGAAAATTAAGTAACCCAGAGTCTCACAGGTGGGTGGTGCCATCTGTCCCCAGAGCCACTTACTTGGCCTCTTGTGGCACTTCTCAGAGGAAGCTGCCAAGATGGTGGGTGATGGTGGGTATAGAATGACTTCTAAGATACAGTAAGTGAAAGAAGCAAAATGGTGTACAAAACAATATAATGCTATGATAACAGTTGTGTTTTTAGAAAAACAGAGGGTGTTTTTCAAGGTTTTTCCTTGAATAATATCATGCTTACTTGCATTCTGAAATGCTTTTTTAAATGGCAGTAAAAAAAATACACCATGAAATCTACTCTATTAACAAATTTTTAAGTATTGTTAACTAGAAGCACAATATTGTATGGCAGGTCTCTAGAAAAATTTTTTTTTAAATTTTTAATTTTATTTCAGATTCAGGGTGTACATGTACAGATTTGTTACATGGATATATTGTGGGATGCTGAGGTTTGGGGTATGATTGATCCCATCACCCAAGTAGTGAGCATAGTACCCAACAGGTTTTCAGTGCTTGCCTCCCCCTCCTCTAGCACTCCCCAGTGTCTCTTGTTGCCATCTTTCTGTCCTCTAGAACTTTGTTATCTTGCCTGACTGAAACTCTGTATCCACGGAACAATTCCCCACTTCCCCTCCCTGAGGCCTCTGGGAGCCACCACTCCACTGTCTGCTTCTGTGATTTTGACTACTTTAGATTCCTCACGTACATAGAGTTATGCCGCTCTTGTCCTTCAGTGACTGGTGTATTTGACTTAGCATAATGTCTCCAAAACTCATTTATGTTGTAGCATGGGACAGGATTTCCTTCTTTTTTAAGGCTGAATAATATTCCATTGTATATTCTATACCACATTTTCTTCGTCCATTCATCTGGTGGTGGACACTGGGGTTGCTTCCACGTCTTGGCTGTTGTGAATTATGCTGCAATGAGCAAGAGAGTGCAAGTATCTCTTTGAGATCCTGTTTTCAATTTTCTTGGATAAATACCTAGAAGTGGTGTTGCTGGATCATTTGGTAGTACTATTTCTAATTTTTTGAGGAACCTCCATACTGTTCTGCGTAATGGCTGCACCATTGTACATTCCCACTAACAGTACACAGGAGTTTCATTTTCTCTACCTCCTCACCAATACTTGTTCTTTTTCAGTTTTTTTTTTTTGATGATGGTCTTCCTAATAAATGTGAGGTGGCGTGTCACTGTGGTTTTGGTTTGCATTTCCCTGATGATTAGTGATGTTGAGCATCTTTTCATATACCTATTAACCATTAAAAATAGAATACTTATACACACATCCTTGAATATACATAGAACATTCCAGGAAAGATATTCACAAAGCCAATTAATAATGATTGCCCTTGGAGAGAAGAACTGGGAGATGGGAAGGAAAAGGAGACTTTCTCTTCATTATTTGCCCTTTTCATTGCTTTTGGGGATAGTGTCTATTGCATGTATTACCTATTCAAATAAATGAGTTAATTAAAAACTCCCCTGGTTATTCCACTGTGTTTAAGAACTGTTGCACACACACGCATGCACACACACACATCTGTGTTTGTGCTATTCTTGATGTTATGAGCTCACCGTGCTGGTGTCCCCCTGGTTTTTACAGAGGCATTCGACTTACAGCAGTGTGCGGCCAGCCAGCAGAGGGGTGACTCAACGCTTGGACCTTCCTGACCTTCCCCTCTCAGGTAAATTATGTCAACATAAAGAACTTTTGACTTATCTTTCCGTGCAGTTAACTTTTCTTCATTTCTCTGCATGAAACTGAGCTTAGAAAAATAATCAGTGGCATTTCTTGCAAGTGATTTCAACCCCGAATAATGTACATATCATGAATGTTAGATGCAGCAGTGCAGCTGACAAAAGGAAAAAGTGTCTCCTGCCAGCTGCACTTCTCAGTGCCCTTGTGCTGGGGAGACAGGCCCAATTTTTTTTTTCTTTTCCTTTTTTCAGAGACATGGTCTTGCTTTGTTTCCCAGGCTGGTCTCAAACTCCTGGTCTCAAGTGATCCTCCTGCCTCGGCCTCCCACAGTGCTGGGATTATAGGTGTGAGCCACTGTGCCTGGCATATTGTTTTTTAACTGAACCTCAAGAGCATATTTTCTAATCTTTAAAAAGTAACTAAGGGAAAAAATCTTACCTGATTTTGAATTTGTCTGCTACTTCTGCAATTCTTAAAATTTGCCCCTTTAAAGGTATTTGTCTTTTGGTGCAGTCCTCTTCCTGTTGTTACACCGTGTGTGTGTGTGTGTGTGTGTGTGTGTGTGTGTGTGTGTGTATTTGTTTTTTGTTTTAACTCCAATCCTGGTTGTAAAGTGGAGGTTGCATTCAGCAGTCCCAGCAGTCCCCATCCATCACATTTGCGTGGCGTCATATTTCCTGTGTCACAGGCTGATGTGAAGCAGCCCTCAAGAAGGGACACGTGGGCTTGAGTCTCAGTACTGCTGCTCAGCCTGGCTTTGGCCCCATCACCCCACTTCTCTGTGCTTTAGTCTCCTCATCTCTAAAACGGAAATAATCCGGTCCACTTCCTAGGATTGTATCAAGGATTGAGTTAGCACATTAAAGCGCCTTGAACATGCTGGGTGTGTGGCAAGCACTGTGGAAGTGTTTACTGTGCACATCTCACCTGCTGTTCTCTGCTGACCCAGTTCGCCTGCCCAGAACTAAAGGGACAACAGTGCTCAAGCCTAGTGGGAAGTTAAGGTTGTCCAGAATACGGGGCTTAGAACCTATGTATGTGTCTATGTGGTGACTGTTAGGAAATAAAAAAGGCAAAAAGAACACTGAATGGACTGTTTACTGGTCCCTGTAGAAGGGATAGAAAGCCAAAAGTCTGGGTCACATGGACAGAAATCCTTTTGTTTCTAAGCATAAAATAAAATTTCTACAGCTGTACTTCCTTTAGATCTTGGTCAAACACAATCAGGCTTGTTCTTAAAATAGTTGTTTCTATGAGGGAACTTTCCCCTCTGAATCTTCTTTGCTTTTTCATGGAATTAAATAAGGATTTTAGAGTTGGGTAAACACTGACAATTGAGAATTTGAAGATGATCTGAGCCCATTCCTCGAGTTTTACATGGGAGAGATTCAAGCCCTACAGAAATTGAGTGACTTATAAAGGCTACAGCGATTTTGGATGGCTGTGGGGCCAGGAAGTCTCCTGATTCTTTCTACCATGTGCCTCTTGGTGCTGAGGCTGGTGATTGCTCGAGTAATAGCTTTCTAAAGTGGTGAAAGTTTACGTGGGACTCCAAGTCATGATAGTGACTTCCCAGCAGAAGGAAATGAAGACCAAAGGCCAGTGTAAAGTCAAGAGTGTAAGAACAAACAGAGTTCAGTGGAGGTAGAGAAATGAGAGAGTACGTGCTCCAGGAGACCAGGCCTGAGTGTCCCATACTAGGAGGGGAGTGGAGGAGACCAGAGCACAGCAGGAAGCCCACTTGGCTCACCATCTCCGTGCTTGCTGTGTAGCACAAAAGAGGGAATAATTTGATGACACGCATAGTGCTAGGTGTGGGGTTTTTGAAAAATTGTGGTAAAAGACACATAATATAAAATTTACCTTATCAACCATTTTTAAGTGAACTAGGTAAGCCTTTGGTAGATAATATTTGTTCTTCTCTCTGTTCCACTAGCCTTAAAGTTTTCTATTGTGTAGAGACACCATTCTTTCTGGTTTTCTTTGAGAGAGAGTCTTGCTGTCACACAGGCAGGAGTGCAGTGGCATTATCATAGCTCACTACAGCCTCAAACATCTGGCCTCAAATGATCCTCCTGCTTCAGCCTTCAAGTGGCTGGGACTAGAGGTGCATGTCACCATGCCTGGCTAATTACAAAAATTTTGTGGGGGGATAGAGACAGGGTCTCACTAAGTTGCCCAGGCTGGTCTTGAACTCCTGGCCTCAAGCAATCCTCTTGCCTTGGCCTCCCAAAGCGCTGGGATTACAGTTATGAGCCATCATGCCTGGCCAAGAAACCATTCTTTTTTTTTTTTGAGATGCAGTCTTGCTCTGTCACCCAGGCTGGAGTGCAGTGGCGTGAGCTCGGCTCACTGCAATCTCTGCCTCCCAGGTTCACACCATTCTCCTGCCTCAGCCTCCCGAGTAGCTGGGACTACAGGCGCCTGCCACCATGCCCGGCTAATTTTTTGTATTTTTAGTAGAGATGGGGTTTCACCGTGTTAGCCAGGATGGTCTCGATCTCCTGACCTCGTAATCCACCCACCTCGGCCTCCCAAAGTGCTGGGATTACAGGCATGAGCCACTGCACCCGGCCAAAACCATTCTTTTAGTTGACACGGTACATACTGAACTTGAGACCACAATAGCTTATTGCTCTGCAGTTAATATCTCATTGACAGCCCTCCCTACTTAGCCCCCACCAGGCACCTGTCTGCTTGGATGATTATATTTACTGTTATTACAGCAAAGGATTACAGTGACAATTACTTGCTTCTAGCAATCCCCAGGAATTGCTTGTCAACACTGAGGTCATTGGAAGCTGCAGAAACCAAAGATTAATGTGCTGTTCTTGTTGTTCCCTTGGATGTAAATACTGTTTTTCTCTGCTATTTAGAGCTGACTAGCCTCACTCCCAACTTTACTGCCCCTAATTGGTGGCAGTGAGCTGTGGAAGGATTACTTTCTTCTGTGACTATTCACAGGTCATGGGCGGCAACTGTGGGCTCATCCTGGTCCCTGGTCTGCTCTGTAGCTTAGAACAAGGCACTTAGTTCTCTGAGCTCCAGTTTCCTCTATAAATATAAACTAGACAGTCTCGAAAGATGTCTCCTGTTCCGCACTTTTATGGTCCTTTGAGAAATATAGTCTGGCTAGACATGGTGGTGCACTTTCCTGTAGTCCCAGCTACTTGGGAGGCTGAGACAGAGGATCATTAGGAGGTCAAGTCCAAATCCAGCCTGGGCAACACGGCAAGACCCTGTCTCTAGAAGAGAAAAAGAAAAACAAGTATCATCTGGAGGATTCAGTTCATTTCATTACCTGTTTTTTGACTCAGACTAATATGACAGCAGAAAGGAGCCTTGAAAGAGTGATTCCTACTTCTTGTTTAGCAAGCCAGGCCCTATGGCTAGAATGGCCTTTTCTCTTGTCAAGTAGTTCTTCTTGGTTCCCAGCTTCTTGTTTATTGCTGCCTGTGGTCTGATCATCACTTGAGGCATTTTCCTGCCACTCTCTCTCAGATGTCTGTCAGTTAAAACAAAAGATACTACCTGGGGACAGGGCTGGCTTCGTTGGCACTTGCACAAGGCCCTTAGAAGGACACATGCTTGGTGTAATGCTCTGATGACATCATCTTGAAATTCACAGTGATTTTTGAGCAGGAGGTTGATTTGGTGCTAGATGCTGTAAATGATGTAGTGGTCCTGCCTGTAGAATCCACATCCCTATTGCATTTTTATTACTTCAGAAACTATATATATGTTTGCACTTGAGGATAAAATGAGAACTGTATTGTATTTGAGAATGAAGTATGATGGCAGTCAAGAGCTGCTTCTTTGGGAATGAGTGATTATGTGGTTGTTCCCACAGATATTCTAAAGGGAAGGACTGAGACCCTGAAGCCAGACCCCCACCTCCGCAAGAGTCCCTCACTAGAGTCACTGAGCAGACCCCCGTCTCTGGGCTTTGGGGACACAAGACTGCTGAGTGCTTCCACCCGGGCATGGAAACCACAAAGCAAACTCAGGTATCGTGTTTCAAACAATAAGAAATCAGAAAAACATCGGGCTAATCACCTTTTATTCTTCCTTCCGTTTTGTCCCCGTGGCCAATTTACTTCTACAAATATTTCCTGCATGAAAATGACTAAGACACTGTGCCTGCCCTTGGTGAGTCTAAAAGGATGACAGTGGATAGTAGTAGTGCGCAAAATGGAATTAAGGGCTGTAAAAAACAATACTGCATAAGCAAAGTCTTGAGAGGTTGTTAGTTGGATCAAGAAGTCTAGAGAGAAGTGGTGTTTCTGCCAAGGGCTCTAAAGGTACCATTACAAGCACGCTGTGGAATAGTGATCAGGGAATGTGGGTGGTGTCATGTGTCTGAACTAGTCTGTGGGCTTCCTGAGAGCCGGGACTCTGCTGTACATATGCATAACAAGCTCTCTGTCAGTATTTGTTGGGTGGATGGATAAGTGACTAGGACATTCCATCTGGAGGGCATATTGTAAGTAGTCTTCATTGCTAAGGAAGAGGTTTGTGCATTATTTTGGTAAAGCACTGGAGTACCACCAAGTTTGTGGGATTTTGTTTCGGATTTTGAGGTTGTACAGTGAGATTGGACCTGCATTTTAAGGAGGATTCATCAGAAAACAGTGGTATATAAGGATTGAAGAGGCATTTTGAAATCAGTGTTTAAGAAGGACTGTCACAGGGATGTAAAGGAATGGTTGGCAGAGGGAGAGGATGGCAAGACCAGCAGGGTGGTCACTAAGAGCTTGTCTTTGTTCCCACACCTCTGTCACCTCCTCCCTTTCCAGTGCCCCTGGTCGCCCAGGCCACAGCAAACCTCTTTCAGCTGCTTCCTCTCCCCTTGTGACTTCCCTGCTTCTCTGTGTTGGTTAATTTTCTGATGCACTGAGCACATCCTGCTGCAGACCTTGCAGAAATCTCACATGACTCTGTCATCTGCACTCCTCATCCTGGTCTTCTAGATGCCCCACAACTTAGCACCACCCCACCCACCTGCCAGAATGGCCCTGTTCCTCCCTCCACCTGAGCCTGTTTTAGTTTCTGCCTTTGTAATAGAACATGACCATGTCTGATTGCAAGTCTTTATGTATAAGGTTCTAGCCTGAATCGTTTTTCTTTTCTCCTTTCATACTCCAAATACTGCTTCTCCTTCAAGGTCAAACCTTTCATGAAGTTGTACCTAACACCTGGCACATTGACATATCCCTTCTCTGACTTTGGCGTCTTACACTTTTTTGGGTGTTTAGTTTTTGTACTGCTTTGTAGTGTGGAACACTGTTGCACAGTACATGCCATTGTCTCCATTTATGCTATAATTTAGTTGACAGTAAAAGTTCAACTTACATTTTGGTATCTCTTCCAGCCCCTTGCATTGTGCAACACACATAGCATTTCACTTAGTAAAACTTACGAGTGAGTAGATGGATTAATATACAAAATTGGCTAGTTTAGGAGTAATAGCTTTTTAATAAATCTTATAATCACAAATATGGGTATTATAGAAGGATTTATAAAAGTCTGAATAAATTCAGGTCTTGTTACACCTTTGGGTACAGCATATATTTGGACCCAAATAGATGAAGTCATGTGTTTCAGAAGTTTAATGTAAAGCCCCAGATACTACATATTGTCCTGTTTATGTGCAAGAGATTTAAATAATCAAAAGAGGTTTTAAGGACCAGAATTAGTGCTGTTCTGAAGTTGCCGTTTTCTTTATGCCAGAAATGCATACAAAAAGGCTATATGTATATGAATATGCTATTGATATTTTACCTTTTTTAATGAAAAGTTAAATTAGTAAAATTCTTATTTCAATTTTACACTTACGTTATTGACATAAACAATGGCAAGATATTTGGTGTTTTTAATATGCCCTTCCAATGCACCTTTAAAATTTATTTTATTTTATTTTTTGGAGATGGGGTCTTGCTCTGTTGCCCGGGCTGTAGTGAAGTGGCACAGTCATAGTGCACTACAACCCTGAACTCCTGGCCTCAAGCAGTCCTCCCTTCTCAGCCTCCTGAGTAGCTGGGATTAGAGATGCACACCACCATGCCCAGCTAATTTTTTTATTTTTTATTTTTTTAAAGATGGGGTCTCGCTATGTTGCCCAGGCTGGTCTTGAACTCTTGGGCTCAAGAGATCTTCTTCCCTTGGCTCGTAAAGTTCTGGGATTATAGATGTGGGCCACTGCACCCAGCCAATCTACCTTTTACATGTTATTTAGGTACTGGTTTAGTCTTGAAACATGTAGGGTGTGTTTTGTTTACGTATCTTTAATTCAAATGATACTGTACTTAAGTAAACAAATGAAAGACTAGATGGATGAGCAACAAATGGATTTGAAAACAAAATGTAACAAAACTCTCCCCAAATTTATGATAGTCAGGAAGCACAATTTAATTTTTATTTTATACTGTGAGATATCACAAAATAGTAATGTGACTAATTCGGCTGTTTCTTTAGAATCTTGCTGGATAAACTAGACTTTTGCTTTTCTAAAGTAGGTATTTATTTCTTGTGTATTTGAGAATTCTAAGTATTAGCATCTTCTCCTTACCATGTGCTCTTCTTTCTAACCAGTGTGGAAAGAAAAGACCCTCTGGCAGCCTTGGCCCGGGAATACGGTGGTTCCAAGCGCAATGCTCTACTGAAATGGTGCCAGAAGAAGACACAAGGTTATGCGGTAAGGGACAACATCAGCCAACTTCCAGCTGCCCCTGGGCAGTAGTAGTCCTGTGCCAATACATGTTCCTTGTGTGCCTGTGCTTGATGGGCCAATATGCATGTAATTGTCATCTTTCTATTCTCCTAGGCAGGGCTGCCAGGGAATGTTTGATATTTGTGCACTGCCCAAAGGCACCGTGACAGAGGCAAATGCAACTGAAAAACGGTCTGCACTCCACCCACCAAATGTATGGCTGCACGCAGAGCTGCACCTCCCGAGGGAAGGGGACCTTTTTCTTTGGTCAGAGTGTTACTGGCCACAGGTTCTTGGGCTGTCAATGCGATAGAAATTGTCATGAGGCCAAAAGAGTTTTCTCAACAAGGCTTTATTGGAGCTTATGCCCTTATCCCTCAGGCATGAGGGAGGAAGCACGGGAGAGGGAGGATTCTCTGGCTGACTCCTTGAAATGAGCTGGTAGGGATTTTTTTATTAAGCAAAGTGCAGGAATTGATATCAACATAGAGAATGTGGGCTGGGCTGGGTAGATCATATGAGGGGTAGGGGATGTGGGTCAGTTTATCTGCTGGCGACGGTTGTCTTGAGTCATGGGCCACCTAGTGTTCTGGTTGGTGGCAGCAAGGCTGTAAATCAGTTGTTTAGCATTCTTCCCTGAGATGAGGACATTTGCAACTTTGGTTGGATATGTTGGATTTCCTAGGGCCAGTTTCTGGAATTATTTAAGTAAAAGAATTAAACATTCTTTTATTCTTTTAAACATTATGAGAGTGCGGAAAAACAGTATGGCTATTTTCTTTGCATGACTGTTAAGCAGGTATGTCAGTGAAGTAGTGGTGTGGGTTTTGTGATCAGTGGGAATGCATGAAAGAATGCTATAGTGGGGATGAGCTGAAGCCAAGTCCTGTCCCTGCTGTCTCAGAAGAAGACACAAGCTCCAGTGGCTCACGCCTGTAATCCTAGCACTTTGGGAGGCCGAGGTGGGCAGATCACGAGGTCAGGAGATCGAGACCATCCTGGCTAACACAGTGAAACCCCATCTCTACTAAAAATACAAAAAATTAGCCGGGCGTGGTGGCGGGCGCCTGTAGTCACAGCTACTCGGGAGGCTGAGGCAGGAGAATGGTGTGAACCCGGGAGGCGAAGCTTGCAGTGAGCCAAGATTGCGCCACTGCACTCCAGGCTGGGCGACAGAGCAAGACTCCGTCTCAAAAAAAAAAAAAAAAAAAAAGCAGACACAAGCTCCCCGAGCAGTGATGCCTCCACCCAAGAAGACAGCTTTTGCTGAATTACCCTCCTGAAGAAGAGTGCTTTGCCTAATTCGCATAAAGGTCCTATGTAGTTGGGCCTCCAAAACTTCTCCAAACATTTTGTTTCTATTGTTTTGAGAATTGTTTGCGTTTAGTTTAAGAGTTTTTGTTTTCTAGGACAGTATCTGTTTTCTGTGAATATCAGAAAAGGGAAGTAATACCTGATGTAAGTTTAAGTTTTTTTCTTGTGAAATACACAAAGATAAAATGCACAAAATATAAATCATAATTTCTTGAACTGTGAGGAAGTGAAAAGTCATGCAGTCACCACTCCCATCCAGAAGAGGAGCATCACCAGCTCCCACAGACCCTTCCTATGACTTTCCCATCATAGCCCTCAGTACTCCCTAAGATAACCATTGTCCTCAATTCTCCTTCCAGATTTTTACAAAAGTATGCATCCGTAAGTACTATGTTAGTATTGCTTGCATTTGAATTTTATTACAAATGGAATAAAAAACTATGTAATATTTGCAGCTAGCTTTTTTTACACGGTATTGAGTCAGTGAGATTTATCCTCATTGTTGCATATAGCTGTAATTTGTTCATTTTCTTCACCATTTAGTAACCCATTGTAGGATTATACCATTATTTATCCATTCGATTATTGATGGAGAGTTGAGTCATTTCTAGTTTGGAGCTATTATGAATAACGCTGTTATGTTCTTGTGCGTATTTCCTGAAAAACATATGTGCTCATTCCTGCTGGATACATGCTTAAGAATGGAATTCCTGGGCCATAGGGTATGCATACAATCTAGTGGATAGTGCCAAACAGATGACTGAAGTAATTGTATAATTTATGTCTCTCCAGCAATTTATGAGAGATTTATTTCTCTGCATTCACATCAACACTTGGTATTGTCAGTCTTTTTACTCAAGGTCATGTGGGTAATGTGTAGTACTGTCTCACTGTGGTTTTGGTTTGCATTTTCCTGTTGGCTGGGGAGGCTGAACACCTTTTCATATGCAAATAGATACCCTCTTTAAAATTGGCAATTCCTACTGCATTCTTAACAATATTTTGCTAAAATTTCGGAAGATTCCAGCACCGTAATACTCCCTTCCCAGGCTGAAGCTTTTGAGGGAGGTGGGGATGGAAAATGAAAGAAGCTAGCAAGAAAAACCCAGCCTCAGCCAAGATCCATCCCAGATAGTAAATTAGCAGGGCTGGGAGTCTCTGTCATGTCAGCAGTCAGATGTCTTAAAACCAGAATCTACCCAGAGTATGTGTATCCTGTATCTTTGCCATTACCTTCTTTTCACTTTATGTTAAAAAAGAAAAAGAATCGCAGCACTTTGAGAGGCCGAGGGGGCAGGATTGTTTGCGCCCAGGAGTTTGAGGCTGCAGTGAGCTGAGATAGCACCACTGTAGTGCAGTGTGGGTCAGAAAAAAGAAAAGAAAAACCTGTCATGCTACTGACCAATAATAGAGGCTCCCAAAGTATAAACTCGCCTCAGACCCTTGTTTATTCTTCCTGCTACCCTGTCCACTCTGCCTCTGCCCTGTTTCAAGGATGGACCATGCCATGAAGGAAGGCCTCTTGGTTACAGCCTCCCCCAGCCCATCAGCCACGCTGCCGAGGACACGGGAAAGAATAAGAAGCCATAAGAACCAATAGCTATGACTTCTTATTCTTTCCTGTGTCCTTGGCAGCGTGACTGATGGGCTGGGGAGGCTGTAACCAAGGGGCCTTCCTTCATGGCAGTTGAACAATGTGAACACTTGGACACAGGAAGGGGAACATCACACACGGGGGCCTGTTGTGGGGTGGGGGGAGGGGGGAAGGATAGCATTAGGAGATATACCTAATGTAAATGATGAGTTAATGGGTGCAGCACACCAACATGGCACATATATACATATGTAACAAACCTGCACATTGTGCAGATGTACCATAGAACTTAAAGTATAATAAAAATATATTAAAAGAAAATAAATAAATATCAAGAAGGAGAAAGAAAAAAAAAGAATAAGAAGTCAGAGGGAGGCAGCTGCCTGCAGGAGGTTTAGCGTAAAGAAAATAGGAATGGTGATGGGAAATTGAAGAAAACATTTAAAAAGAGCTGTCATTCAAGAATGACTCCACTGATGCCGCCTGTGCTGTTCCCCACCTGACAGTAATGGACCAAGGCAGCTGCCAGAGTGCATATGAAAAGACAATTCACGTTTTCAGAAGGAGTGGCCTTCTATGATGTAACCTTGTTGTAATGCAGGGAAGAGACAGACAATAAGATGTTTCCAGTCAGGATCACAAGAACACTATTTCCTGCTGGAGTGATTTGTGTGTGTGTGTGTGTGTGTGAACATTTTGGATTCGTTTTCAAAACATTTTACGTTTGATGAAACCCAAAACTCATTTTGCCTGTAGTACTTTTCATTCATCATGAAATCTCTGTAAAATTAGAAATATGACCATGTGTCTGCTTTATTTACCCTTCACAAAATATGTCTAGACCTGTTTGTCTGAGACACCTCATAGTCTTGTTCTCTCAGAATTAGGAAGCCAAAAATAACTGGTGAAAACTTTTTGAAAACCGGGAACCATGTGTACTTGACTTAAAATAACTTTCCTTTTATTTCATCAAAATACAGCGTGAAAGGTTATGTTACATCCCTCCATATATATATATTTTTATTTCAGCTTTAGTTATAGATTCAGGGGGTGAGTGGGCAGGTTTGTTACAAGGGTATATTGCTTGATGCTGAGGCTTGAGTTATGGGTCCCGTCACCCAGGTAGTAAGCATAGTACTCTGTAGGTAGGTTTTCAACTCAGGCCTTCTTCCCTTCCTCCCTTGTCTAGTAGTCCCCAGTATCTATTGTTGCCATCCATGTGGCTTTTTTTGGAGACGGATTTTTTTTTTTTTTTTTTTTTTTTTTTTTTTTGAGACAGAGTCTCACTCTGTCACCCAGTCTGGGGTGCAGTGGCACAATCTCAGGTCACTGCAACTTCCACCTCCCAGGTTCTAGCAATTCTCCTGCCTTAGCCTCCCAAGTAGCTGGGACTACAGGTGCACCCCACCACACCTGGCTAATTTTTGTATTTTTAGTAGAGACAGGGTTTCGCCATGTTGGCTAGGCTGGTCTCGAACTCCTGACCTCAGGTGATCCGCCCACCTTGACCTCCCAAAGTGCTGGGATTACAGGTTCACACCTGTAATATACATAAAGGGCTACTGGATACATATACATAAAAAGGGCCACTGCACCTGGCCCTTTATATCCATATGTACTCAACGTTTAGCTCCCACTTATAAGTGAGATGTGGTATTTGGTTTTCTGTTCCTGCGTTAGTTTGCTTAGAATAGTGGCCTCCAGCTGCATCCATGTTTTTGTTCTTTTATATGGACATGATTTTTGTTCTTTTTTATGGCTGTGTATTTCCATGGTGTATATTTACCACATTTTCTTTATCCAACCCACTGTTGGTGGGTACTTAGGTTGATTTTATGTTTTTTCTACTGTGAACAGTGCTGCAATGAACATACGAGTGGTAGAACGACTTATTTTTCTTTGGGTATATACCTAGTCATGGGATTGCTGGGTCAAATGTTCTATTTTTAGTACCTTGAGAAATCTCCAAACTGCTTTCCACAGGGGCTGAACTAATTTTATTCCCACCAGCAGTGTATAAGCATTTCTTTTTCTCCATGGCCTCGCTAGCGTCTGCTATTTTTTGGCTTTTTAATAATAGCCTCCTGGCTAGTGTTAGATGGTATCTCATTGTGGTTTTGATTCGTATTTCTTTGAAGATTAGGGATGTTGAGCGTGTTTTCATGTTTATTGAATGTATATATGTCTTCTTTTGAGAGGTGACTGTTCATTTCCTTTGCCTATTTTTTAATGGGGTTATTTGGTTTTTGCTTGTGGATTTAAGTTCTTATAGATTCTGGATATTAGATGCATAGTTTGTGAATATTTCTTCCCATTCTATGGGTTGTCTGTTAACTCTGTTGATAGCTTCTTTTGCTGTGAAGGAACTCTTTAGTTTAGTTAGATTCCACTTGTCAATTTTTTATTTTGCTGCACTTGCTTTTGGGGACTTAGCCAAAAATTCTTTGCTAAGGCCAATGTTGAAAAAGTTATTTCCTAGGTTTTCTTCTAGGATTTTTATAGTTCGAAGTCTTATATTTAAATCTGTAATCCATTTTAAGTTAATTTTTATATGTAGTGACAGGTAGAGGTCTAGTTTCTATCTTCTGCGTATGGTCAGCCAGTCATCCCAGCAGCATTTGCTGAATAGGGAATTCTCTTCCCATTGCTTGTTTTTGTCAAAGATCAGATGATTATAGGTTTGCAGCTCTATTTCTGGATACTCTAACTTGTGTATGTGTCTGTTTTTATACCAGTGCCATGCTGTTTTGGTTACTGTAGCCTTAGAATATAACATGAACTCAGGCAATGCGAGTCTCCAGCTTTGATCTTCTTACTTAAGATTGCTTTGGCTATTCAGACTCTGTTTTGGTTCCATATGAATTTTAGAATAGTTTTTTCTAATTCTTTGAAAAATGACATTTGTAGTTTGATAGGAATACCATTGAATCTGTAAAGTGCTTTGGGCAGTATAGCCATTTGAATGATACTGATTTTTCCAATCCATGAGCATGGAATGTTTCTCCATTTATTTGTGTCATAGCTGGTTTCTTTCAGCCTCCTTCCATATATTGTTCAGCTCCAGGTAATATTGTAGGTGCTGGGGGCCGGGCGCGGTGACTCACGCCTGTAATCCCAGCACTTTGGGAGGCTGAGGCGGGTGGATCACAAGGTCGGGAGATCGACACCATCCTGGCTAACATGGTGAAACCCCGTCTCTACTAAAAAATACAAAAAATTAGCCGGGCGTGGTGGCACGCACCTGTGGTCCCAGCTGCTCGGGAGGCTGAGGTAGGGGAATGGCGTGAACCCGGGAGGCGGAGCTTGCGGTGAGCCGAGATAGCGCCACTGCACTCCAGCCTGGGCGACAGAGCAAGACTCCGTCTCAAAAAATATATATATATATTGTAGGTCCTGGGGATTCCACAGTGAATGAAACAGGCAACAGTCCCTGCTCTCATGGAACTTAAATCCTCATGGGGTCTGGCAGTTAACTGAAATAAAAGGTAACATATGTACGGTATTTGAAGGTTGTATTGCCGTGGAGAGAAATAAAGCAGGGAAGGAGGGTTGGGAATGTTGGGTGAATGGTACAATTTATACATAGTGGTCAGGGAGATGACATTTGAGCACTTGCTCCCCTCTCTTGAAGGGCTTTGGTGTCTGCATGAAGCTTTATTTCCCACCAAGGCCTAGGTGTGGAGGGTCAGAGTAAGGAGGTCATTACTGTCGTTACTGTGCCAATAGAAGCTGAAGTGACACACGGTGGTCGACCCAGGTCAGCAGCACTGGGAAGTGAGCATCGCAGCCAGACCCACCTGCCGAGCTCCGGGCCAACTGCCTGACATCTCGAGTGGCCCAGGATTGAGACCCAGTGAAAGGATGTGAGTTTGCCCTCACTACGAAGTGAGGCCCAGTTCACTAAGCTCAAAATGGCGCTCCTAGGAGGCCCTTCCTCACATTCTGCTCAACTCATACACACTGGTGTCTTTTTGGAATAAGTCACTCCTGGAAAGGCCCTCTAAATTACTCTCAGTCCTCAAATTTCATACTCCTGATGTGTGTTGGCTGTTTTCCAAGCCAAGGGCAGGCCTGACTCAGATAACTCCTACCCCTCCCTTTCTTTCATCTGAAAGTCTAGTTTAAGCTCCTAGTTTTCTGTTACGATGGAGAGATTTCCATTTGTAATTTCCAGTAAGAATTCTGAAGGGACAGAAAGTCGGGAGGGTAGGTGTGACAGGAAGAATTCTGAAGATAACCCCCATGACTCTCCATGGTAGAATGTCCTCCTCTTTATATGACACAGGGAGATGGTCTGGATATGCCCACTAATCACAAACCCCTGTAGAAGCCAAGTGATGTCTCTGGCTTGTGGCAGAAGTTGGGGAAATTCAAAGCATGAGAAGGACTCTGATTGTTCTTGGTGGTTTGAAGAGGGAGGGGGCACGTGAGAAGGAGCCAAGAAGGGCCCCCTGGCTGGCAGCCAGCAGGAAACAGGGACTTTCTAGCACTAAAGCATTAGTGCTGAGGTCCTGGCCGTGCCCAGAAATTGCCATGTGGGTGCTCTGGAGTTTTGAGGTTGACAACTGCAAGTTGTGTGTAGTGCCACCGGGTCCTTTGTCTCCTCCTCTGTCCTGATGCCCTCAGACCTCAGCCAGGCCAGGGACGCTCAGTTTGCTTTGCCTTCTGCTTTCCCTCAGCTGGGGGATCTTGGGCTGGAAGTCACTCTGATGAACATGTGGAATTCAGCTCTAAGTCTCTCCTGAGTCCTCTGTTACCTCCCAGGAGGCATGATGAGGCACAGCTACCCTTCACCTCCATGGGTGGCATGAAGATACTTGCAAGTATCTTTTAGACGAAAATATATACCGGTATTTACTGTTACTTGAATTCCTGTTTGGTTCTTGCATTTCAGATCAAAAGAAAGAAGAGTTTAGATAGGGATTTACTTGAAAATGTATCTGTATCTGTTCCACTTTTGAAATTGTATGGCAAGAATTCAGATAGCAGGCGACACCTACACTATCATTAAGGGACAGATGACGTCTTTGAACCAGGTTTTAACCTGTTAGCTCAGACCTATATCTTCTTCTCTTTTGGAGAAAAAAAAATCAGTCTTTGTGTGTCCACACTGAATTTTGCTTTGAATCTGGAAAGAACACCCATGTTGCAGGCAACTTCTGTTGTTCTGTCTCTGAGTTCCCACAAACAAGCACTAAAATCTGCTTAGCCAATAGCAAGCAGCCTCTAAAATATCAGGTCACTTGGGGCTCTGTTTCTTATATTCTTTTTTGAGACAGATCTCTTGAAGGCTACACGCACAATTCAAAGAACATAAAGCCTTTGATTTATTTACTGCCATCAGAGTGGTCCTTTCCCTGACTTAGATGATAGAGTCTCAATAGCAGATGCGCGGCACTGTGGGCTTCCACTCTATTGAGGCCTTTTCTACCCACTTTCTCTGCTTCTGTACCGTTTCTGACACAGTGGTCTGTGAAGACATTTTCAGTGGCACAGGTGTTGTCCTACAACCTGTGACAACAGTGGAGTTTGTTTGCAAAATAAAGATGCAAGGCTTTCCCATGTTGTGGGAGACACAGTCCTCTCCTGGTGGCCGTGTTTCTGGTTGGTTTTCTCTCACGAGCCAGTGTGCTGTGGGGCACCCGCTCCCACTCCCACTCTCAGTGGTGTGTGCATGCCCAGAGGTATGAAACTTCAAGGAATAAAAGTGGCTTTCTGAACAAAAATATCAAAGTGTGTAGAGACCTGTCAGACTGTTCGCACAGCAGATGGGGAGGGACACGTTCTCCCACCTTAGTCTGCACAAACACCGAAGAAGCAGCCCTGACAAGTCTAAGCTGGGCACATCCCCAATTCCTTGGGAATTTTGGAAATAAAACTGAGAAAGATTACTCTAAAATATAAAGCCCAGATGCTATTGGCAGCCATGTTTTTGCCTCTGTGCAAAAAAGACTTAACCCAGTAGGCCTGGGACGGCTCTCTTTAGCAAGGCTGCTTGCAAGGCTGGCCCTTGGCTGGCGTCTGGGAACTGGGATTACAGGAGGGTTCCCATTGTTTCCAGAACTGATGAGAGGGGCTCACGGTGCTGAAACTGTTTGTGCAAACACATGGTATGTGCTGAACAGCAGCTTTCCTTTGGGGAGTCTGGAATGTAGTATGTGCTGGGCAGAAGGGGCTGGATGCTGAGTCCCTAGTGAGCTTCCCTGGTTGGCAGCATTTTTTCTTGAGATGGGGTTTCAGTCTTGTTGCCCAGGCTGGAGTGCAATGGCACCATCTCGGCTCACCACAACCTCCGCTCCCGGGTTCAAGATTCTCCTGCCTCAGTCTCCCGAGTAGCTGGGATTACAGGCATGTGCCACCACACCCAGCTGGTCTCAAACTCCCGACCTCAGGTGATCTGCCTGCTTCGGCCTCCCAAAGTGCTGGGATTACAGGTGTGAGCCCCTGCACCCGGCCGGTTGGCAGCATTTCACACGTGTTGTCATGGCTTGTTGCCAGGGGAATTAAACATGTCCGTGACTGCTGGAGAGAATTCTTGGAAGCACGTGCCTGGTTTCCTCGGGACTTCCTGCCCTGTGCCTTTTCCCTTTGCTGATCTGGCTTTGTGTCCTTTCGCAGTAATAAATCTGTGAATAGCCGTGGCCATGACTCCATGCTGCGTCCTGTGGGTCCTTCCCCTGATCATTGAACACGGGCTTTTTATTGAGCCTTAAAAAGGAGTAAGGCACTGACACAGGCTGCAGTATGAATGTTCCCTGAAGACGTGTTGCCAGGTGAAAGAGCTGGGTGCAAAATCTACATCTTGTATGAGTCCATTTATAAGAAATATCCAGAATAGGCAAATTCACAGAAACAGAAAGCAGATGAGCGGTTGCCAGAGGCTGAGGAGAGAGGGCAATAGGGACTGGAGTGGCTGCTTAGTGGGTACAGGGTTTTCTGTTGGGTGATGAAAATGTTCTGGAACTAGGTAGTGGTGATGGTTGCACAACATTGGGAATGTGCTAAAAGCCACTGAACTATACACTTTAAACTGGTTTAAAATGGTGAAAGTGATACATTAATTTTACCTTAATTTTTTTTAAAAAAAACAGTGTTATGAACAGACACGATAGCTCATGCCTGTAATCCAGACACTTTGAGGGGCCAAGGCAGGAGGACTGCTGAGACCAGGAGTTCAACACCAGCCTGGGCAACATAGCAAGGCCCTGTCTTTACCAAAAAAAAAAAAAAAAAAAAAAAAAAAAAAAAAACATTAGCCGGCTACGATGGTGTACACCTGTGATTCCAGCTATTCAGGAGGCTGAAGACAGAGACTTACTTGAGCCCAGAAGTTCAAGGCCTCCGTGAGCTATGATCACACCACTGCACTCCAGCCTGGGCAACAGAGAGAGACCCTGTCTCTGGGGAAAAAAAAAAAAAGTGTGCCATGATGATGAATATCACTTACCATGCATTTTTATGCTTATGCTAAATAGTTGTGAAATAGTGCCAAATTTTTGTAAAGTAAGTTCCTAGAAGTGAATTTGTTTTTGCAAAAGGGTGTGTTACACTTTCCATTTTAATATATATTCTCAAATTGCCTTCATTAAGGTTATTTAGTTTACACTTCTCTATACAGTGTACAAGATTATACATTCCCAATACTGGATACACCTACTCTTTTGATCTTTTTCAGCCTAAGAGGAGAAAATGGCATTTCTTTTAATTTTTCATTGCAGATGAAGGAGAAGCACTTTTTATCAACTTGTTAGTTATTTATATCTTTCTTCTGTGAATTACTACTACAGTTGCTTTGCTTGCTTTTCTATTTGTATGTTCATCTTTTTTCCTCAAAATTTGTGATAGCTCTTTTTGGTTTTCTTTTGGTTTTTATTTTTATCAAAGCTCTGCATGCCCACAATCAGGTATGCAGAGATCCTGATGAGCAAAGCAGTCAGCCGGCCTGAGAGCTCTGCTTCCTGCTCCCCAGAGTCAAGCATTTTCAAGTCACCTTGCTGATTTTTTTTTTGTCATTTACCTCTACGTTGCTGACTAGCACGTTTATCAACTGCTATTTCTAGTTTTTCATTTTAGATGTTGTATTTTGATCTCCTACTGTGAAAGATGAGGGTTTATTTCTTTTTCACTCCCACCCCCCCCATGCTTCCTGTCTTTGCATTCTTTCATGGTTGTACATATCTGGAGTTCACATTAAGATGCTGTGAGTGTCATTCATAGATTAGCCATGTAGTAGTATACACTGCTGCAGCTTTTTCTTTTACACAACCTGTTACTTGCCTTACACTTAAAATCGTCTTGTTTTTGTCTGTTTACTTAGTTTTGTATGTAAATGATACTCATTCAACCGCAACTCTTCATGAGATATCCCCACACATCACAAGGGTCAGGGGTTGCAGCTGTGTTATCCTGAGGAGATCTCTCTGGAGCCTCTGACCTCTTCCATCATGGCTGCCCTCTATGCCTGGTGCACAGAGTCCCTGTTAGTTCTTTGCCTCTCTCTTTTTTGATCTTCTGTATCCTACATCCTATTCTTTTTTTTCCCCTTTGTTTTTTTTTCCCTTTGTTTTTTTTTCCCTTCAGTATCTCCCTGAGAATGAGTTCATAGATGGTAAAATTTTATGACCTCGCATCTTTGTTTTACCCTGATGCTTGATGGTTTCTTTAGGTATAAGATTTTAGGTCAGAAATTATTTTCATTCATAATTTTGTGGGCATCGCTCCATTGTCTTCTATTTGCCAGTGTTGCAGCAAGAAAAGAATGATTACAGTCGTTTGTGATTTTTTTTTCCTCTGCAAAAGCTCATAGGAGGTTCTGGTTGTCTCCAGGATTCTAAAATTTCAGGGTGATGTGCCTTGCTCTATAGCTTAAGTTTTGTGTTTTCTATCATGCTAGGCACTCACTGCACCCTTTCAATATGTAATTCATGACTTTATTTTCTGGAATTATTTCATTGGTAATTTCTTCTACTCTGTTTTCTTTTTCTGGAAATCCCCCTGGCCTGGCCCTCTAATTATCATATTCTTTTTTTCCCCTATTTCTATCTCTTTGCATTACAGTTTTGTTTTCTGGGAGGCTTCCCTAACTTTAATCTTCCAAATTCTATTAAATGCTTAATTTTGCATTTTTTTTTTTGCTTTTGCATCATTTCAATTGTTTTTTAATTGTGAAATGTACATAGGATAAAATTTACCATCTTAACTATTTTTAAATGTACAGTTCAGTATCGTTGAGTATGTTCTCATTATTGTGTAACCAATCTCTAGAATGTTTTCATTTTGCAAAACTTAAATTCTATACCCATTAAACACTAATCTGACATTCCCCTCTTCCCCCAGCCTCTGGCAGCAGCCATTCTACTTTGTATCACTATGAATTTAACCACTTTAGGTACCCCATATAAACGGAATCATACAGTATTTGTCCTTTTGTGTCTGGCATATTTCACTTAGCATGATGTCCTCAAGGTTCATCCATGTTATAGCATGTGTCAAAATTTCCTTCCTTTTTAAGACTGAATAAAATTCCGTTGATTATATTTGCTATCATATTTTTAACTTCTAGGATTTCTTTTTTATTCCCTGAAATTTTTTATAGCATCCTGTTCTTGTTTCACAGATACAATGTTACATATGAATTTCACTGAGGATTGTAGGTTGATTTTATCACCAAATCTCTCTATGCAGATTGTTTCCTACAGTCCCTTTATTCCATTGGTATCTTTAGGTCTCTATCTTTATGCTGGAGGTTTGACTGCTCATGTTTAGGTGGAGGCTCTGCAAAGCTGACCCCCTCCCTGGCCTGCGTATGAGGCCTGCGACTATGTTCCTGTGGCATATCCATGACGAACTTCTGGTGTCAGTGTCTTTAGGTGGTCCTTCCTCTTGGGCACATCCATTCTCCAGAGAAAGGCCTTCTAGTCTCCTGCTGGAGGACATCAACCTGGCAACCAGAATTGTGGGACCTAATCAGAAAAGAGGCCTGTGGGCCAGGCACAGTGGCTCACCCCTGTAGTCCCAGCACTTTGGGAGGCCGAGGTGGGTGGATTGCTTGAGGCCAGGAGTTCAAGACCAGGCTGGCCAACATGGTGAAACCTCATCTCTACTAAAAACATTAGTGGGGCATGGTGGTGCACGCCTGTAGTCCCAACTGCTTGGGAGGCTGAGGCATGAGAGTCTCTTGAACCTGGGAGGCGGAGGCGAGATCGTGCCACTGCATTCCAGCCTGGGTGACACAGCGAGACTCTGTCAAAAAAAAAAAAAGAAGAGGCCTGGGGGTGGAGAGTGACTACCTCAGCCCTCACCATGTAAATTCACTTAATTCCCTTGTTTTCACTGCATCACTCATGCCTCCACTGCTCACTGTCCTCTGGGTGTGCACAGAAGAGAGAACGTTTGGAGCTTTGGCTGCTCTATAAACAGATCTCCAACCCATTCTTCCTGTTTTTAACCACCTTCATTCCCCCACCTGAAGCACCTCTTGCCACCAATTTCCTGTGTCTTTGAGGGATTTTGCACCATAAATCAGGTTGGGTCTTTGCCCTTCGCCACTGCTGGCCTGGGATTTAGTTTGCTTCGGTCTGTTATGTTAGTTATCTCTTGTCCATTGACTTTTCAGCTGCCAATGTTTTGTCTTTTTGCTTTCTTTCATGTTCCCTTTTTCCTTGTCTGTTAATGCCTTTGGAGGAAAAATTCCTTTCTGTGGTTTTCTGGGGCTTCACGAGGGGGTGAGATTGTGAATGCATGCGTTTCATTGCCATCAGCCTGGAGGCCTCAGAGAGCTTTATTCCTTTCTCCTTAAGGATATTAACCATTATCTGTCATAGAGGTTCCAAGTACCCTTTACATATATACTATATTATATACAAATACACACACCCTTTTGTTCCTTCTGGAGTGCATTTGTGTTTGTTAGGTCAAGTTTTATTTTTCCCCCAGATGGATGGCTATTTATTTCAGCATCACTTATTTCATCATCTCTCTTGAACTAACTGATAGGCCTAGGTATGAATGGGAACTGAGTGGTGTCTGGACTTGCTGTTCCCTTCTGTGCCTCTGTGGGTCTGGCCTCTGCCACAGGTTGCTGCCGAGCAGAGAAATGAGAGCAGGACCTGAGTGCGGCACAGCGCCCTGGGCCTCAGCCAGGGTCCTGTGAGTGTCAGTCAGTGCTGTGGCATGCGTTGTTTTGATGAATTTAATGCCCTGGCATTTTTCATTATTTGATTATACTTGTTGGTTTTCTAGGTAAACTATTACACATAACAATAGTTTTGTTTCCTTTTTTTCTTTTTTCTTTTTTTTTTTTTTTTTTGAGAGGTAGTCTCAAAAAAGTCTCGGCTCACTGCAATCTCCGCCTCCCAGGTTCAAGTGATTCTCCTGCCTCAGCCTCCCTAGTAGCTGGGATTACAAGCACGTGCCACCACACCTGGCTAATTTTTTGTGTTTTTAGTAGAGACGAGGTTTCACCACATTAGCCAGGATGGTCTTGATCTCCTGACCTTGTGATCCACCTGCCTTGGCTTCCCAAAGTGCTAGGATTACACACATGAGCCACTGTGCCCAGCCTTGTTTCTTCTAATATTTATACCTCTTGTACTTTTTTTGGTTTATTGCATTCATGAAAGTCCAGGTCACTGTTGAATAATGCTATTGATGGTGGATATTCTTGTTTTATTTTCTGTTCGTAATAACAGAAATAAGATTTAATAATATTATTAAATAATTTAATAATAATTTAATAATCACCTAAATGAGATTCTTGTATTGTTTTGTGATAAATACTCTATCAACTAAAGGAAGCTTGCATCTGTTTTGAGCTTACCGGGGGATGTTTTAAGTCCAGAAATAGGTAAGAATTATATCAAATTCCTTTTTAGCTTTTAATGAGCTATCCATATGGTTTCTTCTCTTTTGACCCATTTATGTAATTAATAACATAAATACATTTACTAGTAGGGGAACATTTGTACATATCTGGGGGCAAAATTCCAACTTGGTCATGGTATACTATTCCTGAAGGAAACTCTACTTGATTGTGGTTATTCTTTAATGTGAAATATACGATTTTTTATACTCAGTTATTGATGAGACATTTGGCTTCTTGTTGGTTGCTTTGGTATAAATGAAGTTTTGTCTCAATAAGGCCTGTTTTTGTTTTTGTTATGATGTTAGTGAGCTCTAAAACCCTGTATCATCTGTATATAGTAAAAAGTGCAATAGGTATTTATTTTACCACCTTCTGTAGTAGGATTAATGACAGAATTAATTCTTAGCCAAAGAGAATGTTTTATACTCTAGTTGCAAAGTTCTGTCCAGTCTGACAAATGAAAACCTGAAAACCCCAAAAATGTTGTTGGGTAGAAGTTGGGAAACCTTTCATTTAAGCTTCAGACAATTTTTGTGAAAAGTATAAGAGTGAAGACTTAACATTTTTCCTGGAACTGATGCTCTTTTGTTTTGATGAAAGTCCTCTGAAAGGACTTGTTAGTTGCATAGAGGTAAGGCTAGGCCCCTGCCTATTCTCAGGGCTCAAGGCCTGAGCAGCCGAAGGCCCATCAGTGGTCCCAGTTACCTCAGTGGGAGCTCAAGTGTCCCCTGTCCCCATGTGGCCACTTGATCTGCTGGATTCTGAGTCAGGTGTGTTGAAATCTCTTACTCTGACTGTGGTTTGTGTCAAAAGCTTTGATTGCTGAGAGATTATGTTCCAGATATTTTGAACCATACGTAAAGGTTTCTTGTTCTATCTTCTTGGTGGTTTTTACCTTTTACTTCAGTTAATCCTTTTGATCTAGAAGCTTACATTTTATATACCAATATTGCTATTTCCATTTATGTTTTCTGTGCATTTTATGTTTTGCATTTATGTTATTTGCATGATATATCTTTGTACTTTCTTTCCTTTCTTCTCTTTTTTTCCCCCAGAGTTGGAGTCTTGCTCTGTTGCCCAGGCTAGAGTGTAGTGGCACAATCATAGCTCACTGCAGCCTCCACCTCCTGGGCTCAAGCAATCCTCTTTTCTTAGCCTCCTAAGTAGCTGGGTCTACAGGTACATGACACCACACCTGGCTAATTCTTTAAAAAATTTTTTTAGAGACAGGGTGTTGCTATGTTGCCCAGGCTGATTTTGAACTCCTGGGCTGAAGAGATCCTCCCACATTAGTCTCCCCACTTAGCTGGGATTACAAGTGTGGAGCCACTTTGCCCAGCTCCTTTATTTTCAGCCTTTCTTAGTTGGTTGTTTCAGGGTTATGTCTTATAAATAGTTTGGCTTTACATGTAATCTGAAAATTCCTCTAACAGGGCAGCTTAGCCTGTTCACATTTTCTTGTGGCTGTATGTGTTTTATCTTCTTCCTCTGTCTCACTTTCTATTTTTAGTAGACTTCTCTTGCTGGCTTCCTTCTTACTGATTCCCAGGCACCTAGCAGCGTGGTAAGGTGTGTGAGTTGAAGAGGTGGAAAAACCCAGGCCTGAGACTCTGAGGGGTAACCACAGTGGAATAATCATAAAGTTTAAAGCTAGAGTCTGTTTTTGTTAAACTGGAGCAGAATCATAAATCAAACACATTTTAAAAAATGCAGAGCTACAGAGCCGGCTGCATTAGTGAGAAACAGCCCCGTCGGCCCCTTTGGGGTCAGAAGTCAGAATTGGAGGCAGGGCCTGGGCCCAGTTGCTCTTGCCAGGGCTGCTTTCTGGGGTAGAATGGAGGAAGAGCCATGGGCAAGGGCCAAGTCCACTGGCCACTGTCACCAGGGGAGCAGCCCGAAGTCAGGGCCGTACCTGGGAACAAGAAGGACTCCAAAGACCTGGAGCAGATCTGGAGCACTGTGAGTTGGAGGAGTCGGGCTCGGATAGCAGCCTGCAAGGGTGAGGGTGCTGAGAAAGCAAGATGGACAGAGAGGGACAGATGTGGCCCATTCAGGGATCCAGACCAGTGTCTCATGGCATCTGATGTCTAGTCACCAGCATGCATGGGGACATGCCTGGACACTTGGGCTGATGCTTCTGCATGACTGAGCCTCACGGTAGCAGGGTGCCCCTGGACAGAAACAACCACATGACCAAGCAGAACTCCTTAGCAGCCATTTAAAAGGATAACTGGAAACTCTCCAACCTAATTGGGTAAGATGGCTTACCAATTTGCTAAGTAGGGCATATGCTTAAAGTACTTTTTAAACTTTTTTTTTAAAATGATGCTGCTAAATGAAAGTATGTTTAATTTCACAGGGAGGATCTGTTTTTGCCAAATGAAGTTCACTTAGCTCCTTTTATTGGTGCTTTGGGGAAGAGGGGGTGTGGTCTGTCCCTTTAGCCTTATAGTTCTTGATCTGGTTTTTCTTTTTTTCTTTTTTATTGTAAAATACACATAACATGAAATTTATCATTTTAACTATTTTAAGTGTACAGTTCAGGGGCATGAAGCACGTTCACATGGTTGTGCAACCATCACTGCTTTCTATTTCCGAAATGTTTTCATCATCCCAAACTGAGCTCTGTATGCTTTAAACACGGGGTAGGGGACTCCATATTCCCCGCCCTCAGCGCCTAACCACCGTTCCGCTTCGTCTCTGAATTTACCCATTCTAGCCACCTTGTAGACGTGGACTTACACAGAATGTGCCCTTTGATGAGGGGCTGATTTCACTCAGCACAGCGTCCTCAGGCCCACTTATGTTGTGGCGTGTGTCAGCCACGCTGCTTCTGCATCCATCTGTCCACCTTCTCCTCTCCATAGTCCCCACCCCATCCTGGGTCAGGAGTTGTGATTTTTCCTTGTGTCTTCCAGAACCAAAGCTGGGAGATCGCCTGCTACCATGGCTTGAAAACCCTTAACGACTCTGCAGCCAGCAGAGTTGGACCCATATTCCTGGCCTGTGTGAAAGACCGGCTTTTTTTAATGGGACTATTTAGCTGTATTATTTGTCCTCCCTTTTCTCAGAGGTATGGAACATAGCTCCCCTCCCCACCCTCACCACACCTACCTGAAAAACGGGAAGATTAGATCCACCATGTCCTTAAGGAAAAGAAGAGAGTGTTTTGATTGCCAACAATTTGGGCTCCAGGCTTCTGTAAGTCATCAAGGTCCATATTGGAGAATTAGAAGCAAGAGGGTAACAGAGGCAGAGGATAAGAGCAGAGGCTTAGGTTGAGGGAGAGCAGAGGCCAGCGCCCTTGGATGTGGTGGCCGGGGGCTGAGAGGTGGAACTGGGAAGACTGGAAACTCAGCCACCCTACAGGCTAAGGGCCCACATCCTCCCTCTTCTGACCTGCCAAATTCCTACAACATGCAGGAGAAAGTGAGGGAACTAATAAGGTGAGCTTATTAATCTGGTTAAAGGTTCTTGGCTGGGCACAGTAGCTCACACCTGTAATGTCAACACTTTGGAAGGTTGATGCAGGAAGATCACTTGAGTATAGAAGTTTGAGGCTGCAGTGAGCTATGATTGTGTCACTGCATTCCAGCCTGGGTGACAGAGTGAGACCCTGTCTCTCTCTCTCTCTCTCTCTTTTTTTTTTTAAAGGTTCTTACCATGAGTTAGCCTCGTCTTCTGACTTCCCAGGGTCATTTGAAGGAAGCATCTGCATCAAAACTGCCAATTTACACTTTAAAATTTTTTATATAAATGTTAGATGTTTTGCCAGCTTCAGGAAGGAAAAACAGGATTTTCAAAATAAAATGTTATAAGAATGTGTCATCCTCCTGGGGACTGAGGGTGATTTAAGTCCCTTGGTCTTCTTTCCTCCCATGGGCTGTTTGTCCCCAGCTGAGGGCCTCCATGGGTCAAGTATGCCAGCAGCTGCTGCTGCAGCATAACACTGCCCAACACCAAAGCCATCATCTTGTCACCATTCAGAAAAAGGAGGCCTTGATTTTTGCTGCTGTTCCTTCTCCATCCCCCAGGACAGCATGTGAGTCTATTTAGATAATCACAGTCCCAGGTGAATCTGCACTGAGCATTTTTTCCATTCTCTTACTCGTGAAATGTTCATTTGGGAAAAAGAAGTAATTTCATGGCAAGACACTTATGATTTCACAGGCTGAATTCAGTCTTTCTGAGGGTAGAAGGTTAACGGAGTTGAAGGTTACTTTTCTTTCTTTTTTTTTTTTTCTTTTTTTTTTTTTTCTGAGATGGAGTTTCTCCCTTGTTGCCCAGGCTGGAGTGCAATGGTGCGATCTCAGCTCACTGCAACCTCTGCCCCCTGGGTTCAAGCGATTCTCCTGCCTCAGCCTCCCGAGTAGCTGGGATTGCAGGCATGCGCCACCATGCCCGGCTAATTTTGTATTTTTAGTAGAGAAAGGGTTTCTCCATGTTGGTCAGGCTGATCTTGAACTCCCGACCTCAGGTGATCCGCCTGCCTTGGCCTCCCAAAGTGTTGGGATTACAGGTATGAGCCACCGCGCCCAGCCTTGAAGGTTACTTTTCTAGTATAAACTAAACTTGATCTTGGAACAAAATTCCTTATAATCAATTTTTCAGTTATTGCATATTATTTTCTTAGTACAATTCTAATTCTGCTGACTACAGAGTCAGAAAGGGTTTAAAAACCATGGTGACAGGTGGTCTCCCAGCCAGAGCTGTGGTTTTGGAAGACATGAGGAAGACCACAACTCCTGAACTAGGATGGGGGTTGGGATATGGAGAGGAGAAGGTGGACAGATGGATGCAGAAGCAGAGTGGCTGACACACGCTGCAACACAGATGGGTCTGAGGATGCTTCAGTGAGTGAAATCAGCCCATCACCAAAGGGCACGTGCTGTGTGGTGGAGGAACATAGTCGCATGTGTGTTGTTGGGAGGTGGAGTTTAAGGTGGAAGAACCTCTTTGAGGGCAATTTGGCAGAATCCATCAAAATGGATTCCACCTGTGTGCAGAGAGGTGCATGGGAGGACAATTATCGCAGTACTGTTTGTGATAACAGAAAACTGGAAACAACCTAAACGGGCTGCTGTCTCCATCCATGTGATGGACCTGCATGTGTCGTCAGAGAACAAAGTAGCGAATGGTGATGGAAGTAAAGCTAGCAGTGACAAAATATTTACCACGTGACCGACATTGTCTAAGTGCATCTAATCTTGACCACAATCTCATGAGTTAGGCATTTTGTATCCATTTTACAAATACAAAACTAAGGCAGCAAGAGGCTCCATGACTGCTCAGAGTCACACCCTAGTAAGGGATAGAGCTGGGACTGAACTCCTGCTGTTGGGCCCAGCATCCAGTCCCTTGGTCTCTACACTGAAACTGTTCATCCAGATGTCGTGAAGGACCTAGCTCTATATATCTTGGTAAGGGTGCAGAACATGCCACCATCTGCATAAAAGGGGGAAATACACATGCATGTTTGCATAAGTGCAAGACAGCACTGTCCTGTAGAACCCTCTGTGATGATGGGAATGTTCTATATCTGTGCTGGCCAATCCTGTAGCCACAGGTGGCTGCTGAGCACTTAAAAGATTCCTAATGTGACTGAGAAATGGAATTTTGATATTATTTAATTTTAACTAATTTAAACAGCCACATGGGGCTGGTGGCTGTCGTATGGGGCAATGCAAGGTAGAATATAGACAGATGGATGTTAAAGAAAAGATCACCGGATTTTGTGGTTTGCAATCCCTACTTTTAAAAAACCTTCTGCAGAAGCATCATTGGAAGAACGGGTTTCATAACTGTTTATTTCAGAACCACTAATTTAATCTAGCCACTTCATTTGAGAGATGAGGAAACTTAAGGCAGAAAAGTTGAGTCACTTTCCTAAAGTCATATTCAGCTGCGTTAGTGTGAGGAGGAAGGAGCGGGTCACAGTTTGGTTTGGTTTGTTCCTCTTTAGAGCATCGGACATTCTCGTTTGCCAGGGGCTTCATTCAATCTGATGTCAGCTCAGTTCTTAGCATGGCCGGTCGGTTCCTGGAAATGGCGGCTTTGGGTGAAACCATGTGCTGTAAGCCATGGGAACTCAACTCTGGCCCATGTCAATTAGCCTGCGGTGAAACTGGTTTTGTTATACAGCGTGTCACCATTTCACTTAATGTTACAGTGTCCAAGAACCTCCCAACATTAAGTGAGGACTTACTATAAAAGAAAGAAAGAACCAGACTTTTGTCTCCTGGGCTCCCAGAACTCCATGAGGAATCTTGCAGTGGCTCGCCCTTTCCTGAAGCCCCAGAGTTCATCCTGCCTCCTGCACACCCCAGGCTCAGGCTGTCCTGCCTGCCTGCACCACAGCATGGGTGAACCATGGTAGGACCATGCTTCCCTGCGGTGTACTCCTCAGCGCCTCACACATGGAGGGCTTTGGAAATGTTTGTGTGGACTCTACTCCCAGCCTCGAGGGCTGAACCGCTAGTGAGTTGTGCAGATGGCTCATGAGGAGATTTCTCCAACATTTCCTTGAGGGAGCTGCTGGACACAGGTAAACACTCAGCAAGGAGCAGAATGGGGCTTCAGGGGGCTGCTAGTCCACTGAGCCTGGGTGACTCCAGGAGGAGAGGAGCCAGCAGAGCTATGCATGACCATGACCTTTTTTAGAAGCAGCAAGCAAGGAGGAAGAGTGGAATTAATGAAAATGAGGTAGCCAACTTAACAGAAAGGCAGAAGAGGAAAGAAAATTCCAGGGAAGTGTTTCCCCAGAGGCCTGAGCATGGTCCTAGGGGTCAGAAGATGGCAGGGAATCATCTGGGATCCGAGGTGAGGGCACAGAGAAGACCTGTTCTCAGGACGCCAAGGAAGAACTGGGAGGCCCCTGCTGAGCCGCGGGGCTTCGCCTGCGTTCGGGTGCTGTGTGAGGCTAGCACTGCCAGTGGAACTGCTGTTGGGCTGGAGGAAGTGGACCCAGCCAGGGGGCAGGAGGTGTTGGCCGCAGGCCCATGCTTGCAAGGCAACCAGACCCTGTGTCACAATGCCAAAGCCAGTTAACCTCGGGGAAGAAACGCCGTGGGTGGGGACTTCTGAGTGTTTGTCAAGTGAAAATGGAGGAAGCAAGAAAGACAGGGCCCCAGCTGCTCCTGAGATGTGTATCTTCTGTGATTCTGTCTCCAGGGAGGGACTGTGCAGCATCTGCCTGAACATCTCTGGGACACAGCCGTCCTCTCGCCATAGGAAGGCTCTTGTCCACAGAGGAGTAAAGGGAAGGGCGCTGCTTCCTGCACCAGCTCACCGTGGCCGCTGTCTCCATTTTCGCAGTCTCAAACCCTCGGTGCTTTCAGTGTGGATAAAAGAGTGGGAGGAACATTTAAAAAGTGAATTATTCCAAATTAGTCTCTAAATTTAATGCAATTCCGATTAAAATCCCAACAGACTTTCTTTATTCTTGAACTTAACAAAGTAATTAAAAATTCACCTGGAAGAATAAGCAACTAAGAAGAGCCAAAAAAGTTTAGAGAAAGAGTGCTGATGAAAGTGGGTTGCCCTGCCTGACTGGAAAGGTGCAATGAAGCCACGGCAGAGGAGACCCCCTTCACACGTCATTCTGCCCACCGTAGCGTTGCAGAAGCAAAGACACAGTGGAAACAGCCATGAGCATGGCCCCTGCAGCTCATGTTTCAGAATAGTAATGACACTGACTTGAACGGGTTGAGGAGGTCTGCATTTTTTTAAATCTTAAAAGATAAGTAGAAGTTGTCAGATTTGATTTGGGAGATAATGAGCCATATAAAATCTAAAGTAGAAAAATAAATAATTGGCTGGGTGCGTGCAGTGGCTCACGCCTGTAATCCCAGCACTTTCAGAGGCTGAGGCAGGAGGATTGCTTGACCTCGGGAGTTCAAGACCAGCCTGGGCAACATAGTGAGACCCCATCTCTAAGAAAAGATGAAAAAAAAAATTAGCCAGGCATGGTGGCTTCCACCTGTAGTCCCAGCTACTCTGGAGGCTGAGGTGGGAGGATCACTTGAGCACAGGAGATTGAGGCTACAGTGAGCCCTGATCACACTATTGCACTCCAACCTGGGCAGCAGAGCCAGACCCTATCTTAGAAAAACAAACAAACAAAAAAGATTAAAGCAATAATATGAACAGGAGCAGAAATGGAAAGGCATTCCAAGGAATCCCAGAGTTATTCCATGAGGGACAAAAGGTAGCTTTCCGCTGCCAGAGATGTGACTTGCCCTTTGCAGCAAATATAAAAGAAGTCACTTCAGGCATTCTGATTGTCTGTAGCTGTAGAGCAAACCACCCCGAAACAGTGGATTACAATAACATCTTCATTAACCTTATGAATTAAATGTCTTTAATTTTTGCCAGTTTGATGAGTGAAAATGATATTTTACCGTTTTTATTTTCTGGTGAGACTGAACATCTTTTCATACATTTCAGACTATTTGTATTTCCTCTTCAGTACATTACAGGTTCATTTCTCTGCCAATTTTTACTTGAGTTGTTTGTCTTTTTCTTTGAGACAGAGTCTTGCTCTGTCACCCTGGCTGGAGTGTAGTGGCACGATCTTGGCTCACCTCAACCTCTGCCTCCTGAGCTCAAGCAGTCCTCCCACCTCAGCCTCCCAAGTAGCTGGGACTACAGCTGCATGCCACCACATTTGGCTAATTTTTGTATTTTTTTGGTAGAGATGAGGTTTCGCCATGTTTCCCAGACTGTTCTCAAACCCCTGGCCTCGAGCGATCCACTTGCCTCAACCTCTCAAAGTGCTAGGATTATAGGCATGAGCTACCATGTCTGTCCTCTTTCTTATTGATTACAGGAATATATTTTGAGTATTAGTCGTTTGCTATACATATATTGGTTTTAATTTTGTCATATAGAAACTTTCTTTAAGTCAGATTTCTTAATCCTTTCCTTTATACTTTTTGCATTTTGTGCCTTAGATGGCTTTCTTTCCCCAGGATTATAAGCCTATTCTTCTATATTTTTCTTTTTATAATGTTATAATTTTGGTTTTTAAGCTTAGCCATCTGGAACTCATCTCTAGGAAACAAGCGATGCGAGACTAATCCCTGGGAGAAGGGAAACTCCTGCAGTGATGGCCAGCTCACCAGCTCTCTGCCTGGGAACAATATCCACTTCCCAGTGCAGGGAGCTGGCCTCTGAGCAGAGCACAGCAGCCCCACTGGCTGAGGAGGCGGTGATCAGAGAGGGGCAGCCAAAGCTGCACATTTTATGGAATGGGGCATCAGAAAGGAGGATGCTGTGAAGATAGGGGGCCCAGGAGTCTATGTGCAGGTCTCCACAAGTCATGGCCAAGGGTTGTGCTGTCCGTGTGCAGGACGAGGCCACTCGAGGTTTACCAGATAGTCTGAGATCAGAACAGAGGTACTAAAACTGGATGTGTGTGTACACTTGTCCCAGGCAAGGACCGAACACTGAATGCACGGCAGGGAAGGAGCACAGGCTGCATTTGCTGAGATTTCACATGAAATGTTATGTGTGCATTTGCTTTGTATCCTCTCTGACCAGACCTTCAAAGTAAGTGTGATCCTCCCTGGGCTTTTATTGCACATGCTGAGCTCCAGTGAGGAATGAGCTGCTTTTATCCTCTGTGATCTGTAAACTGTTAAACTTTCCAAAAACTAAAAACTCAATCTGATTCCACAGCTGTGATAATAAAGACCAATTGGGAAAACCCCAGAGAGATTCAGGGAGTGAGACTGTTTAGATCACCATGAGCCTGAGACAGCTGGTTCCTGCAAGAATGAATGTACAGCATTTTCTAATCAGTCTCCTGCCTTTTTCCCAAGAAGCTTTGCTTTTTTCTTTTTGACTTTTGCAGTTAGTGTACACAGAGTCAGTTCATTCACAGACACCTCATGGAGGCACCTGGAGGTCCTTGGTGAAGGTAAAGAAGTACTGGGAATGCAGCCACGGAATCCAGCTGTGTCCTCGATTGAATTTAGCACAGTACACAATTCAGTGTGTACCCTGCAGCTTGTCCCCCCAGTGATTGATGTTTTTTACCAAATGTTAATAACCAAGGCAAGGCAAGTAACCAGGCAACCAAGGCAAGCGAAAGCATCTTCTAGAAGCAAATGCGCAGGCTGTGTGGTTTTGCTTTGCCCTGTCCTGCTGCGTTATTCATGAGTGCTGTCTCTACATTCCCCCGTCTGCAACTTTAGTACAACCTCAACACTCTGGGAAGATATTCTTGGATATGCACTAAAATTAGATTTTTACCTTCCCATGTGTAATTCAATGTCTTCATTTTTCTCAAATGACTTTTGCTTCATTGAGGTGGACAAAATTCTGTATCTTACTTTTTTTTTTTCCTAAACCCTCCTAGAGACCTATAACCAGTTTTGGAGATGGTTGGACTGTTACCCTTTTATTAAACATCTAAGACTTTCATCAAAAAGTTCCATATTCCACTCAGAAATATTGCTAAAGTATTTATATCCTGGGAAAAGTTAATTTGTAATTAGTAACTAGCATTTCCCTGGGTAAAAATAATCAGCAAGTTTCTTTCTGTTTTTGCTCCACTTTTTCCTCCCCAAAAATCTTGTACATAAATTCCAAATGTTAGTGTTCAGAGTGGACACCACACTCTAGCCCCTTAAGACAATCAGGGTCCTTCCCTCCTTGTTTCCTTCTTCCCTCCCCCTCCCTGTCCTCCCTCCTTCTCTCTCCCCTTCCCTCCCTCCCTTTCTTTCTTCCTTCCTTCCTTTTTTTTTTTTTGATAGGGTCTCGCTCTACCACCCAGGTTGGAGTGAAGTGATTTGATCATGGCTCACTGCAGCCCCAGTCTCCCCAGGCTCAAGTGATTCTCCTGCCTCAGCCTTCCCAGTAGCTGGGATTATAGGCATGCACTATCATGCCTGGCTAATTTTTACATTTTTTGTAGAGACAGGGTCCCGCCATGTTGCCCAGGCTAGTCTTGAGCTCTTGGGCTTAAGCACCTCCTGCCTCGGCCTCCCAAAGTGCTGGGATTTGTGAGCCATCGCACATGACCTCCTTTTTAATTGAGGTATAACATACACATGTGCATGGGGGATGCTCACGAGGTGACCCAGGTCTAGAAAGCACAGCATTCAGCCCCCCAGAATCCTCTTCATGTTCCCCTGGTTACCAGCTTCCACTCAAGGATAACAATGATCCTAGTCCGTTTTATTCAGGGATGAATATCAAGGAAAATACCAGAAGGTAACAGCCTACAGAATGCCTGCTGGGCTGCTTTTCATTTTCTTCTCATGGTTCTTTTGATGAACCTCTGAGTCTCAGATGAGTGGTCCTTGGGAAAAGACCTTACCATACTAACATCCCTGGGGTGGTCTGTGTTTCTTCTTAGTTTTGGCTGCTTCTGTGAGCATTGAGGACTGTCGCGCAGCAGCTCAGCCAGATTTCACCCCTCTCTACTTTAAGGCCTGTGCCAGCTCTAGTCATCCCCTCGCCAAAAATGAGACTTTTCACCTCCATCCAGGGGTAGGTCCTGGAGTGAGTTCTCAGCTTGCTCCCTGGGGTGCCTAGGACTTGCCCGGCCACCCATGTCCCACAAACTGCTGTTTTTCTGCCTGGTGCCCAGTATATTGGCCCTGCCCACACGAGTACCTTGCTGCCATGGCTTCCTTGACCTCTCTGGTCACTGCAGTGGGACTGGATCTTAACCCACCTACCTGGGACCCACAGACCTTGCCTAGCTCCTGGCTGCCCAGGGCTGGATGCTTTTCCAGTCCAGGAAACCAGCCCCCAAGAGACTGGTGAATGATGGCATGATCCCATCGCTGCTGCCTGCCTCTTCCCTCCAACCCCCACGAACTGGCCCCCAGGGCCCAGGCTGCAGGAGCTCCTGGAAACTGTGCTAGCCCCAAGAAAGTCCTGGCTCCTGGAGGACTGATCCCCTTGCACTCCTTAGGCCATCGGCTGCCGTCAGCAGCCTCCCCTGCCTCCCCTGGGCTCTGCTGATGAGGGTGCAACACACTGCATAGCTCATAGCCTCTGTACGTGGTCTGCAAGGGAACAGTAATTTAAATGACATGGCTTTGGCCGGGCGCGGGTGCTCACGCCTGTAATCCCAGCACTTTGGGAGGCCGAGGCGGGTGGATCATGAGGTCAGGATATCGAGACCATCCTGGCTAACAAGGTGAAACCCCGTCTCTACGAAAAATACAAAAAATTAGCCGGGCGCGGTGGCGGGCGCCTGTAGTCCCAGCTACTCGGGAGGCTGAGGCAGGAGAATGGCGTGAACCCGGGAAGCGGAGCTTGCAGTGAGCCGAGATTGCGCCACTGCAGTCCGCAGTCCGGCCTGGGCGACAGAGCGAGACTCCGTCTCAAAAAAAAAAAAAAAAAAAAAAAAAAAAAAAATGACATGGCTTTGAATGAACTGAGAGCTCTGATAAAGCATAACTCAATTCATCTCTTTTCTGCAAGTCATCTTCCATCCATGTGGAAAGTGTGAATGATACCAGTTGTGCCACATTGATACTGACCCCCTCGTTCCTGAAAATACACCTTAGAGCTCATGAAAGCACACCCCAGTTACTGGAAAGGAAGCCACTTTTGTTGTAAGCACAGCAGCAGAGCAGCCTCTGAGGTGCACAGGGCTCTGCAGGTTGCTGCTTGGCCTTATGTCTGAGTAAGGCCTAAGTACACATAGCTTTTTTTTTTTGTTTTATTTCTGAGAAATTTAATTATTTTAGTTCTTTTTTTAAATCAACTTTTATTTTAAAATTTCAGGGTACATGTGCAGGATGTGCAGGTTTGTTACATAGGTGTGCCATGGTGGTTTGCTGCATAGATCAACCCATCACCTAGGTATTAAGCTCAACATACATTAGTGATTCTTCCTGATGCTCTCCCTCCCCCACCCCCAATAGGCCTTAGTGTATGTTGTTTCTCTCCATGTGTCCATGTGTTCTCATTTGTTCACCTTCCACTTATAAATGAGAACATACTTTGTTTGGTTTTCTGTTTCTGTACTAGTTTGCTGAGGAAAGGGGCTTCCAGCTCCATCCATGTCCCTGCAAAGGACATGATCTTGTTTTTTTATGGCTGCATAGTATGGTGTATATGTACCACATTTTCTTTATTCAGTCTATCACTGATGGGCATTTGGGTTGATTCCTTGACTGTGCTATTGTGAATGGTGCTGCAGTGGACATAACGTGTGCATGTATCTTTATAATAGAAGGATTTATATTCATTTGGGTATATAACCACTAATAGGATTGCTGGGTCAAATGGTTTTTCTTCTAGATCTTTGAGGACTACAAGGAACTTAAACAAATTTAGAAGAAAAAAAAACAACATCCCCATTAAAAAGTGGGCAAAGGACATGAACAGACACTTCTCAAAAGAAGACATTTATGTAGCCAACAAATATATGAAAAAAACCTCAACATCACTGATCATTAGAGAAATGTAAAGCAAAATCACAGTGAGATACCATGTCACACCAGCCAGAATGGCGATTATTAAAAAGTCAAGAAACAACAGATGCTGGCGAGGTTGCAGAGAAAAATGAACACTTTTTTTTCTTTTTTGAGACGGTATATTAGTCCATTATCATGCTGTTGATAAAGACATACCTGAGACTGGGAAGAAAAAGAGGATTAATTGGACTTACAGTTTCACATTGCTGGGGAGGCCTCAGAATCATGGCAGGAGGTGAAGGGCACTTCTTTTTTTTTTTTTTTTTTTTTTTTTGTCCCAAGACGGAGTCTCACTCTGTTGCCCAGGCTGGAGTGCAGTGGTGCGATCTCGGCTAACTGCAACCTCCGCCCCCCCGGGTTCAAGTGATTCTCCTGCCTCAGCCTCCTGAGTAGCTGGGATTACAGGCGCCTGCCACCGTGCCCGGCTAATTTTTGTATTTTTAGTAGAGATGGGATTTCACCATCTTGGCCAGGCTAGTCTTGAACTCCTGACCTCGTGATCCACCCATCTCAGCCTCCCAAAGTGCTGGGATTATAGGCATGAGCCGCCGTGCCTGGCTGAAAGGCACTTCTTACATGGTGGTGGTGGCAAGAGAAAAAGAGGACAGAAGCAAAAGTGGAAACCCCTGATAAACTCATGAGATGTTGTGAGACTTATTCACTATCACGAGAATAGCATGGGAAAGACTGGCCCCCATGATTCAGTTACCTCCCCCTGGGTCCCTCCCACAACACTTGAGAATTCTGGGAAATACAATTCAAGTTGAGATTTGGGTGGGGACACAGCCAGACCATATCAGATGGAGTCTTGCTCTGATGTCCAGGCTAGAGGGCAGGGGCGCCATCTAGGCTCAGTGCAACCTCTGCCTCCTGGGTTCAAGTGATTCTCCTGCCTCAGCCTCCCAAGTAGCTGGTACTATAGGTGCACACCACCATGCCTGGCTAATTTTTTGTATTTTTAGTAGAGATGGGGTTTCACCATGTTGGCCAGGCTGGTCTCAAACTCCTGGCCTCAAGTGATCCATCCGCCTAGGCCTCCCAAAAAGTGCTGGGATTAACAAGCGTGAGCTACTGTGCCTGGCCAAAAAGGGAACACTTTTATACTGTTGGTGGGAATGTAAATTAGTTCAGCCGTTGTGGATGACAGTGCACACGGCTTTGAATTGTCCCCCAGCTGCACTGGACTGGGAGTTGCTGGTGCTCCTGATGCTCAGCTAGAATTAGAGATAATTTTAGATGGCAACTAGGGGACTCGGTTGGGGTTGTTCCACTCTGAGATGAAAGGGAACGTCTTTATTTAGGAGTATAATGTTCTTGGAGCGAGTGTTATGTCACAAACCATAGTTGGGTGGCCTCTACCTCTGCCAACGTCAGCAATAAAAAGTCTGAGGCAGGGAAACTTTTTAGAGAGAAGAAGAGTGTTTCCTGATCATGGGCTTGGGCTTGTCTACCTGACTAGATTTGGACTTTTATAATAATTCTTTTTTAAGATGGTACACATTCTCCTTTTTCCTGTGTTGTTTCTCTGTGGTCTCACTGCTGCAGTGCCAGGATCTGCATTCAAATACGGCCGAGCCCCCAGAGCACCACCAGTGCAGTCTGTCCTGAGGCACTGGACTCTCAGAGCTCTCCTGCGGGTTTCAGTCATTTTGTTTGGTTTTTCAACCATGGCTTTGATCTTGCCAGACTTTAGTCTCAACCTGTGACCCATTTATAGTTACAGATCAAGAACTAGTGGTCACTTTGGCAACATACATACCAACATGGAAATGATACAGAGAAGACTGGCAGGGACCCTACACAAGGAAAACAAAAAAATAACTTTTTTTTTTTTTTTTAAAGAGAGTCTCACTCTGTCACCCAGGCTGGTGTGATCATGGCTCACTGCCACCTTGAATGCCAGGGCTCCAGTGAGTCTCCCACCTCAGCTTCCCAAGTAGCTGCAACTACAGACATGCACCACCACACTTGTCTGATTTTTATTTTTATGTATTTTATATTTATTTTTTTGAGACAGGGTTTCACTCTGTTGCCCTGGCTGGAGTGTAGTGGCATGATCTCTGCTCACTGAAACCTCTGCCTCCTGAGTTCAAGCAATTCTCCCTCTTCAGCCTCCTGAATAGCTGGGATTACAGGCACACACCACCATGCCTGGCTAATTTTTAAATTTTTTTGGTAGACGTGAGGTTTCACCATGTTGCCCAGGCTGGTCTCGAACTCCTAACCTCAAGTGATCTGCCCACCTTGGCCTCCCAAAGTTCTGGGCCACCACTCTGAGCCCAAAAACTATTCTTGACAGTGTTCAATGAACTAGCATATGGGCGCCTTCTTGGTTGTGGGAGATGGTGGCATTGTTGAGCTTCCGGATCCATCTGACCTCTCAAATGCTTCTGAAGATTTTGCAGATGAAGAAAAATGCTGTTTTGTATCAGAAATGATAGAAGATGTAAGTGTGTATATAATGTTCTCATGTTTTTGGAAAAGAAGGATTTAGCAAGTGTTAAAGTGAATTTGGGAAGGGAGCGAGGAAGGGTGAGAAGGAGAACCTGGCCCGTTTGGATGCACAAGTTCCTTGGGGCGGTAGCATTCACCAGTGCAGAGAGCAGTGCCATCCACCCCAGAGTCTGTTCCTGGTGGGCCTGGCCTGGCCTCAGAAAATGGGGTTCTAGTTTCTTTAACTGACAAGAAGGAATCAAAGTTTCACCACTCACTCCTCTAGAATCTGCCCTCTCCCACCCTCAGCCTTTCCTTTCACTCTTGTCGAAGACATGAATTGAGCAAGCTGCAGGGCCTCTTTCAGCAGGGTCTGCTGGCAGTGTCCACTGCAAATGGGACATGTGCTTCAGAGGCAAATGGAGCTGGCGTTCTGGCCCTGACTCTGGCGCTAGAAATATTTCTTTTTGTTCTGGCTTTCTTATCTGTAAAATGGGTATAACACTAGTCACCGTGCATGGCTGTAAATGAGAAAATGCACAGTGACAGGCTTATCACAGGCACTCAGCAAATGCCACTGCCCTTCCCAGCCCACCATTTTTTTTTTAAAAGACGGTTTTGCTCTGTCATGCAGGCGGGAGTGCAGTGGCATGATCTTGGCTCACTGCAAGCTCCGCATCCTGGGCTCAAACGATCTTCCTGCTTCAGCCTCCCAAGTAGCTGGAACTACAGGCATGTGCCACCACACCCAGCTAATTTTTGTATTTTTAGTAGAGATGGGATTTCACCATGTTGGCCTGTCCGGTCTCAAACCCCTGAGCTCAAGTGATCTGCCTGCATTGGCCTCCCAAAGTTCTGGGGTTACAGCGTGAGCTACCGCACCCAGCCAAGGGACTCATACTTAAAGGACTTTGGTCTTGCTCATTGAGCATTTGGTTTTCTATTTAAAATGTGGTCTTTCTGTTGGAAACGATCTAGTATCCGTCAGCATTGCTCTTGGGAAAGAACACTTCCAGGCAGGGCAAGCACTTGCCTTGTGTACACAGATGCCTTGAGATCAGCATAATGTAAACGTCAAAACGGGTTTCTGGATCTAAAGCCTGGCTTGCTTTCTTCCAGGTCAGCAGTGCAAGAGATGGGTTTGGAGATAGGGTCGCAGCCAGCCTGTGCGTGGCAGAGGAAGGAAGGGGGAGCTGAGTACTGGCAGGGGCCACAGTGCTCTCTGCCCTTCCCAAGAGGAAAGCAGAAACCAGACCCTCTGTTAGAGGCCCTCCTTGTTTTCACCTTCCCAGGGTTTGATGTCCATAACATCTGGTTTGAATGATTCCAGCGAACTGGATGGGGCACCCCACTGCCCCACCACCGCCTGTTTTTTCATCTTTTTTTTTGGGGGGGGGACGGAGTTAATCTCTGCACCCCAGCTGGAGTGCAGTGGCGCTATCTCAGCTGACTGCAACCTCCACCTCCCAGGTTCAAGCAATTCTCCTGCCTCAGCCTCCTGAGTAGCGGGGATTACAGGTACCAGCCACCACGCCCAGCTAATTTTGTATTTTTAGTAGAGTTGAGGTTTCACTACATTGGCCAGGCTGGTCTCGAACTCCTGACGTCAGGTGATCCGCTCACCTCAGCCTCTGTAACCTACAAACCTCTTCAGAAAGTGTAAAATGAAAGCATTTCCCCATTTCTAAAGCAGTGTCCAGGTTTCATCAGGTAGCTGTCGAACCCAAAGAGACTTTGAAGCCAAGAGTCCACAGGATCAGCTTCCCAGTGGCCCCAGAAGTTACAAGATGGGGCCCTCCCAACAAAAGGCATCCTCAGGCTTTTACGTAATGCTGGTGTGCTTAGCGACTGCTGAAAGTTGACTGTGCTTGTGTCGTGAAAGCCAAGATGAAGAGACGTTATTATGGTTGTGTGTTGCTTTCAGCTAGATACTCCTCGCTGGGGAAATGTAACTGCAAAGCAGACTCCAGGACACTGTCTTCCTGAAAGCCGGTGCTTTTGGGGGACATTCTGGGGCCCACCAGGGTCATCCTGGATGCTGACTGGAACTGAGAAGAGGTTTGCTGGGAAGATAGGGACAGATTCTTTGTATCTATGTCATTCAGGTAAACCCTACATGTGACATGTGACACCATCTCTTTTGACCTCAGTTTCAAATGAGATATTTGACCAACCTTATTGCTAAGGGTCAGGCTAGCTTGAAATAACCCTCAAGAAATCTAGATAAAAACCTAAATGAGATTATAGGCTTTTTTTTTTTGCCTAAGATTATTTGCTTCCAGAACCCTAAGGAAACTTCACAGGAAACATGGTACCATATTTTAGTACACATCTCCATCCTATGCATGTTCTCCAGAACCTCTTCACACACACTTTGAGGAGAGTTCCATCAAACCTCCTTCTCTTATTCCATCTTAATGTCATGCATTATTTCTCTTCATCCTGCCTCTCCTTTTCAGTTACAAATTGATTCTGATAGAAACACCCTAAATGACCTTCCCAGGGCAGTCAGAGAGTTAACTTGTTGTAGGGTTGCATTTGGCCATCTGGGCAGAGGGAGGAAACAGTGGTCAGTGTCCACCCTGTGGGAGGGAGGCAGCACCCACCACAGCTTTCCAACTTTGCTGGCTTCACATTTCCCAGGACAGGGCAAGAAGAGGAAGAGCTCCTCAGTGGCTGTGGGGAGAGTGCAGGAAGGAGCCCTAGACTTGCCCATTTCTTCTTGTCCCAAAACCCAACACAGACCTAAAACTCAGCCAAGCCCAAGCTATGCCCCGCTTCTGCAATCTCTTGCAAGGCCCCTGCTTAAACAACCTGAGCTCCCAGCTTTAGTAGGCTTGGGAACTTGATGCTTCATTTGGGACAAACTTTGTGGATCCAGGGAAGAAAACCTTGTTGGGGTGAGCAGGTGGCCGACAGGACTGAGGATCTAAGAGGTGGGGATGCACTGGAGTCCCCAGCTGGCCTAGGGGACCGGTACAGGAGTCTTCAGAAGCCACCATCTCGATGGGCAGGGACTTAGAATTGAATTTTTTTTGTTTTTGTTTTTTTTGAGACAGAATGTCACCTAGGCTGGAGTGCAGTGGTGCAATCTCAGCTCACTGCAACCTCTGCCTTCCAGGTTCAAGGCATTTGCCTGCCTCAGCCTCCCAAGTAGCTGGGATTACAGGTGCCCACCACCACACCTGGCTCATTTTTGTATTTTTAGTAGAGACGGGGTTTAACCATGTTGGCTAAGCTGGTCTCAAACTCTTGACCTCAGGTGATCCACTTGCCTCGGCCTTCCAAAGTGTTGGGAATAGAGGCGTGAGCCACCATGCCCAGCTAGAGTTGGATTTTAGTTTCCTTATCACTGTGTACCAAGCAGCTGCTGGGGGCTGCACCCATCCCGATGGAGGAGCTTCTTTCTCCCCATGCAGCCTCATGCTCCCTGCTTGTTTGGTGTGCTGACGGGGCTGCTGAACAGGACGGGTTTTCTTTTCCCCCTGAGAAGCCTCCTACATTGTGGGGAGAAGAGTGTGGTAGGAAGAGCAATCCAGAGACAGTCTTGTAGGTCTTTAAGACCTTCTCATCTTGGTCTGCTTGTTGCGAATTGGGGTTATACAGAGATGGTGATGGTGGTAGTGATGACGGTGGTGGGGATGATGGTCATGGTTATGAAGGTAATGACGACGGTGGTGGGGATGATGGTCATGGTTATGAAGGTACTGATGATGGTGGTGGGGATGATGGTCATGGTTATGAAGGTACTGATGATGGTGGTGGTGGTAGTGATTCCTCCTTGACCAAATAAGTCTGGGAAATGCTGGCATGTACAAAACTAATCAGGTGGGTTAATTTGAGAATAAGATATCTTTGAGCCTTTAATGACTCTCCTGAGGGATGGACAGAAATCCTCTACTGTTTTGAGCACTGAAGGCTTTTCCTCAATACTATTCTGTGAATGGATTTGGGCAACACCAGGCCATTCCTGGTACCAAAACAAAATGTACTCTGAGCAAATTTGGGAAGTTTATTCTTATGTTGCCTTACTGAAAAATCCAAAGGTAGATTCCCATCTATTATTATTATTATTATTATTATACTTTAAGTTCTGGGGTACATGTGCACAATGTGCAGGTTTGTTACATAAGTATACATGTGCCATGTTGGTGTCCTGCACCCATTAACTCATCATTTACATTAGGTATATCTCCTAATGCTATCCCTCCCCCCTCCCCCCACCCCATGACAGGCCCCGGTGTGTGTTGTTCCCTACCCTGTGGCCAAGTGTTCTCATTGTTTAGTTCCCACCTATGAGTGAGAACATGCAGTGTTTGGTTTTCTGTCCTTGTGATAGTTTACTCAGTATGATGGTTTCCAGCTTCATCCATGTCCCTACAAAGGACATGAACTCATCCTTTTTATGGCTGTATAGTATTCGATGGTGTACATGTGCCACATTTTCTTAATCCAGTCTATCATTGATGGACATTTGGGTTGGTTCCAGGTCTTTGCTATAGTGATTAGTGCCGCAATAAACATATGTGTGCATGTGTCTTTATAGCAGCGTGATTTATAATCTTTTGGATATATGCCCAGTAATGGGATGGCTGGGTCAAATGGTATTTCTAGTTCTAGATCCTTGAGGAATCACCACACTGTCTTCCACAATGGTTGAACTAGTTTACAGTCCCACCAACAGTGTAAAAGTGTTCCTATTTCTCAACATCTTCTCCAGCACCTGTTATTTCCTGACTTTTTAATGATCACCATTCTAACTGGTGTGAGATGGTATCTCATTGAGGTTTTGATTTGCATTTCTCTGATGGCCAGTGATGATGAGCATTGTTTCATGTGTCTGTTGGCAGCATAAATGTCTTCTTTTGAGCAGTTTCTGTTCATATCCTTTGCCCACTTTTTGATGGGGTTGTTTGATTTTTTCTTGTAAATTTGTTTAAGTTCTTTGTAGGTTCTGGATATTAGCCCTTTGCCAGATGGGTAGATTATAAAAATTTTCTCCCATTCTGTAGGTTGCCTGTTCACTCTGATGGCAGTTTCTTTTGCTGTGCAGAAACTCTTTAGTTTAATTAGATCTCATTTGTCTATTTTGGCTTTTGTTGCCATTGCTTTTGGTGTTTTAGACATGAAGTCCTTGCCCATGCCTATGTCCTGAATGGTATTGCCTAGGTTTTCTTCTAGGGTTTTTATGGTTTTAGGTCTAACATTTAAGTCTTTAATCCATCTTGAATTAATTTTTGTCTAAGGTGTAAGGAAGGGATCCAGTTTCAGCTTTCTACATATGGCTAGCCAGTTTTCCCAGCACCATTTATTAAATAGGGAATCCTTTCCCCGTTGCTTGTTTTTGTCAGGTTTGTCAAAGATCAGATGGTTGTAGATGTGTGGTATTATTTCCGAGGGCTCTATGCTGTTCCATTGGTCTACATCTCTGTTTTGGTACCAGTACCATGCTGTTTTGGTTGCTGTAGCCTTGGAGTATAGTTTGAAGTCAGGTAGCGTGATGCCTCCAGCTTTGTGCTTTTTGCTTAGGATTGTCTTGGCAATGCAGGCTCATTTTTGGTTCCATATGAACTTTAAAGTAGTTTTTTCCAATTCTGTGAAGAAAGTCATTGGTAGCTTGATGGGGATGGCATTGAATCTATAAATTACCTTGGGTAGTATGGCCATTTTCATGATATTGATTCTTCCTATCCATGAGCATGGAATGTTCTTCCATTTGTTTGTGTCCTCTTTTATTTCGTTGAGCAGTTGTTTGTAGTTCTCCTTGAAGAGGTCCTTCACATCCCTTGTAAGTTGGATTCCTAGGTATTTTACTCTCTTTGTAGCATTTGTGAATGAGAGTTCACTCGTGAATTCGGCTCTCTGTCTGTTATTGGTGTATAGGAATGCTTGTGATTTTTGCACATTGATTTTGTGTAGATTCCCATCTTATCACAATCTTCCTCATCTGTGATACTGCACAGTTTGCAATAGTTCTTGTTTATTACTACTTTTCTCTCCTGCAGAACATTGACATCACCAATTTCAGCAGCAGCTGGAGCGATGGCCTGGCCTTCTGTGCTCTGCTCCACACCTACCTGCCTGCCCACATCCCCTACCAGGAGCTGAATAGTCAGGAGAAAGTAAGTCATGGCCCTGTCACCTTGGTTATCCTCTAAGAAATGCAGGAGTCCTAATTGATAAACCCCACTGTGGGAGGGGGCTTACAGGCCTGAAGTAGAAGTTGGGATATTGATACCAGGTACAGATAACTCCTGAATGTTTGACTGCACCGTGGAATCCCATCCTCAGCAAATCTTCCTCAGTTTCCCTTCTCAGGAATCTCAGCTTCATGGTTTCAAGACCTTGGCCAGCATTTTTCAAAGCCTATTCCAAAGAACCAGCAAGCACCAACAAAAAGAATTCCCTGTTCAAATAAGTCTTGGACACTGTATATTGCATCACATTTTCAGAGAGCATGGTGCCTGTTAACACATTAAAGACTTCAAGAAGTCCTACATTAAGAAATCTATGTGACTGTTTAACACAGCATAGATCAGATCCACTTAACCTCTTTACTTATATTTGTTTGTTTTACTACAATCACACAACAAGGGTTGGCAAATTTTCCCTGTTAAGGGCCACGTAATAGACTCAGTGGGTCAGGTGGTCCAGTCACAACTGTTCAACTCTACCATCGGGCTAAAGAGGCCATTGATCACTTTGTAAATGAATGTGCATGGCTGTGTCCCAACAAACCTTTATTTACAAAAACAGGCTATGAGCCAGATTTGGGACAGCAGTTTGCCAACCCCTGACCTAGAACCTCCTACAAAATGTCCCACAGAGCATACTTTGGAAAATACTGTGCTGGGTCCCGCTGTTGGTCACTCAAGAATTTCTTGTCAAGCATCGGGCACTATCATAAGAAAACAGGCAACAATAGAGACGTTCTATGCCCTCATGAGCTAGACAGATAATAAGCAAGCGAGTAGACTTATAACAAGTAAAATTATAAATTAGCAAGGATAAGTGGTCTAAGAGCCCAGAGAGAAACTCAGTGCTGTGAGACAGAGTGACGGGGATCACATTTAGACCAGGGAGACTGCAGCGGTGATGTCAGAACTGGTGTTGGGGCTGGGCATAGTGGCTCCCGCCTGTAATCCCAGTACTTTGGGAGGCCGAAGCGGGTGGATCACTTGAGTTCAGGAGTTCAAGACCAGCCTGCCCAACATGGTGAAACTCCATCTCTACTAAAAATACAAAAATTAGCTGGGCATGGTGGTGCACACCTGTAATCCCAGCTACTTGGGAGGCTGAGGCAGGAGAATTGCTTGAACCTGGGAGGCAGATCGCACCACTGCACTTCAGCCTGGGCAACAGAGCAAGACTCCTCAAAAAAAAAAAGAAAAACAAACTGGCATTGGAAGGTAGAGGAGGCAGCAGTGCAGAGCCAGGGCTATGGAGCAGCAGCAGCTGGGGAACACCTTGGTGTTGTCCAGGCCGTGGAAGAAGGCTGGTTGGCTGGATGCAGTTAGTGGGGCCAGAGAGGCTGTGCTGATCCAGGGAAGTGGAGGGGGCAGACCCCCATAGCTGGGCTGATCTGGGGAGTCTGGGGCGGGAGAGGCGACAGAGCTTCCCCACAGCTCTGGTTTGGCCTCACCCACTAACCATGAGGGTGGTAGCAACGCAGACGGAAAGACATAGAAGGATTTGAAATATGTCTCAGACAGAATCAACTGGATTTAGTGACAGATTGGTTGTAGGGGAGGAGGAGAGGAAGGAGTCAAAGATGACGCCCTGGTGTCTAGTTTGAAAGGGCCATTTTCTGAGATGGGGAGGGCATAGATATGTTTAAAAGCTCTGTTTCGATTATCCCACATCAGGATTTAAATAAAGTACAAAGAAGGATCATAGCAATGACAAAAACTGAGCAAAGTAATTTAATTTTTAAGGTGTTAGAATTCTCCAAAAAAGCAGAACCAAAAGAGAGAGAGAGAGAGAGAGAGAGAGAGTGTGTGTGTGTGTGTGTGTGTGTATGTAGAGAGAGAGAGAGAGAGAGGTGGGGGCTGGGGAGAGAGATTTATTCTAAGGAACTAGCTCGAGATTATAGAAGCTAGCAAGTCCAGCATCTGCAGGGTAAGCCAGCAGGCTGGAGACTCAGGGAAGAGCTGATACTACAGTCCCAATGTGAAGGCCATTTGCTGGTGGAATTCCCTCTTCTTCAGTGAGGTTAGCCTTTTCTTTTAAGGCCTTCACCTGATTAGATGAGGCCCACCCACACTAACTGGGGTCATTTGCTTTGCCGAAAGTCTCCTGCTTTAAATGTTAAACTTGGGCCATGTGTGGGGGCTCATACTTGTAATCCCAGCACTTTGGGCGGCTGAGACAGGAGGATCACTTGAGCCCAGGAGTTTAAGACCAGCCTAGGCAACATAGGCAGACCTCCATTTCTACAAAAAAAATTTTTTTTCAATTAGCTGAGCTTGGTGGCGCACATCTGAGATCCCAGCTACTCAGGAGGCTGAGGTGGGAGAATCACTTGACTCTGGGAGTTTGAGGCTGTAGCAAGCCATGATTGTACCACTGCTCTCCAGCCTGGGTGACAGAGACCCTGTCTCAAAAAAAAAAAAAAAAAAAAAAAAGAAAAGAAAAAAAACCTTCACAGAAACATCTAGAATAATATTTGGCCAAGTATCTGGGTGCCATGCCTATCCAAGTTAACACATGCAATTAACCATCACAGAATGTATTAAAATATTTAAATTACTTTTCTGTGGGGTGCTTTGTTTGTGAAGCAGGCTGTACAGGATTATTAAACATTCTGGGGGAAAGATTGTATTTAAATCATGTGAAGTCTGAGGGGCTGTGAAATATGCAGGTGGTGATGGCAGGCAGGCGATTGCACAGCAAATCCGGAGCTGGATGGGAGAGCAGAGCTTGAAACACAGATCTGGGGGTCGTCCATGAAGAGATCCATGCTGTCTAATGCAGGTTCCTGGGATGATGGGAATGTTGTGTATCTGCACTGCCCACAGGGCAACCACCAACCACACCTGCTTTTGAGCACTTGAAATGTGGCAGATGTGACTGAAGACTGAATTTTTAATTTCAATTTTCATGTTAAATAACCACATCATGTGTGGCTGCCATGTTGGACAGCATGGGCACAAATGGAATTTAAAGCCATTAAGAGTGGAGGAGAGCACCCAGTCCCTTGGTCTTAGGGAAGCATACAGAGGGAGGACCGAGGAACACACCTGGGAACCCCAGTGTTTGTTGTGGAGGTAGAGGAGGAGGACACAGCAAAGGGGACCAGGAAGGAGCAGCCAGAGAGGTGGCCTGAGCTGGGGCCACAGGCTTCAGCGGCCTCACGGGTCACAGGTGTCATCTATGCATTTATTCCCTCCCTGCCCTCTTGATGTCTTAGTGTCTGCTTTTCTGATACGATGTTGGAGAGATAACTGAGGAAATAGTGGGCATAAAAGCACTGAAAATAGTCAGAAGGCCTTTCTAACACTGTGCTGGGTGAAGCCCACACATGCACACACCTACGTCCTCCTGACAGTGTGTGTGCGTCACTCCCTGCAGTCATCCAGACAGACTGGCTGCTTTGTCCTTGAATCAGCATGGCTGTATTGGAAAATTATGGACCTAAAAGTGTTTGTTCTCAGGCTCCAAATTGTGAGCCTTGCCTCCTGGGCCAGAGCCCCTGTGTCTGGCCCTAGTCTCTGCGATTCTGAGCGCAGAGGCTCCGCCAGCTGCCCAGGCCTCCCGCAGCCGTGGCAGCATGCAGTGGGGGCAGGCTGAGGCCATGGTATAGGCCCCTGCTCCCTACATGCAGGGTTGAATTTCTTCCCCAGACCAATCACCCGACCACCAGGGAGTGTGTAAGGCAGCGTGTGGAAGACTGTGGGTCTGTGATGAGAGTCTGAGTCAGCCCTGGATGTCTGGAATTTTTCATTTTAGGATCTGTTTGGCCTCACAGTAATCTTGAATTGGGTTGTGTCCCAGAGCCTAGGATTTTATTTGCTAATTACAGCCCGTTTGCCACTCTCTGAAGGAACAACCAGCCTCCTGTTTCCTAAATGCCCCATCCTGGCCACACTCTGGAGGAGCCACAGTGGCTGCAGTGACATTTCGCCACTTCTTGGTGTGTGGCTTGCCCTGGGGGATGCTGGCGTTCTTTTTGGTGAGAGAGGCCATATCTATCACAGTTACGGGTGTGGGTTTTCAAAGTAACGTATCCCAACAGGCAGACTCGTACCATATAAAACTGAGCACACGGGGGGAATCTTACTAGAGCAGAGAGGGGAAAGAGCAGGAAAGATTTCCTAAAAGTGTGTTAGAAGCTGGGATTCACAGGGAGCAAGTGGATGTGAATACAGCACATACCTTGGGTCATCAGGATGAGAGGCACATGTGTCCAGCCCCAGCCTGGAGCCGTGTTCCCCTATGTGCTCAGTGCCAGGGCATTTTTTTTTTTTTTTAATTTACACTTACATCAGAAAGGGCACCAAGAGAAGCCTTTAATGTTTGTAAAACTATTAAAATCAAAATCTAAAAAGTATGTGATAGAGTTGTTGATAGCCCAGAATGTATAGAAATTATGAGGTGTCCCCACCTGGATGGAAGCAATTAAACTATGTCTGACATTGGTATTAAGTAGAGAATTTCTGATAAAAACTAACAAGCATGTCTTCTATGATAGTAAAGAGATATATGATCACAGGGTGCGATTTACAGTCCATGAAAGATTTTGTCATTTTGTTGTTGTTGTTGCTGTTTTGAGACAGAGTCTCACTCTGTCACCCAGGCTGGAGCGCAGTGGTACCATCTCAGCTCACTGCAACCTCCGCCTCCCAAGTCCAAGCGATTCTCCTGCCTCAACCTCTCGAGTAGCTGTGACTACAGGCACACGGCACTACACCTGGCTAGTTTTTATATTTTTAGTAGAGATGGGGTTTCATCATGTTGGTCAGGCTGGTCTCAAACTCCTGACTTTAGGTGATCCACCCGCTTGGGCCTCCCAATAGTTCTGGGATTACAGTGGTGAATCACTGTGCCCAGCCATTTTTGTTTTTATTGTTTTCAGTAAAAAGATAGGGCATTCACTTGTCCGCCTTTGCAACTCTCTGCTTAGTCCAGACGGACTCAGGTAGTGGACTGGACCTTGCTTATGTCAGTATCTGAAATGAATGAAGTGTGACCCTGAGAGGGGGAACTCTAGGATTGGCATCTTTCTCCCGTCGGTTTTGAGTGTGAGGCCCAACGGGCCCAACCCCTCAATCCCTGCTGGTGACTAAGAGTTTTGCCACAGGTTGGGCACTTAGGCTGTCCTGGAACTGGAAGGTCCCAGGCCTGCACCATCATCCCCCGACCAGGGCAGACTGAAGCAGTGATGGCGTCACCCTGCCCGGCTCCTGTGGGCTGAGCTGCATCTGAAGCTTACAGCCCGTGGGGGAAGTGAGGCCCTTCGGAGCTGCTGCTTGTCTGTGGCTTCTGCCTCCCAGGTGGCCTCTGCACAGTGGTGGTGACAGTGATCAAATGAAAGAGCATTGGGATAATAACACTTGGTCACAGATGTTCTGCTGCTGCAAAAATGAATAAAAGTTACTGTTGTGAATAAAAAACCACCCCCTCTCTGTATTCTATGTCACCCTGTATACTATTTCAGGGTATTTTGAGACAGTTTTTCATCAAGGGATCCTCCCACCTCAGGCTTCAGAGTAGCTGGGATTACAGGCATGTTGCCACCACGTCTTGCTCCGCTTGTGTTTTCACAACAGATACTGAACATAGAAGAAACAGCATGCAGCACACTGTGAAAACACAGCGGTGCCAGGCGTTGTGGCAACATGCCTGTAATCCCAGCTACTCCAGAGCCTGAGGCTGGGGGATCCCTTGAGCCCAGGATTTTGAGGCTGCAGTAGTGAGCCCATCTAAAAAAAAAAAAAAAAAAAAAAAAAGAGGAAAGAAAACAAGTGGTTTCATTAGAATCAAACTAGAAGGTTTTTGCATAAAACGTTGAGTTTAAAAATGCTTTCTCGTTAGACCTTACTAGTAATCAATACAAATTAAAACAATAAAATATTTTTAGCCTGATACATTTGGCAGAGACAGTACAGGAAAATAGCCACTTATACACTATTGCTGGAGCCAAAAATTGGGGTAACGCTCTAGAAAGCAATGTTTGGCATTACATATTAAAAGCCATAAAATATTTGACTTCTGGAATAATGGTGGCCTAAAAACTGGCTAAAAACCAAAAGGACTGAAGTAAACACAAAGACCTCAATAGCACCAAAATAGGAGATTGCTGCCATTAATTTGGGCTAAATGGAAGGAAGCCAGGAGTTCACAGCTCCCCTCTCAGCAGAACAGAGTAGTGTTAGGGTAACAAGTGTGCAGTTTCCAGCCCATGCCCGCTCCTTTCCTTTAATTTCAAGGAAGGGGCATGGCAGCTTGGGCAGGATCACCACAGATCAACAGCTTTCCAAGGCATGGGCCACAGACTGGAAGAAAATGTGGTGGCTACATCTTTCTGTTTTTTTGGTGACCTGGTGCCTAGAGTTTGCTTCAGTGTCAGGGAAAACCCGTCGCTTCAGGCTCTAGATGTTCAAGCAAGGGTAGAGAGTGAGAGCCGTGGGGGAAATGGAAAAGGGTATAAAATGATGTATGAAATCTAAAATACATAATTATGTATAAAATCTAAACATACAAAATTAAGAAATTTGGACAGGTGCTGTGGCTCACGTCTGTAATCCCAGCAGTTCGGAAGACTTTGACAGGCGGATCACCTGAGGTCAGGAGTTCAAGACCAGCCTGGCCAATGTGGTGAAAACCTGTCTCTACTAAAAATACAAAAATTAGCCAGGCGTGGTAGTGGGCGCGTGTAGTCCCAGCTACTAGGGAGGCTGAGGCAAGGGAACTGGTTGAACCCAAGAGGCAGAGGTGGCAGTGAGCCGAGATCGTGCCACTGCACTCCAGCCTGGGTGACACAGCGAGACTCCATCTCAAAAAAAAAATTAAGAAATTCTACTGAGGAACATAATGGCCAGGTGCCATAGCTCACACCTGTAATCCCAGCACTTTGGGAGGCTGAGGTAGGCAGATCGCTTGAGCCCAGGAGTTCGAAACTAGCCTGGTCAACATGACGAAACCCCTTCTCTACTAAAAATACAAAAAAAAAAAAAAAAAAAAAAAAAAGCCAGGTGTGGTGGTGCATGTCTATAATCTCAGCTACTGAGGTAACTGAGAAACGAGAATCACTTGGACCTGGGAGGCAGAGGTTGCAGTGAGCTGAGCTCAAGCCACTACACTCCAGCCTGGGTGACAGGGCGAGATTCCATCTCAAAAAAAGGAAATTTCACTGAGGAACTTAAAACTGAATATGTAGAGAAACATTTATATCTCAATTATACTTAATATAACAATTTAATTTTAATATAATCCTAATAATTTTGAAATGAATTTTGGAATGGGAGAAGCATGAACAAATGATTCTTAGGTTCATCTAGATGAACAAACATCAGAGAATAGCCAGGAAGAGTCCCCAAAAGAAGCCACACACTAGGGCTGAATGATTGTGGAGCACTACCATTAACATTCTAAGGGGAAATTATTTTCAGCCTCAGATTCCCTGTCCAGCCAGCCTGTTAACTGAACGTGATGGTAGAAAGGAGAAATTTTCATACATCCAGAAAATGTGTCTCCCCATATTCTTTCTTAAGAAGGAACCTAGGCAATAGAATGGGGGTAAAATCCAAAAATCAGTGAGGTTCTGGAGGGCTTGGGGCTGTAGGGTTTCATAGAATGATGAGATGATTAAGAGCTCGAGGCTGTGATAAAGGAGAAGATGAGAAACTGTGCGAGGAAGCCAGGGTCCAACTATGAGGCAGGCCCTCTGTGTCAGAATAGAATGGCGGCAGCCACAAGGAGAATGTTAGGACTTAAAAGCAACAGTCAGAATGGGCAAGAGGCCAGATGAGAAGGAGGCACAAAGCCCCCCTCCCAGTAAGGAAAACCCCAAACAAGCAGAAACTGTAGGAAAAAAACAAACTTTTGAAGAAAGGCAGGGTCCAAATCTGGGGCACACTAAAATGTGGGGTGATTTTGGGCGACTGGTAGAGTAACAGAGGAACTCCTTTAAATGATGCTTTGAGTGGCTCAGGTCATGATGGTGGAGCTGTAGAGGACACGTGCCCACAGCTGGCTTCTGTGATGCCGCTTGTGGTTTTCAGCTTCCAGAATCATTCTAGTCAGAGAGCGCCGAGGACTTAAATGTGCTTCCAGGGAAGGAAGCAAAGGTTCTCAGCTGTGACAATGTACAACTTGACCAGGTGGAGGGAAGAAAGGGTAATTTACTCCTGACATACAAAGTAGAGTCAGGAAGTGTTGTCCATACCCAGTGGGACAAAAAATAGAAGTTCAAGGATATTATTTAAGGTCACAAACATAGCTAATATTAATACGGGCACTAAAATTAGCTATGTGTCTATAGTGTAAGGAGGAGGCAGATGCATGGTGCCTGAGTCCTCATATGTCCTGGAGGAAGTCAGTAGAAAATGCCTTCATTTTAGAAATCAAGTAGTAGTCGTATTAGCATATTACAGAGATACGGAAATAATCCATAACTAAACAGAAATTGAAAGGTAGTTCTCTGAAGGACCAGGATTGAAGGAAGGAACAGGTTTTCATTTGATTTAAATACAATCTATATATACTATAATATATGCATTTATTACTTTGATAATTTTTTTGATATAGCATCATGATTAAGCAACTTTGTTATGCAACAGAATGTTTATGCCATAAATCTTGCAAAGTATGAATTACCTAAATCTTGACAAAGGTAAACAAAAATTTATCTTTGATAGGTGTCAATCAGTAATGTTAGTTTTGGTGCAGTTGCAACCTGTTGATTTTTTTTTTTCTTAAACTGAGATCAAATATTGTACACTTGACTTACTATTCTTCGCTTTATAATAGTGAATAATCTATATGGGAATATCAGTTGATATTCTTTCCTGGCAAAAGCTATATATTTTAAATTACTGATTCCAGTCTCTTTGTCTTTTTAACTTAGAAGAGGAATCTCTTGTTGGCATTTGAAGCGGCTGAAAGTGTAGGCATCAAACCCAGCCTGGTACGTATCCTATTTTGTATCCTTGTGATACTTTAATTGTATGAGAAATGACTTTATGCCATCTGATAAACAGTTTCTCGTAGAACATTGACATCTGTTTGCCGAAAGTCTGTTGCTCTCAATACCTAATATAGAGTTATCCAGTTGATATAATCACATATCAACATATGATTTAGAGATTTTCAATCGCATAAGATTTCATATGGACAAATTTCAGTTCTGGAAACACAGTGGACTGAATTATTATTAGAGCCCTCTTGTTCAGAACACCTAGAAATCTGAATAAAATGCTATGTTAAAAAATATCAACACATAGCTAAGCTCTTAATAAAGAATGGGAAATACCCAGATGCCAGAAATGTAAAACAAAGCAGAAACCAGGCACAACTGAGCCTGCAAAACTCGGCAGGGGTGGGTGGGGGATGGTGGGCCAAGCAAGCAGCAAGCCTGCATAAAGCCAAGGCTCACAACATGCTGATCTTCTTAGTGAAAGCAGAAATCTCTAAAACTCCACCAGCCAGCCCAGGGAGGTGATAAGGAAGCTGGTTTCCACCTGGGATTGTGTGCGCACGTGCGCGCAGAGAGAGGAAAAGGAGAGAGAGAAAAGAGAGAGAGTCTCTTGCAAGGAAAGGAAACAGGGCCAGATGAGGTTTAGAGTCCAAATTTATAATATCTGTGCTGCATGAAGCCCTTAGTATACTCTTAGATGCAGGAAGCCCCTGGGCTGATACTACAATGGCTGCTAAAAAGTAACAGAACACTTGAGAAAATGATCTACTTGAGCTAGTCAGCAGATATAGCAAACAAAAGGATTATCTACCAGAACTTGAGATGATAAATAAGAGACTACCAAAAGACTATTTAAACATGAAAGAGATAAAAGGAGGAATAGAAACCACAAGGAAAGAATGATTCTATTTAAAAAAGAGATTTGTAAAAAGAATCTAACACTTCTAGAAATGAAAAATTGGAATTAAGACCACAATATGTGTTGCCAAACTCATTAGATACAGCAGAAGAGAGAAATACTAAATTGGAAAATAAATACAGGGAGATCACCCAAAATATAAAAGAGACATTAAAAAATATAAAATATAATGGTAAGGTTGAATTAGTATGTGTTCAGCTTCAAGAAATGGAAAACCCAACCAGCAGTTGCTTAAACCATAAAAATGTTAATTTTCTTAACAATAGTAGTTTTAGAACTGGTTCACCACTCAGTATTGTAATCAAAGCCCCAGAGTGTCTCCTCTCCATTCTCACCATCTTTAATCTGTTCCTTTTGTCCCCATGCTTGTTCTTTGTGGTTGAAGGTGGCTGCCAAACTTCAGACATCACTTCCACCTACAGGGCAGGAAGAAGGGGAAGAGAGAGAGCAAGTGCCTCCTATCTTTCCCTTTAAAGAATGAAAGTGAAAGGCTCCCTGGGTTTCTCCAGCTCATTGGCAGTACTCTGTTACATGGTCCCCAGCTGCAAGGGCATTTGAGGAAGTGAGCATATGAACAGTTTTCAGTTTCTTTAGTGGGAAGCCTGCGAGGGAGAGAGCTTGGGAATGACTGTTGGGCTATCTAAATAATAGTGTCTGTCTCAGAGTTTAAGAGACAGGGACAAAAAAAATCAGACAATGGCCATGTCCCATGCCCAGAGGGAATTCCAGATGAAAAGGATAGAAAGAATGGAATGGAGACAGTATTTGAAGATATGATGCCTGAAAATTTTCCAGAATGATGAAAGGATAATGAAAGAGTCCACAGATTCTTTATTTATCTCAAGCAGGATGAATAAAACAAAATATCCATCTAGACATATTGTAATGAAACTACAGAAAAAGCAAAGACAGATAATCTATTAAAAATTTCTGCTCACCAGTAATAAAAATACAACCTAGTAGGAAATTATCAAAGACTAGAAGAGAAAATTCACAGATGATGATGATGAATGGTCAATGAGGATTTTTAAAGATGTTCAATCTCATTAGGGATTGGGAAAATCTAAGTTGAAATAAAAATGAGATAACAATTCCAGCTGGGTGCAGTGGCCCACACCTGTAATCCCAGCACTTTGGGAGGCTGAGGTGGGTGGATCACCTGAGGTCAGGAGTTTGAGACCAGCCTGGCCAACATTGTGAAAGCCCGTACCTACTAAAGATACACAAAATTGGCCAGGTGTGGTGGCGGGCACCTGTAATCCCAGCTACTCGGGAGGCTGAGGCAGGAGAATTGCTTGAACCCAGGAGGCAGAGGTTGCAGTGAGCCAAGATTGCACCATTGCACTCCAGCCTGGGTGACAAGAGCGAAACTCCATCTCAAAAAAAAAAAAAAAAAAAAAATTCCATAACCCTCAAAGCATGTGGGGAATCTGAGAAATGAAAAAGTGAATGTACATCTATTGTGAAATCTTACCACCATGAACAGTGCTATGCCAGTGTAATTTTGAAACAGAATGGACAGTTTTCTAGAAAAATACAAGTATGTTTCTTCAAATATTAAATGTAAATATTCCTATGAAACTTAAGAAGACATAAAACTTTAACCATTGAAGAGGTTGAATTTATGCTTTAAAATGTAGTCACACACACAAAGAAAAAATATCCCCATCAGCCCAGATTTTGCTAAATCTTTAAGACGCAGATATCCCTATTGTGTATTTACAAGTCTGGGAAATTTAAAAAGGTGTGAGGAAACTTACACATCTGACCAGGGTGGAGTAGCAGGGATCTCCCTTCAGAAACAACAAAACTAAGGAGTACCAACAGAGAGATCAGGTAAGGATAAAGATACAATGAGACCTTGTTGGAAGATTATATTTTACACAGAATACATTTTTCTTTGTAGTGTTGTAATTAATATTTACTTCTGTTTAAATATAATATCTTTTTCTTAATTTTCATCTAATGTGCTATAGAAGTTAGTGAGCTGGGAAGTGAATGAGGTCATTTTGTTGTCCTAATTGTCAGAGCCAGGGGTTTCATTGGTGTGGATGGTCTGTGAGGAGCTGCTGACACACATGATAATTAATCTCAAAGGCACTTAGGAGTGTTTGTGAGCACTTTCCCGGCTTTTTCCACCAACAAAATAGAAATTTCCTACATTCTTAAATTTGCTTTTCAGTACCTTGATGTGGATTGGAAAATCCAGTATGTTGAATTACACATGACACTTTAAAACTACACCCAGTCAGAAGTGACAGCAGTAATCCCCAAATCTTCAGTCAAGTTCTGTTGTTAGATTATGCCAGGAAAATTGTCTTATATGTTTATATTCAAGTAAATATAAGTTTCTGGGGTATAACATATTAGGATGAGATCTTTATTTTTATAATTTCAACTTTTATTTTAGATTCAAGGAGTACATGTACAGGTTTGTTACATGGGTACACTGGATGATGCTGAGGTTTGGGATATGAGTGATCCTGTCACCCAGATAGGCACATAGTAGCCGATAGTTTTTCAGCCCTTGCCTCCCTCCCTCCTTTCTCCCTCTTGTAGTCCCCAGTGTCTACTGTCCCCATCTTTATGTCCATGACTACCCAATGTTGAGCTCCATTTATAAGTGAGAACATGTCTTATTTGGTTTTCTGTTTGTGCATTAGTTTGCTGAGGATAATGGCCCCTAGCTGAATCCACGCTGCTGCAAAGGACATGATTTTGTTCTTTTTATGGCTGCATAGTATTCCATGGTATATATGTACCACATTTTCTTTATCCAGTCTACTGGTTTTCTTTCTCCTTTTCTTTTTTTTTTTTTTTTTTTTGAGATGGAATTTCGCCTTGTTGCCCAAGATAGAGTGCAATGGTGCAATCTTGGCTCACTGCAACCTCCGACTTCCGGGTTCAAGCAATTCTTCTGCCTCAGCCTCCTGAGTAGCTGGGATTATAGGCACGCACCACCATGCCCAGCTAATTTTTTGTATTTTTTTTAGTAGAAATGGGGTTTCATCATGTTAGCCAGGCTGGTCTCAAACTCCTGACCTCAGGTGATCCACCCACCTCAGCCTCCCAAAGGGCTGGGATTACAGGCATGAGCCACTGTGCCCGGCCCTTTATCCAGTCTACTGTTGATGGACACCTAGGTTGATTTCATGTCTTTGCTATTGTGACTAGCACTGTGATGAACATAAGTGTGCATGTGTTTTTGATAGAACGATTTCTTTTCTTCTGGATATATACCCAGTAATGATATTGCTGAGTCAAATGGTAGTTCTGTTTTAAGTTCTTTGAGAAATCTCCAAAGTGCCTTCCACAGTAACTGAACTAATTTACATTTCCACCAAGAGTGTATTCCCTTTTCTCCACAGCCTTGTCAGCATCTGTTACTTTTTGACGTTCTATCAATAGCCATTCTGACTGGTGTGAGATGATGAGATCTTTAAAAATGAAGCTCTATAGTGTTCCCCAGATATTAGAAAGTGTTCTTTCTCAGCCACCGTGTAAGGAGAGCATCTTAGCCAGCCCAATTACAGATGCAAGCAACTCCCCAGAAAAGGAATTAGGCGAGGGACGATATGTGATGTCACTGTCATAAAAACGGCCAAAACATGTGTCCCCAGGGCTGCTGTGTCTTTACCAGGCCATGTAGTCCATGAGGGCTGTTGCTCACTGAGTGCCAGCATGCCCACCAGGACAGCTGCTGCAGGACTGGGTGCTGGCATGCCCCCGTGGAGGGAGGTCACCATGCAGCAATTCCTGAGGCATGGCTGGGCCTACTCTGCAAGTGTAAACTTAATGAGCTGTGCTTAAATAGCTAATTTGTGCTTGATTGTGTGACAAGCATTTTGTTTTTCATATTTACTGTATGTATTTACCATTTTGGGCATTTTTCATGCAAGGACTTGTTGGACCCTCATGGAGGTCCTGCAAGGTGGATGCACTCTATAAGAGGAAACTGAGGCACATGGCTTATGAGCGGGAAAGGCAAGAGGCAAGGCCAGGCAGGCAGCTCCAGAGCGCATGCCGTCAACCACCCTGACAGCTGTGTCTGCCTTCTGCACATACCTTGTTAGATTTAGACCTTAGTGGGGTTTTTTTTTTTTTTTTTTTGGTGCTATTGTAAATGTTATTGTTTTTCTTATTACAAAATCCAGTTGTTCAATTGGTACATAGGACAGCAATGGACTTTTGTATACTGACCTTGTATCCTGAGACTTAGCTAAACCTGCATGTAAATGCTTTGGGATTTTTCTAAACAATCATATCATCTGCAAATAAAGGCAGTTTTATGTCTCCCTTTCCAATCTGCGTGCCATTTGTTTCTTTTTCATGCCGTTTAGCACTAGCTAGAACTTCCAGTACATTTTTTTTTTGTTTTTGTTTTTGTTTTTGTTTTTGAGATGGAGTCTTGCTCTGTCACCCAGGCCTGGGGTGCAATGGCATGATCTCGGCTCACTGCAACCTCTGCCTCCTGGGTTCAAGTGATTCTCCTGTCTCAGCCTCCTGAGTAACTGGGATTATAGACACCTGTCACCATGCCTGGCTAATTTTTTTGTATTTTTAGTAGAGACGGAGTTTCAACATGTTTGCCAGGCCTGCCTTGAACTCCTGACCTCAGGTGATCCACCCGCCTCGGCCTCCCAAAGTGCTGGGATTACAGTCCAGTACAGTTTTAAATAGGACAGATGAGAAAGGACATCCTTGCCTTGTTCATGATTTTACGGGGGGAATGTTCAGGTCTTTCACCATTAAGTATGATGTCAGCTGTTGGTTTTTTATACATATCCTTTGCTAGGTAAAAGAGGTTCCCTTCTCTTCCTAGTTTGTTGAGAGTTACCACCTATAAAAACTATCTTGATTGTGGAATTTTGTGTAATGCTTTTTCTTCATCTGTTGATTTGATCATATGGTTTTTCTTGTTCAGTTAGTTAATGTGACGAATTACATCAGTTTACAAATGTTGAACCAGCCTTGTGTTCCTGGGATGAACCTCACTTGATCATGATGTATTATACTTTTATAGGTTAATAGATTGTGTATTCATGAGAAATTGGCATGTAGATTTCCTGTAATGTTTATGTCTAGTTTTGGTATCAGGATAATGTTGGGATCCTGGAATGAGTTGGGAATTATTCTCTCCTCTTCCATTTTTTGAAGAGATTGTGTAGAATTGGTATTATTTCTTCCTTAAGTATTTGATAGAATTCACAAGTGAAATCATCTGGGTCTGGTATCTTTTGGAGGGTCTTAACTACTAATTCAAACAAATGTCATGCACTATAAGATTGTTACTAATGCAGCATACTCTGTCTTCTGAAATGTATAACATCTTTTCACAAATTCTCAAATATGTTAACAATGTACTAAATATTTTTAGTTCAGTTATGAAGTTCAAGCATGTAAGATTGTCTGCTCAAAACTGAATATTGATTGGACTTCGGAGTCCTCTCTGAGATTAAAGACACACCCTTTCCATAATACAGAGGAAAGTGTGCAGTGTGCCATCTCTCTTGTGTTTGTAGGTATCCCTTCTTTTCCCAGAGCTCATCTATGTCCAAATTGCATGCCCAATTCTTCATCAGTTCCTTTCTGTAAGTCATGTTAGCAACACTCCTTGGTACGGATTTTAGGTTGCCAGGCCTCAGTCTGTGTGCAGTCATGACTACAGCCAGTGTAGGTAGAAGGAGACATTCTATTCTTGTATTCTGTGAAAGTTTGTTTTTCTTTTAAAATTGTTCTAGGTGTACCTGCACGGAATGTTCTACCAACTCTTCTTCCACTCCTTTCCCATGACTAATGATAGGCTGATAATTTTTTAGCATCACCAGGGAGCAGAATAAGTGAAGTCTGTTCAGATTTTGAATCAGGGGATGAATGGCTCATTAACAGCCTCAGCCAACTCTGTTAACCCCCAGGAACTGATGTGCTAAGTTCAGCCTTACTTTTCCATGGCATCTCTGCTTCTGGCTTTACATCAGGGTCCTTTCCTACTATTCTCTTTTAACCACACAGAATCCAAATTCAATCCCAAAGTTAATTATTAAATATGTCCAGTGGCACAAATTTCAGAAAAGTTTGAGTGCCTGACAGGATGCCCACCCTCTTGCCCCTCCCTTTCTGGCCTGGATGTTATGCATGCTCATTACAAGCTTACTTGCAAAATGAACAAAAATAAATCAGTCAGTAAAAACCAGCAAATTAGCAAAAGTAAAATAAAAATAAGCCAAAAAATCACCAAACTGTATTAAATAACAAACAAACAAAAAAACACATTAAGTAGTAACAATGCTGGTAAAATAAATGGTTGCATTTGAAATTGGTTCAAGGCTTTTGTGATAATCCCACTCAGTAATTTATCTTGAGGGACTAGTTCGACAGAAGGAAACAATACTGCACAAAGATGCTGATTGCAGAGTCTGTGGTGGTCACGAGGTGAGCGTACACTGGATGCCATGTCCCTTGTGGACAGCAGTTTCCCTGGTGAGTGCACATTCACTAGAATGGCAGCCCGCACAGTGGCACAGCAGCACGGGGACCCGGGTGTGAAATGCTCAGCCCACGTAATGGCACAGCCCACGTAATAGCGCGTGCAGTGTGCTGGGAGTCTGGGGAATTAGAGGTGGATTCAAATGTAATTTAGAAACTTGGAAATCATTTTAATAGTGAAATTATGGGTGATTTTTGCTTTTTAAAACTTGTTTAAATGCTGTCATATGGTTAAAAGATAAAAGCAGTGGGAGGTCATGTTTTCCGTTTTTGGAAAGGGACAGTATCTCCTGAATAAGTGGGAGGAAAAGTCCTTTAACTCATCGCTTTCAGCACCACCTGTGCTGGCCTTCACGTTCTGTCTGTGTAAGTGGAGGGTTTCCAGGCAGTGTAAGCCCTAACCTGGACTGAAGTCCTTGAGGGGAAGGGGTCTGTGATGTCCTGCCTTGTGATCTGTCCCCCATTCCCTTCCCCTGCAGGAACTCAGCGAGATGCTGTACACAGACCGGCCCGACTGGCAGAGTGTGATGCAGTACGTGGCCCAAATCTACAAGTACTTTGAGACGTAACCCTGGAGGGCCTGGGGCAGCCACCATTGCCACCTACTGCAGCTTTTCCTGGAAGCGCCTGATTACTGTCCACTGACCCTGCTCTGCCCACCACCCAGCTGCCTAGACTTCAAAGACAGGCTCAATCCAAGTGGACCAACACCCAAATAAGAAACAGAGTGGGTCCCACGATGTACCTGTCTGAAATGCAAATGCAGCTGGACTGTAAATTGGGGACTCTTTGATCTCTTGTGGGATGCTTCTAAAGAGGGCAGCCTCCCTCCTTCCAGACCAAGACCCCACACCCAGGCTTGTTTTGCTGATTATATTGGGTGGCTGAACGAACACATTATCTGCAGAAATTCAGACAAAGAACATCTCCAAATCAGTCTTTTGGTTGCTGTTGTTAAAAATATCCCGGCTTTGCCTTTATGAAACCTTTGCCCTTGGCTGGGTGTGGTAGCTCGTGGCTGTAATCCCAGCACTTTAGGAAGCCAAGGCAGTAGGATCGTTTGAGCCCAGGAGTTCGAGGCTGCAGTGAGCTATGAGCATACCACTGCACTCCAGCCTGTGTGAAAGAGCCAGACCCTGTCTCAAAAAAATGATAAAACCCAAAACTTTGCCCTTGTGAACCCTCCCTTCCCCCCTCCCCCCCCAAAAAAAAACAACAAAACACAAAAAATAAACATTTGTTCCAGGGCAACCTGGAAACGTGCGTGCGCACTCAGCCTTTTGGGGAAAAATGGGAGTTCTAGGTAACAATGTTAACACCTGGAACTTGATTCACTTTTAGCTCTCACCATCCCTTATTTGATTTATTGTAGCAAAAGGAAAGCCTGTGAGAATGCAAGGGAGCCCCTGGCTGCTTTGCTGGAGTCCCTGGGAGGTGCCCCACACCTCTGCCACCAAAGTCTGTGTGCTCCTGAGCAGCTCGCGGCTTTCACAGTAGGGAAACCGCAGTCCTCGTCACCTGCGCCTTTGTCCTCCCATTCGTTTACCCTCCCGTTCACATCCACACAGGCTTGTACCCCACAGAACTTGACAGGAGGTCACATGTGTGAATGGCCTGTGTCTGCTTTACAGGGTTGAGCAGGCTGAGGGTGTGTGCCTCTGGGGATGCTGGGCTGACAGCAAATCCCAACAGTATTTCGGCTCTGGACTGATTTGGCCTTTAGTGCTTCCCCAGGCCTCTTTCATCGGCATGGGAAAAGCCCTTAGGGGTGGGCGGTGAGGGCACATTTATAACTAACAAAGAAGAATGCAGTTGCCCCAGCATCCTACTGGTCACCTTAAGTGGCAGCAGAGCCCTCCCCAGCGGTGCCCCAGTCCCTCAGAAGTGCTCAGTCCGGCCCGAGTGCCCATCTGGTGGCTCTGCCGTGTTCTTCTGGGCGGATCTGTGTGCACTACACAGCGAGTGAGGGCGTGGCTCACACAGTTGTTTGAGGGAAATGGGTAATGCCCATCCCTTGCTGTTTTAAGTGCCAAATAGCGTGTTAGCGCCCCTCCAACAAAGGATCATCCTTCCAGTGAGTCACCGAGAATGACAGTGACTGCCATTACTATTCAAAGTACATCTCTGATTGCTGATCTGAGCCACTGGTTCAGAGCCAGGTTCTAGAGGCTGCAGGTCCAGCCCCTTACCATTCCTGGAGAGGTAGGAGCTCAGTCCCTTCCTCCAAGCCAGACCTTTGCAGAGGTGGCAACTGGGCTGCACGGGTCAGCAGATCCCTGATTCTCAAGCCACCTTGAGACAAGAACTCCGCCCCCCTGTTAGTGCATCCCAGCTGCAGCTCTGCATCAGAACCTACAGTGGACCCTTTTGAAAACACTCTTGGCTGCCCTAGTTGGTTAACTTCAGAATGTCTGGAATGGGACCAGAGATGCAGTTCACATGTTTTGTAAGTTCTTTAGGCGACTGAAGCACAGCTGCTTGGAGAACCACTGAGGGGTGGACACCTTCCCCTGGCAGCCACAAGGCAGGCAGCCTGCGGGAGCTCCTGAGCAGCTGTTGGGCGATGGTCATTACATCACCCATGCCTTTGTATTTAAATGAAACTCGACACATAGAACCAATTCAACCTGAAAGTTACTACTTCTGCTGATTCAGGCACTTGTTTGAAGCATTTTTTTTTTATTAACCCTGTACTTCTTCTTTGCCCACCATTAAAGTGGGGGAAAGTAATATCCCAAGTAGTTGAGTTGAGCTGTTGGTTGTTAGATTTAAGCTGGAATTAGTCCAGGGTTTTATGTGGGGAGGCAGTTGCTGTCTTGGGATACCCGGAGTGGGAGTGGGTGTTTTCTGTGATTGGTTCTGTTTTTTATTTTTACTTATTTATTTTGAGATGGAGTTTCATCCTTATTGCCCAGGCTGGAGGGCAATAGCACCGTCTCAGCTCACTGCAACCTCCGCCGCCCGTGTTTAAGCGATTCTCCTGCCTCAGCCTCCCATGTGGCTGGGATTACAGGTGCCCATCACCACACCCAGCTAATGTTTTTGTATTTTTAGTAAAGAGGGGGTTTCACCATGTTGGCCCGGCTGGTCTCGAACTCCTGATGGCAAGGTGATCTGCCTGCCTCAGCCTCCCAAAGTGCTGGGATTACAGGCATGAGCCACTGAGCCCGGCTGTTTTTTTGTGTTTTTTTTGTTGTTGTTTGTTTGTTTTTTTTTTTGAGACAGAGTCTTGCTCTGTCGCCCAGGCTGGAGTGCCAGTGGCGCGATTTCAGCTCACTCAGGAGTGAGCCACCACACCTGGCCTGTGATTGGCTCTATTTTGAGTGATTACGTGTAAATCATCTAGAACCAGCTCTGAGCAATGGCGTTGCGGTGTCCCTCCCTCCCCGCTGGGGCCATACCAGCCCCTCTCCACTGGGAGCCCAAGTTGCCAATGACTGTGGCCAAACTCCCCCATTTTTGTCTGTATCCTGCTCTCTTTAGGTTAAAAAGAAGGAAAGAAACATGAAAGGCCATGTACAATTTATTTTTACAACTCCAGGAGTTTCCCCGACTACCATTTTTTTTTTTTTTATTTGCCAGTGGTGTGCATGTAGAAGAGGAATGCCATGTCCTGTCCATAGAAATACACATGGTGGTCAGGCATGGTGGCTCATGCCTATAATCCCAGCACTTTGGGAGGCTGAGGTGGGAGGATTGCTTGAGCCCAGGAGTTTGAGACCAGCCTGGGCAACATGGCAAGACCTCTGACTCTATAAAAAAATTTTTTTTTTTTTTTTTTTTTGAGAGAGCGTCTCACTTCTCTGTCACCCAGGCTAGAGTAGTGTGATCTTGGCTTATTACAACTTCCGCCTCCCAGGTTCAAGAGATTCTCCTGCCTTAGCCTCCTAAGTAGCTGGGATTATAGGCACATGCCACCATGCCTGGCATATTTTTGTATTTTTAGTAGAAACAGTTTCACCATGTTGGCCAGGCTGGTCTTGAACTCCTGACCTCAAGTGATAAGCCTGCCTCAACCTCCCAAAGTGCTGGGACTACAGGGGTAAGCCACCGCGCCTGGCCCAAAATTTTGTTTTTTAATTAGCTGGGTACAATGATAGGCACCTGTAATCTCAGCTGCTTGGGAGGCTGAGGTGGGAGCATCACTTGAGCCCAGGAGTTTGAGGCTGCAGTAAGCTGTGTTTGTGCCACTGCACTCTGGCCTGGGCCAAAGAGCAAGACCCTGTCACACACACACACAAAAAAAAGAAATACAGGTGGTGTTTTGGGGAAGGGAAGGTTCTGCTGGGGTCCTGGAACTGTGACTGATGGCCTCAGGAGTCCAGGAATAGGCCTTCTAGCACAGCAGCTAGTAGGGCTCCCCCAAGCCATCCGCTGGCGTGTGGAGGTGCAGGACCTGGGGGAGGCAGTCCCCAACCCAGCTAGGCCAAGGGGTAGGGTTTTTAGGTCTGTTTTTAACAGAGCTCAGAGCACCAGGTGAAGGTGGAAAGTTGGCAGGAAAACAAGGTCAGCATCTTATTTTTTCTATACTCAGCAGAGTGTGCCATTCCCAGTTTCTGTCCTGAGGATTTCAAAGACCACAACAGCCACATTTCTTTCCATCTTCCCTCAGCCAGTAGTCATTTAAAATTCTTCAGTTGTTCTGAAGATCCTTTTTTTAATGTATCATTTTTACATGAAAGACAGCTGCAAAATGCAAGCCCCAGTAGAGTTGGAGAGTTTTTCAAGGTGAGAAGTCGCTGTTCTCTGCATTGAACATGGATTGAATTTTCCTTGTCTGATGGTAACCCATGGCCCCCGCCCTGCGGGGATAACATTCTCAGGAGCTTCTCTTGTCCTAGCCCCTTCTCATTTCAAAAATATTAGTCTTTTATTTTCCTTTTTCATTCAGTTTTTGTTTTACAGCTTTTGTAGAGACCAACCCAAGTAGATGCAGGTGGGTGTTAGATAAAAACACACATCCCCAGGGGACAAGCCATCCAGCGGTGAGGAATCTCTGCCATGTTCTCTTCCCTGCTGCCCACAAACGTTACGGAGACTCCCTTAGCCTCCCCCTCCTCTTCCCCACTGAGGGGCAGCTTGTGGAGATGGAGGACTCGGGCCCATAGATGCAGACCCCCTACCAAATCTAGCAATAGTTCTCACCCTTCCAAAGCTCGAGTGCCATTTTGAGATGACCTACCAATGACATGCAGTAAAGGACATAACCTCACAGCCTTTTTAGAAGCATTTCGAATATCTACAGTTGCCTCAATTCACGGGGCATTTCACTCCTCTGATCCAGGTTAGAATTTTGCTAAATCTGTAGCATCCTGAATAGCACACTAATTTTTTTTTTTAGCACACTAACTTTAACTACATTAGTTGAGTGTAGTTGATACATCTGTGGCCTCGTGTCTATAAAGAGCACACTAGATTGTACCCAGCACTTTTGGATATGACATGCTAATTAGATGTATTTAACTATTCATAGGAAAGTGTATGATAAATGACTGTAATATTTCTAATAAATATATTTTGTTTCTAATTATTTTTTTCTCACTGACATTTATCAATATTTTTTCAAAGTGCCACCCTTAAACTGAGTCTGTTTTCAGACCAGCATCTTCATGCATATATCCTTGTCGGGTCACAGTCTCCACTGCAGCTGCTCTTGCGGGTGGTGCTGGAATTTTCCACAGAGGACTGGGCTCCTGCTGGTTCCTCCGCTGCCCGTGTGCAGCTTTCTTGCTCAGGCCACAGGCTTACGTGAAGATCACCCTTCAAGGCCTACCCAGGACACTGCTGAGCTGTGCAGATGTGCACACGATATGTGCAATGTGTGACTAAATGCCAACTGAGACCCCAGAAACCACTCGCAGGGGGAATTATGCCAAGATTGAGGAGGCAGGGTGAAGATACTTTTTTTCTTTTTCTGGTTTTTTTTTTTTTTTGAGATGGAGTCTAGCCCTGTCGCCAGGCTGGAGTACAGTGGCACGATCTTGACTCACTGCAACCTCCGCCTCCCGGGTTCAAGCGATTCTTTTGTCTCAGCCTCCCGAGTAGCTGGGACTACAGGCACGTGCCACCACGCCCAACTAATTTTTGTATTTTTAGTAGAGAACAAGGGGTCACCATGTTAGCCAGGATGGTCTTGATCTCTTGACCTCATGATCTACCCGCCTCTGCCTCCCAAAGTGCTGGGATTACAGGTGGGAGCCACTGCGCCCGGCCACAGATATTTTGTAAATGATTGCTTCCTTACCCCTTCCTAGTTCATGTTTTCTTAAACATAGTTACATTTCTTCTTTGCTATACTAAAAATCCCTAATTTTAGTTGGTCAGAGAGAGGGATTTGAGACTGAGCTCCCATCTCCTCGGCTGCAGCATCTGATTAAAGCCTTCTTCCTTTGCAATACTCATCTCAGTGGTTGGCTTTCTGTGGGTGAGCAGCGCAGGATCTAGGCTGAAGCCCTGAGGCTTCAGTGACAAAATCTGTTTTTCATAATGCGATCTGTCTTAATTGTCCTCAAGAATTAGTATTTGAGTGCTCTCTAGATTCTTCTTTGTCACCCTTCCTTCCTTCCTTCCTTCCTTTCTTCCTTCTTTTCTTCTCTTTCCTTCGTTCTCTCCTGCCTTCTTTCTTTTTTTGAGACGGAGTCTTGCTCTGTCGCCCAGGCTGGAGTTTGGTGGCACGATATCAGCTCACTGCAACATCCACCTCCCGGGTTCAAGCGATTCTCCTGTCTCAGCCTCTGGAGTAGCTGGGACTACAGGCGCGCACCACCACGCCCAACTAATTTTTGTATTTTTAGTAGAGACAGGGTTTCACCATGTTGGCCAGGCTGGCCTCAAACTCCTGACCTCAAGTGATCTGCCCGCCTCAACCTCCCAAAGTGCTGGGATTACAGGTGTGAGCCACCGCGCCCGGCCGTCACTTTTCTTCAATCTCACTGGTGCTCGCGGGCTGAAGGGTCAGGACGGACTAGAGGCGAGCAATCCCGGTGGCACCAGGCATTCCCCGACCTGCCCGGGTCGCCAGCTGCACGGACCCTGGGCAGATGCGCGCAGCGGCTGCGGCACAGGGCGGGGAGCGGCTGCTCGGCCCCATCCTAAGGCAGCAGAATGCCCAGAGCTGGTCCCTGGCTCCAGGCGCAGGCCGAGTAGCAGCTGGGCGGGCAGCGGCGTCGGGCAGGCCCTTCCAGCCGGGCTGACAGGCCGCTCTGACCCAGCCATCAGACTCCGCTTGCGTCCTGGCAGCGCGGACCCTAGGGCAACTTCGCTGCAGTGGCCAAGCCGGGGGCGGAACTGGCCCATACCCCTGAACCGAGCAAGCCTAGGAGCAGGTGCGCCGGCGGCGCTGTGAAGCGGCACTCATGACAGGCAGGCTGGGCGCCGCCACCCCGAAACCTCCGAGGGAGGACCAGCCAGCCCAGGTTGGCGCTGGAGCTGCAGCGCCACCTGCAGGCCAAGAAGTCTTTTTCTGGGAGGCTGGAGCTGCAGCGCCACCTGCAGGCCAAGGAGTCTTTTTCTGGGAGGCTGGAGCTGCAGCGCGACGTGCAGGCCAAGGAGTCTTTTTCTGGGAGGCTGGAGCTGCAGTTGCAGTGAAGTCACAGGTTCCGTGACGTCACAGGTGGGCAGGCGCACTAGTCTGTAACGGATTGGCTTGGCCTTACCCGCGAGGCTTTGCAGTGGCTGCTTGGCTTGGCAGTGGTCGCTTGGCTTGGCGTGGCAGTGATCGCTTGGCTTGGCATTTCTGGCTTAGCGGTCCTCCTTTCGCAGATTGGAAACCGCGGGCTATCCTGCTGGGAGGTTGTGGCCGAGGCAGTAGCTCGCTACTGATGGTCTCCTGGGGTGGAGAAAAGCGGGGAGGGGCTGAGGGGTCTCCGAAGCCGGCAGTCTACGCCACGAGGAAAACCGGTAGCGTCAGGAGCCAGGAGGACCAGTGGTACTTGGGCTACCCGGGGGACCAGTGGTCCTCGGGCTTCTCCTACAGCTGGTGGAAAAACAGCGTCGGCAGCGAGAGCAAGCACGGTGAGGGCGCCTTAGACCAGCCCCAGCACGATGTCCGCCTGGAAGATCTTGGCGAGCTCCACAGAGCTGCCCGGTCGGGCGACGTCCCTGGGGTGGAGCACGTCTTGGTTCCTGGAGACACTGGCGTGGACAAGAGGGATAGGAAGAAGAGGTAATGGCCAGGCGAAGGATGCGGGCGCGCCGTCCTGTCGGGGACACTGGCTTTCTGGTGCCCGCAGGCCCCACGGCACCCGGGATGGGGAAACGTCAGAGGGGTCAGGGGCCCAGGCCTCTTAGTGAGACGGGATCAAATATAAAGGATTATTACTATTGCAAAAGTGTTGGTCTACTTTACAGGAGTTTTCTTTAAAAATATTGCACTTCCCAACTGTGTTTATCCATTTTCTCAATTTATTCATCAAACATAAGGGCCGGGCGCGGTGGCTCACGCCTGTAATACCAGCACTTTGGGAGGCCGAGGCGGGCGGATCACGAGGTCAGGAGATCGAGACCACGGTGAAACCCCGTCTCTACTAAAAATACAAAAAATTAGCCGGGCGCAGTGGCGGGCGCCTGTAGTCCCAGCTACTCGGGAGGCTGAGGCAGGAGAATGGCGTGAACCCAGAAGGCGGAGCTTGCAGTGAGCGGAGATCGCGCCACAGCACTCCCGCCTGGGCGACAGAACGAGACTCCGTCTCAAAAAAAAAAAAAAAAAAACATAAACTGAATACCTATTATACAGCAGACATATTCTACTGTCGCTCAGGTTCCTTCCATCCTTAAGAACTTCATGTTGGCCGGGCTCGGTGGCTCATGCCTGTAATCCCAGCACTTTGGGAGGCCGAGGAGGGCAGATCACGAGGTCAGAAGTTCGAGACCAGCCTGACCGACATGGTGAAACCCCGCATGTTATGCTTTTGTCTCAGCCTAGACTTAGCTAAAACCTTCATGACAAATTATCCTTTAGGCCCTCGGGGTTCAGTTCAAATAATGTTGCAGAAAGAGATGAGTTTCCTTTTCTCATTGCTACCAGATCTGTATGCTGAGGACCCTTTTCTTAGATCGTGGAATGTCCCATATTATCCTTTCCCAGATTTGTGGCAGGAAGCCATCACCAGAATTCTGAGTCTCAAGCATGTTAGTTGGATTTAACAGAGCTAAGTCTCATCCATGACTCATGAATATCCATGTATAAAATGAGAGCTTTGGCAGGGTGCAGTGGCTCATGCCTGTAATCCCAGCAATTTGGGAGGCTAAGGTGGGCGGATCACGAGGTCAGGTGATTGAGAGCATCCTGGCTAACACGGTGAAACCCCGTCACTACTAAAAAATACAAAAAAAAATAGCCGGGCGTGGTGGTGGGTGCCTGTAGTCCCAGCTACTCAGGAGGCTAAGGCAGGAGAATGGCATGAACCCGGGAGGCGGAGCTTGCAGTGAGCCGAGATCGCGCCACTGCACTCCAGCCTGGGTGACAGAGCGAGACTCAGTCTAAAACAAACAAACAAACAAAACTTGCTTCAGCAGCAAACATATACTAAAATTGGAACAAAATGGAGAGAAATTAGCATGGCCCCTGCCTGCATAAGGATGATGCACAGATTTTTGAAGTGGTCCATATTTTGCGCAGTCACTAGAAGTTCATTTGACTATTTGCTGACTAGTTCCAAAGACAGTGTGAGTCAAAGCAAACTGGGTATCACCTAATATTAAAATTGTGATTTTTCACTACAAAAATATGCAGTAAGGTGATCAATGGAGCTGAGTAACACGTGGGATGTTGTGTGCAAATATATTGTCAGTATGTATCTCAGAAATGAGAGAATGTCAACTTGCATGTCTTTCATGGAACTGAAAAAAAAAAGTAGAATTTTGTTTTCCATGTCAGTTGGAGATGAACATGGGGATTGAGCATCCTTCTAACAAAGATCTGCCGATTCAGAGTTTGAGTCTGTATGGAACAGTAGTCCAAGCTAGGTCTTGACATCTATTAGCTTTCTCCCCTTGGCGTGATTGATGAGCTCAGTAATAGTGGACAGTGTTGCTATCTAGTTTGATGAAATAATATATTTATAAGTAAATTTAGTTACAAACTATGAACTAGCTGTGATGCCCCAAATTATAAGCCACAAAGAATAGAACTAATAAAACTAGAACTTAATAACAGTTTTGGAAAACTGCAACATTTGAATATTAGAACCTCTGGAAAAAATACACATTGGGTTTTATTTGTGATTCCAAAACCATTTCCGCAATAAAGCTCAAGAACAAATTATTTCATTGCTTCACTGTTTCTCTGAGCATTTACAAAACGTTTTCTTGTTAAATCTTTAACAACCTAGTGAAATAAGGCAGTAAAATCCGTGCTTTTTAGAAGAATACATTGAGCCTAAGAGAAGCAACTTGTCAGAGAATAAATAGCTGCTGGTAATAGAGCTAGGATGCTTTCCATTATGCCAAGCTAATGTGAGTTAATTTACTGAACTATACTCCCTTCAATTCATGAGTACTTCATCTTTTTTTCTTCTTCAGAAGCTTAAAGAGAAGTTGGTAGAACTCACAAATTGAAGTATATGGGATAATTAAAGTTCTGATATTAACTCTGATATTGTTTGAAATACTCTAAAAATTTAATATATTTGGTATTTTTCATTTGTTTTAAAATAGTAATTTCATTTATTACATTTTTATCCATAGCATTCAGCAACTAGTTCCTGAATATAAGGAAAAACAGACACCTGAAAGTCTTCCTCAAAATAACAATCCAGGTAAGACTTCTGATAGTGAATTATTTTTGGTGGTCCTACCATAGGTAAAAAAGAAGTAAGAGTCAGGAAGTTTTGATCATGAAAGAGCAGTTTTAAAAAATCTTTATTTCTTTGTTGATAGGTTAGATTTCTTGGTAGGTTAGATGTCACAATTATTTAAAAAGTTAATTATAGGTCATTTATTTTTTCAAACAATCTGGTCTGAAAAAAAATTAATTATAGTCCCTAAAATCCTATGTGATATTTTTGTATAAATAAGAAAAAGATTTTTTTTTTTTTTTGAGACAGAGTCTCGCTGTTGCCCAGGCTGGAGTGCAGTGGCACGATCTCGGCTCACTGCAGGCTCCACCCCCTGGGGTTCATGCCATTCTCTTGCCTCAGCCTGCAGAGTAGCTGGGACTACAGGCGCCCGCCACCCCGCCTGGCTAATTTTTTGTATTTTTAGTAGAGACGGGGTTTCACCATGTTAGCCAGGATGGTCTCGATCTCCTGACCTCGTGATCCATCTGCCTCGACCTCCCAAAGTGCTGGGATTACAGGCGTGAGCCACCGCGCCCGGCCAAGAAAAAGATATTTTTGAGTTAGTAAGTTGTATGTTTTCTTTATAGTCACATTATAATGAATTAGACTTATTATGAAATTGGAACTTCTATTTAATTTTTAAAATAAATGACTTATGTTTAGTAAATGAATATCAATCACAATTGACCCTTAACAATGTGGAATTTAGGGATGCTTGATTCCCTCTGCAGTCAAACATCTGTGTATAACTTTTGACTCCCCCAAGAACGTAACTACTAATAGCTAACTGTTGACCAGCAGCCTTATTGATAACATAAATAGTCAATTAAGATATGTTTGGTATGGTATATGTATTAATATGCTGTATTCTTACAATAAAGGAAGCTAGGAAAATAAACTGTTAAGAAAATCATAAGGCAGAAAAAATACGCTTACTGTTCATTAAATGCAAGTGGATCATTATATAACTCTTCATCATAGTCTTCAAGTTGAGCAGGCTAAGGAGAAGGAGGAAGAGGAAGATTGGTCTTCGCTGTCTCAGGTGGTAGAAGTGGGAGAAAATCTGCTCATAAGTAGACCCCTGCAGTTCAAATCCGTGTTGTTCAAAGGCTAACTATATTACATAGTGATTTGTGTCACTAAAAGAAATTAGTTTCAAAACTGGAAACTCAGCAATACCTTTCTGGCACCATAAACAAATAGCAATAAGAACTGTGAAATGGCCAGGTGTGCTGCCCACACCTGTAGTCCCAGCAAGTTGGGAGGCCTAGGTGGGAGGATCGCTTGTGTCCAGAAGTTCCAGACCAGCCTGGGTGACATAGTGAGACCACATCTCTACAAAAGCAAATACAAAATTAGCTGGGTGTTTTGGTGCACACCTGTAATCCCAGCTACTTGGGAGACTGAGATGGGAGGATCGCTTGAGCCTGGGAGTCAAGGCTGTAGTGAGCTGTGATCATGATCACAACCTGGATGACAGAGTGAGACCCTGTCTCAGAAAAAAACAAAAACAAAAACACAAACAAAACCCTGCCAAACATACCCAATGTGCACTAATACTAATGGGAAATTATTTTTCAAAGATACCTTCTGAGTGCAGAAGTCAGAAAAGCAATTCCTTGTTGAGAAGAACAGGTCATGTTACATACTTATAAACCAACAAGGTGTCGCTATTATTGACTTTCCCCCAATTTGAAATCGAATGAGGTATATTTACTTCATTAGAACAAGATGTGTTTTTCTACCTGCTGGTTAATTGCTATGTTAACAGTAATTTTGTTAGAACAAGATATGCAGTTACCATTAGCCAAAAGATTATCATAATAAATATTCAAATAGCCCAACTCTAGGCTCAACAAATTATAATGAAAGTATAAAAATGTTTCACAATAACAAAAAATGCTTCTGTGCTTCCAAGATGTTATGCCTAATGCATTGGACAATCTGAACTGTAAGAGGACACCTTTAATTTAGTACATATTAATCAAAGAACTTCTCTAAGTTAGGTTTTGCACGTTATGGGAGACAAACATGAAATAGACATAGTTTTGGTCTTTGAGGTGCTCATAATAGAATAGAGCTTTCTCTATTTAATTTCTGTGTTTTTTTCAACAGAATTTTCAAGGAAATCATTTATTCATTTGTCCACTTCACAAATAATTATCAAATGTCTTTTAGTACTAAGCATTTTTTTTCTAATGTTACAGAATACAGACATTTAAAAATACTGTTGGGGCCAGCACAGTGGTGCATGCCTGTAATCTCACCACTTTGGGAGGCTGAGATGGGAGGATCACTTGAGCCCAGAAGTTCGAGACCAGCCCGGGCAACATGACAAGACCTCATCTCTACTAAATTTTTAAAAAAACAATAAAACATTAGCTGGGCATGGTGCCAGGTGCCTGTACTTCCAGCTACTTGGGAGGCTGAGGTGGGAGGATTGCTTGAGCCTGGGTGTTTGAGGCTACAGTGAGCTATGATCATGCCACTGCACTCGTGTCTGGGTAACAGAGTGAGACCCTGTCTCAAAAAAGAAAAAAAACAAACCAACAAAACCCAGGAGCTTGTTATTATCATTGTCACTTTAATTATTTGATGAATTATTTATTCAGTGCCTACTACTGTGTTAGATGCCCTCTGGAACCGTATAGTGATCATTTATTATGTTAAATATGTGCCAGACACTTTATGTGGTGAGGAATGAAAGCTGTAAAAAAGTGAGTAAGATTTAAGGTAGGCATGAAGAGTGAGTAGAACTTTTCTAGGTAAAGAGGCAGAAGGATGATGTGGGCAGAAGATTGTGTGTTTCACAGAAGGAGCAGCGAGTGCAAAAGTAAGATGCTTGAGTGAACTTTGCAGGGTTTATGAGCAGTTCAGTTTTGCCAGTGCAAAACATATGAGATGTGAATGGTTGGGAATGAAGTGAATACCTAAGGCAAGCTCATGACAGACTTTTTTTTGAGACAGAGTCTCACTCTGTCACCCAGGCTGGAGTGCAGTGGCGTTCTCTTGGCTCACTGCAACCTCCGCCTCCTGAGTTCAAGTGATTCTCGTGCCTCAGCCTCCCAGGTAGCTGGGATTACAGGCGCCAGCCACCATGCCCAGCTGATTTTTGTATTTTCAGTAGAGACAGGGTTTCGGCATGTTTGACAGGCTGGTCTCAAACTCCTGACCTCAAGTGATCCACCCACCTTGGCCTCTCAAGTGCTGGGATTACAGACGTGAGCCACCACTCCCTGCCCAGACTTTTTAATACTATAGAAATGAGTAGATCTCGGGCCGGGCATGGTGGCTTATGCCTATAATCCCAGCATTTTGGGAGGCCAAGGAGGGCAGATCACAAGGTCAGGAGATTGAGACCATCCTGGCCAACATGGTGAAACCTGTCTCTACTAAAAATACACATGAAAAATTAGCTGGACATGGTGGAGCGTGCCTATGGTCCCAGCTACTCAGGAGGCTGAGGCAGGAGAATCACTTGAACCTTGGAGGCAGAGGCTGCAGTGAGCCAAGATCGCACCACTGCACTGCAGCCTGAGTGACAGAGCAAGACTCTGTCTCAAAAAAAAAAAAGAAAGAAAAGAAAAAGAAAAAAAGAAATGAGTAGAACTTTTCCTGTAGGCCATGGGAAATTTACCAGGTGGAATGCATTGGGCTGTAAATACTAGGTGACCTAACTAACAATGGCTAAAACAGTAGGGACCAGAGTTATTTTGATGGTTCAGTGATAACACGATGTTTTGTTCATGTCTGTTTTCATGGCTGACTAATTAGCAACAGCTCCAAACATCATGGTCTCACCGACAATATCTGAAGGCTGAAAGGGTGGCTTTTCTTTACATGTTTCTTTTAGTTAGGGAGAAGACTCAGAAGGGTGCAGTTGACTTCCTGTAACATTTTATTGGCTGGGTCCTACCACATGCTCATTCCTAAACCAGGCACTGGGGAAGCAAATGTAATTACTATGATGAGCTTAGAATAATCATTTCTTCTTTTGGAGTGGGGAGGGCTATTGGCATGATAAATATCCAAATAGATTCGTGTTTCTCCAGCAAGACAGAACAGGGAATCGCTATTGGGTAGGGAGACAGCAATGTTTACTGTAGGAACACATTGGAGTGGGGAGTCACATGATTAGATTTGAGTATTAGGGCAATCTGGTTATGGTATAAAGCAGGGATTGGCAAGCATTTTCTGTACAGGGCTTTTTCATGTGGTCTGTCATTCCTACTCAACCCTACCATTGAAGTATGAAAACAGTCATAAAAAGGCAAGCAAATACACATGACTGAGCTCCGGTAAAACTTTATTTACAAAACTATAAGGCAGACTGGATTTGCTCCATGGCCTGTAGTTTGCTGACCCCTCATATGGAGAGCAGCTGGAAGATAACCACATAAAGAGACAGGGAAACAAAAGAAACATTTGCATTTATCAGAGCTATAGTTTCCTTGTGCTGTCCTCAGACTAGTGTCAGTCTGTTGTGAGGTTTTCACCCATCCATGGTGAAATCACTAAGGTTAAGGAGCTCAGTTATTCATTTAAAAATGTTGGTCTTTTTCTTGGCATGATGCCTTTTTCATTTATTTTACTTAAACTTTTTTTAATTTAAGAAATAACATTAATAGTTGTTTTTTCCCTATAAAAGCCACTACTTAAGAGCCCATGTTTAACTAGGAAATATAAACATAAAATAAACGTGTCACAGTGGAAATATAAAGCAGATGCAGAAAAGAGGTACAGTTAATATGATTTAGTGATTGTTGAATGTAAAAAGATAGGGGATAGGGAGAAATCTCAGATGATTCTCAGGTTTCTGGCTTGTGCCCTAGCATTTAACCTGGACACGAGGGAGTAGGCAGTTTTCAGGTGTATAGAGGAGAGCAGCAGGTCAGCAGTCACGACTAACAGTTTTCTCTGCATTGCTGAGTTTACTGAAATGTCCATGTGGGATATTTTCAGTAGGTAATTGGATAAATTTTTATGGCTGGAGATGGAGCTCTGAGGTTGGAGTTGCAGACTTGGAATAACTGAGGCAAAGTTGTAGATCTGAGTGAGCTTGTCCATGATGGGAAAGGTATAGAATGAGCAGAGGGCCAGTGACAGAACCCTGGGAATATCAGCATTTCCCAGAGGAATTAGGAAAGAAGCCTGAGCCGTGGCTAAAGAAAAAGAGGAGAGGAATCATAAAGTGATGTTGCAAAAATTTACAAAGGTGAGAATTTCAAGGAGGGAGTATCAATTCTAACCAGTAAGATTACTAAAAAGTAAAGTGAGTTAAGCTTTTAAAAGCCTTCAGTGGCACTGTCTTCTAAAGAACAATCATAGAGTTGTGGGGTTCGCTGTTTATGTGATCAGTACTTCTGATGTTCAAATGTGGAAGAATACACCTACCAAGATCCTACCTAACTTTTGTAACTGCAGCAGCTCCCTGTACAGGATCAGGGAAAATGGTCAAGACTGGTGAGTTAATGTACCACCATTTTCCTAGAATTGTCTAAACCTAAGGTCATATGTGAGGAAAAGTGTAGTCTTTCTTAACTGCTTTTTTGTGGAAATGCTTGTTTGGTACTCAAGTCCTTGATAGGCTCTTCTGAATGCATTCCCAAACAAACATCTGACAGCAACAACGGGAAGCCACCACCAGATACACGTATATATCCTTCCTCTGACATGGAATCATAATACAGCCATGTTGTGACACAATTTCAGGTTTTGATTAGAAATAGTTTACAGGCCAGCAGTTTAGACAAACTGACATTTTAAAAATATTTTATTGCAGGAAACTAATATAATGTCCTGGAGAAAAAAATAAAGTGAAATGCTGAATATACCAGTTCTCAGTACTTGGGGTTTTGGTCACATCAGGAGAAAAGTCAGTGCCTGACTCCTTTTGTTAGTGCAGTTCCCTTTTCATTTACCCTCTTGTGATATTTCTGCTCTTACTGCTTCCTTTTGAATTCCATTCCTAAAGAAAATACTATTAGAACACATTTCAAATGCACTTCTTTATATCTGCACCACAATGACACAATGATGATGGTCTGCCAAGATTTTAAGTGTCTTCTGGGTTGTCAAATACAAATTGTTTTATCTGACATAGTTTAAATGTGAAGTGCTTTTCTGGTATTACATTTCTTCAGAAATTGGTAATCTGTGATTTAACTAGAATATGTGGTCAATTGGATTACCACACTTTTAACCATCTATACATAAGATGTCTCTTCTCCCGGCCAGATAAGTTAAAAGTCCTGTTGATCCTTACTGATCAGTTCCACTATTTGCAGGGTTTTTTTGGACTTTTGTTGTTGTTGTTGTTGAGACGGAGTCTCGCTCTTCCACCCAGGCGGGACTGCAGTGGCGCTATCTCGGCTCACTGCAAGCTCCGCCTCCCGGGTTCACGCCATTCTCCTGCCTCAGCCTCCTGAGTAGCTGGGATTACAGGTGCCCGCCACCGCGCCTGGCTAAATTTTTGTATTTTTAGTAGGGACGAGGTTTCACCGTGTTAGCCAGGATGGTCTCGATCTCCTGACCTCGTGATCCACCCGCCTCGGCCTCCCAGAGTGCTGGGATTACAGGCGTGAGCCACCGCGCCCGGCCTGGACTTTTTTTTTGAACGGGTGTGATTATAGCACACTGCAGCTTTAGTTCCTAGCCTCAAGCAATTGTTCTGCCTCAGCCTCCTGAGTAGGTGGAACAACAGATGTGTGCTACTGCACCTGGCCTGCTGCACAATTATTATAAAAATGAATTAAATCCTACCTAGTGGGAGAAAATTGACTGTGATCTTATAATTTTTTGTTCCAGAAACTTTTATACTGTAGAATATATTGTCAGTCATTAAGATTTTCTATTTTTAATTGAGTTAAAATAGGATTGTTGCTTTTTAAAATTACTTTCTGACATCATTGTTTCATGCATTTTTAATGCCTTTAGTCCGGTGGATATAGAAGTACAGGAATCTCCAAGGCAAATGTCAAAAAAAAAAATAAGCAGATTAGGGAAAGGTATTCTGTGAAATTACCTTCTGATTGTAGTCACATGAAACACATCAACTTAAACAATAAAAAATTGTATAATGTAATTGTATCAGGGGTTCCCAAGACCCCCTTCACTGAGGTTTGGTAATTCACTGAGAAGGACTCACAGGACTCAGCAGATAGTCATACTTGGGGCTTTGATTTATTACATTTAATACAGCAAAAAGACACAAAGCAACATTTGAGAAAGGAAAAGGTGCATGTGTCAAAGTCTGGAGGAAGCCAGGCACAAGCTACAGGAGTCATCTCCTGTGTAGCTAGCAGGATATGCTTAATTCCCCCAGCCTCAAATTTTGACGACACATGTGCAATGTTGTCTACCTTACCAGAGTTTCATTAGAGGCTCAGCACCCATGTTTTCGATGGAGGCTAGTCACATAGGCAACCTCTCCTCTCCCTCACATGTAACAAAACTCTAGACTCCCAGGAGGAAATTAACTGTTCATAGTAAACCACATTTGCACAAACAGTTTAGGCACAGTGAGCCACTCCCTTCTTCTAAGTTAGGGAATGCTGGGAACCCTCCCAAATTCAAGGTCCCAAACACCAGCCAAGGACTAGCCTTGCAAGCAAGCCTTTCTAAGGATGGGTGTCTCATGCCTGCTATATGAAATCTTTGCTGCCCAGCAGCTATGCCCCTGAGTAAATTTTTGGTGTTATCTTAACATTTTATATAATACAATAGCAAATAATATGATAGACCATAACATGGTACTGGTTTCAGCTGCATCATTCATATTAAATAGCAAGGCTGCTTACAGTTTTGACATTTGGTGAATACTTAACAGGTATTGGTACATAAGTTACTATGGCAATATTAAGTAATTATAATCTGTCCTTCTTATCTGATTAACCTTTCAGTAAAATTGTGGGATAAAGTAGGCATAATAAGTTCTGATTTGAAATTAGAATAAAAATTGTCTTTCATTTTATTTTCATGGATGGACCAGTTTTGATTCATATTGTACTAAATCCCTGTTTACAATTATGAAATAAGATCAGATATTCAATCATTTTTGTGAATTTTTTTTGCCTAAGTATACAATTAAAATTAATTGCTTTATGTGTTTTTATATGCTTCAATTTGGGAGATAGTACTCGTATTCTGTTACCTTGATCTTTAGTGATTTGCAATTTTCAAGGTGACTCTGTCTTTTTATAATTTAGGGTAATAGCAAGTTCAGTGAGTATGTGCTTTAAAATTAATAATATTATTTTCTGAGCAGTTTTAGATTCACAGCAAAATTGAGAAGGTACAGAGATTTTCCATATTCCCCATGACCCCTGACATATGAATAGCCTCCCTCATTATCAGTACCCCCCATCAGAGTTCATCAGAGTTACAGTTGAGGAATCTACCTTGACAGACACATCACCCCCAAGGTCCACAGTCTACGTTAGGGTTCACTCTTGGTGTTGTACATTCTATGGTGTTGGACAAATGTGTGATGGCATGTATATACCCTTGTAGTATCACAGACAAAATAGTTTCACTGCCCTAAATATCCTCTGTCCTCCACTGTTTCGTCTCTTCCTCTCCACTGGTTTCTGGCAACCATTGGTCTTTTTGGTGTCTCAGTAGTTTTGCTTTTTCCAGACTAGTCATATAGTTGGAATAAAACAGTGGTGGATATCTTTTTGAATATTTAAACAATAAAGTTCCATGGTAATTTGATTCTGTCATTTTAGATGTTCTTTGTCCTTGCGTTTGTTTTCCTCATGTTGTGTTCATCAGAACAGGATCTGATGGCATATGATTTGACGTGCTGAGAAAGCGTGATTTCTGTAGACGTTTGCCATGTAACGGGGAGGGTGGGGAAAATGGCATCATGCAGTATTCCACAGCACTAACTGGACCATCATGCTCTAGGAGATGGGTCCAGATAGACTCTAGCGATGGGACGGGATAATCTCAAGAGCTGGACTTTATAAAACTAGAATCACAAAGTCTTGCATACTTACCTTGCACTTAAAAAGATCAGGCAGTGAACACTACAGGTGAATAAATATGTTCCTCTCTGGTTCTCTTCCTTTTAGGGATGAGCTTGAAAACAGTCTATATTATTAGAATATGGCTCATCTACAACTAAATGCTCTGTCATGGAAATGCCAGTGTTTTTCTTTACAATAAATGAAAAATAATTTTGTTTTCACCAGAGAGAGTAACAACTGTTGGCACATTCTGGCAGGTTGAGTGAGCTGATAGTTCTGTTCATATATATTTTTCATACCAGGTAGTATTCCCTGGCAACCTGCCACCACTGTGGCAGTGTTTCTTCTTAAGCTTCTCACTGAATGAATGGTGTGGCTCAGAGTGAATAAGCTCTTTAAGGGAGTGATCTTTCCAGTGGTTCTGTCCATAGGAGGTAAAATGGGAGGTGAATTTGAGCCTTGTTTGTACTAGGGAAAATAGCTAGAACTCAGTAAACATTGCCAGCATCTGCCCCAGAAGAGGATTAGTGAGAGTGAGTACATTGATCTCCCTTGAGCTCTTCTCCACTGGCAGCTGAAAAGTCTTTGCAAAGATCCTTATCCCTGGTCTCTTCCCTATGTTTTGCCACATAACACAGCACAGCACCCATAGACCTACATAACAAAATGTACAGTTTTCCCCCCTTATCCATGGGGGATATGTTCCAAGACCCCCAGTGAATGCCTGGAACTGTGGATAGTACTGAACCCTAGATATGCAATGTCAGGATAGAAGGAAGAGGATAAGAGCAAAAGGGGGAATAAAGAATGTGGAAGGCAGAGAGTACAGAGAGTAAATGAAGGGAAAAGAAGCAAGTGGATATGATGGAGGGTGGTAAAATGAGATAATACTTCAAAAGAAGAGTGGGGTATTAGAAAGGTGGAAAGAATATAAGGTGAACGTGCAGCACCAAAACTTATCAGATAAGACAAACTTTACTTGCCAATATGTTAGTTGTGCTTTAAGTTTAATTATTTCATCATAGTGTGGCTATACTGATGATTTTAAGCCAGTCAGATATTCTGGTCAGCAAATCATATGTGTGTGTGTTTTGATTATCAGAAATGAAGAAAGCAATTAATTACCCTTAATAACTATATGGTGGACACAGTCTTTTAAAACATTGATTCTGAAACTTTTTGGCCTGGGGTTCATTTTATATGATTAAATATTATTGCCTAGAGGTAACCAACACCCTGAATTAAGAATTTATTATGTCCATTCCCTTTTAAAACATTTTATTACATATGTGTATGGTCATAAATAATATGTAGAATTTGTTTTCATGTCCTAAAATTGTATATAAATTGTTTTACACTCTACATATTTTGCAACTTTCTTTTGTCTGGTCACATTACATTTTTGAGGTCAGTCCTTATTGACACAGGAAGCTCTGGTTTTCTATCAAATGACTGGATCTCAAACTCTCTTCATAATGATAAATAAATAATTAAAATAAAGAAAAATTATTGCAAATTCCAAAGAGCTTTTATTTAAGTCGGTTGTGTCTTTTGTTATTTACTATTTTAGAAATAAAAACTAAAATATTTTAAAAACAAGCATGCAGCCGGGCGTGGTGGCTCACGCCTGTAGTGCCAGCACTTTGGGAGGCCGAGGCGGGCGGATCACGAAGTCAGGAGATCGAGACGAGACCATCCTGGCTAACACGGTGAAACCCCGTCTCTACTAAAAATACAAAAAATTAGCCAGGCGTGGTGGAGGGCGCCGGTAGTCCCAGCTACTCGGGAGGCTGAGGCAGAGAATGGTGTGAACCCGGGAGGCGGAGCTTGCAGTGAGCCAAGATTGCGCCATTGCACTCCAGCCTGGGTGACAGAGCGAGACTCCGTCTCAAAAAATAAAAAAAAAAATTTAAATCCCAACAATTTTGTTTATATAGTAAAAAGGAAAATATTTTTGTTATGTATTCCTTTCCTGTCTCGTGGCACTGTGTGCTATTTGGACCTAGTGTGGTCCTAGACTAATCCTGTTCTCACATGGGAACAGTTAGAGCCCTTAACAGCTCTTATTTTGCAAATAAATGTATGAAATTTATCCAAGTATTTGAAAGGAAATTCTGAAGATAGTGGTGCATTGAGGAAAGACCATCTCATTATAATTAAAATAGTTTTAAAAGTATATTTATTATGAGTTTTTGTAAATCCTGTGTCTCTACAATACATACATACAATGCTGTCATGTATATTTAAGCTTAAAATGGTTAGACATAAATTCTGTTTTAAAAGATTTATATCCACGAAGAATCTTAATGGGAAGCAAAATATGTAATAGAGACTGCTGAGTGAATAAAAGTAAGTAATAGTAAACGGTAAAAATGTAGAAAAGTGAGAGATGATAGTTAATTAAACTTACCTGAATGAATTGTAAGCATAGGACATGTAAAATGTAATAATCCTGAATGCATAGTGTGTTGTGGGAGAGAGCAGGATGTGGGACTGTTTCTGTGAAGAAAGCATGTATACAAGTTAGTCAAATTATTGTGTTATTTACATCCTAAAAATGAAAACTTCATTTTCGGATTTTTCAGATTGGCATCCTACTAATTTGACCCTTAGTGATGAGACTTGTCAGAGATCCAAGAATCTGAAAGTTGATGATAAATGTCCATCTGTATCACCATCAATGCCTGAAAATCAGTCAGCAACCAAAGAACTGGGACAGATGAACTTAACAGAACGAGAAAAGATGGACACTGGGGTTGTACTTCTCTCAGGGAATGATACTCTCCATGACCTGTGCCAATCACAGCTACCAGAAAACAAAGAGAGCAAAGAAGGTAACAAAGAAGCATAGAGAATTCAGTCCTAGAGTGCCTCTGCTTGGCTGCATAGAGCTATAGTTCTGACTTAAAAAAACTTTTTCTGGTAAAATGTGCTTTGTGTTTACTCACCTTTTGCACTGAACAGAATACCTTTTGGCAGGATATTTGTGTTCTTCCTTTAACCAAAGCAACATCTAGATAACAGAGAATTAGGGGAAAGCAGGATTTTCTTTAGGAAGTAGGATTATATTTAGAATATAGGGACTAAGTATGTTTAGGGACTAACATAGGATTATATTTAGGATAACTTAGTAGAGACCTAAAGATTGCTGACTCAAACACAATGTGGTTTCTTTGCTTTATTTTTACAGCTCTGAATTCACAGCTGTTAGTTATAACTATATGCACTATAATTTAAAAGACACCTTCCCACACCTGCAATCTCAGCACTTTAGGAGGCCGAGGTGGGTGGATCACGAGGTCAGTAGTTCGAGACCAGCCTGGCCAATATGGTGAAACCCCATCTCTACTAAAAATACAAAAAAAACTAGCCAGGCATGGTGGTGAATGCCTGTAGTCCCAGCTACTCAGGAGGCTGAAGCAGGAGAATCGCTGGAACCCAGAAGGTGGAGGTTGCAGTGAGCCGAGATTGCGCCACTGCACTCCAACCCGGGCAATAGAGGAAGACTCCGTCTCAAAAAACAAAAACAAAAACAAAAAAACACCTTCCAAAAGCAAATATTAAGTGACTTCCTATCGTTTCTATGACTTTATGTATTATAGAATTGACTTTCCAAGTCAGTAATTAATGAGACTTATTGAGAATTTGCTGCATAGTATCTCCTTGGCTGTGTCCACATGAGCTACCACCTTGCGTTAATAAATGTGTTCGCTAGGGATGTTGGTTTTGGCATTGACAGTGTTCTATCACCAATGCAAATAAGACCAGGGACCACTCTTGAGAACATTAATGTCCAAGCATCTTAAAGTTATACGTAAGGCTTTCATAATGTGATTCTGCTCAGCTCTCCATCTTTAGCCCTTTCCCCCGTGTGCCCCTTCTCTGGCCTTACTGAACTGCTGGTCCTGTCCTGCTGACCCATCCTTCGACTGCAGGCAAACACATACACTCTTTCAGGCCTCTTTCTGCCTTTTGTTGCTGCCTGTCATGCTCTCACTCTTTCCTGTCCCCTACCCCTTCTAATTAGGCTAGCCTCACTCTTTAAGCCTCAGCTCGGGCAGGATCTCTAGAAAAGTCATCTCTGACATGCTTTCTTTTCACTCTTTAAATCCTAGTGCCTAGCACATAGCAAGACTCAATACATAATTGCTGAGTAAAATAGATAATGACTCTTTGTACAAAGATGATTTTCAAGATTGTTCCCTACAGTCAAGGAGCAGAGGGAATAGACATGTAAAGCAATAATTGACAATTCGGGTGGTGGAGATGCAGTAGAAAAATCAGTAAAGTTCTAGGGCAGCCCTAAGGAAGGAGATACCTAGATACCTGTTTACCTGGGGAAAGATGAGGATGAGGGTCAACTTCACCTAGCAGTCTGTTTTTTATTTTATGTATTTTATTTATTTATTTTTAGCAGTCTGTTTTAAAAGATGAAAATATTAATACATTTGTCAGAATAATACAGGGAACCATTTCGGATGTTAGGAAGAGGTTGTACACCAATAAAGGTGTCCACAGTCATTTTGGAAATCATTAATAAGGTACTATTATGAAATGGAGAACAGTATGCAGCATTGCCTGATAATATTGCTACTGCATTCCAAAATTTTGTTTTGTTTGTGATGGCTTTGTTCATTGATGTTGGGTGGATGAATCTGTGAGTGAATCTTCAACATGATTGTATTTCTTTAACCTGGTGGCATCTAGTGTCTCCCAGAAAGTGGTTTGTTGAAGTTTTGGAGAATTAGAATTATTTCTTAAAGAAGTAAGTATTCCACTAAAGATCAAGCTTCATTTAAACTCTCAATTTATGAAATAAAATGAAATGTAATTTAAAATCTATTTTTATAAAGACTATGTCTTTTATCTAACTGTTCTAAGTAGTTTAACTGAACGTTTGGATTTTGCAGCAGAACAAGACTTGGAGCTGACATCAGAGGAAGAGCAAGAAAGACTTAAAGGATGCGAAAATAAGCAGCCACAAGTGTGGAAACATTTAAACTAAAATCTAAATTTCTGGTTTAATACTCTTTTCTTTGCTTTAATATGCTAGCCCAAATGAAATTACCTCTCAGACTAGCCTTTGAGAATCAATAGATCCTTACTTAATATTTAATTTTAAATACATTTAAACTAGTTATAAAACACAATATTGTTAGAATCTATCATAACTTATAGTTAATCTTTACCCTTGGAGTAGAGGCAAACATTCCAGAATTTTGTTTGCTCTTCCATTCTTACAATATCCTTATGGGATAAAGAAGGTAATGTCAATTATTGACTTATATTATTAAGCAACAGAAATTATGAACAATTTAACAGTGATGGCCACTAAGTTGGATTCATGGTATAGGAGTAATCATGGCCAGTGGCTCAAATTTTGCAGTTTTATATTGCCAGTTACTAATGCCTAGGTTAAAGATGTGGCCTTTCATTGACTTCACGGTCTACATTCAGTGAGAGTGGGGTTATGAAATCAACCCAACTGCCTATTAAGGGAATCATACCTTGCAGAATGGGATCTTTGGTGTTAGGGTACAAACAATAACTTTCTAACTTTTTAGATGCAGAAACTTAGTAAGAATTATCTTTAAAGTTTTAGTTAGTGTTATTAGGGGACCGTAGTATATATTAGAACTGAACTGAAGAAGATAGTCTAGATATATAACCCTATGATGTTACAGTATATAATTTGAATTAAAACTTAAGAATTTGCTTTTGTTTCTGATTGGTGTTGATTCGGGCTCCTAATAATTTGAAGATTGCCTACCCTCCAGTTAGTAATCTATAGAACTTACATGTAGTAATATATAGTACTTACATGTAGTAATATGTAGTACTTACATGTACTGTAGGGGCTCACTTTTCAAGTGAGGAAGCCTTTGTAACACTAGAAATCATCTGCTAATTCATTTTTGGTAGATTTAACACATAATGAATTAAGTTTATTCCAAACAAACAGTGACAAAGTTAAGTTTGCTGGTTCATATTTTTCTCCTCCTTTCAGCTAAGACAATTTTTTTTAACTTCTTAGTTACAAGCCAGTGATTTGGGAGTAGCCAAACCTAGATGAAGAAGTTTAACAGTTAAATTTTCATTTTAATTATTTGTGAATTTTTCTTTGTTTATACCTGTTATTTAAGGACAAAGCTATTTTTAAAACATGTAGCCCAACAGAGAAGACACCCAAGAAACAAAACAAGCAAATTAATCTTCCACTTTTGCATCTGCAGAAAACGTCTCAAGAACCAGAAATGGCTAAGGATTGTGATAGAGAGGATATACCTATATATCCAGTACTTCCTCATGTGCAAAAATCTGAGGAAATGCGGATTGAACAAGGCAAATTAGAGTGGAAAAACCAATTAAAACTCGTCATAAATGAGTTAAAGCAGAGGTTTGGTGAAATTTATGAAAAATACAAAATTCCGGCTTGTCCTGAGGAAGAGCCACTACTTGATAACTCTACAAGAGGAACAGATGTGAAGGATATTCCCTTTAATTTGACAAATAACATACCTGGTTGTGAGGAAGAAGATGCATCTGAAATATCTGTCTCAGTGGTATTCGAGACATTTCCTGAACAAAAAGAACCCAGTCTCAAAAATATCATCCATTCATACTACCATCCGTACTCTGGGTCCCAGGAACATGTTTGCCAGTCATCTTCTAAGCTTCATTTACATGAAAATAAATTAGACTGCGACAATGATAACAAACCAGGCATTGGACATATTTTTAGTACAGATAAGAACTTTCATAATGATGCAAGCACTAAGAAAGCAAGGAACCCAGAAGTGGTTACGGTTGAAATGAAAGAAGACCAAGAGTTTGATTTGCAAATGACAAAAAATATGAACCAAAATAGTGACAGTGGCAGTACAAATAACTATAAAAGCCTGAAACCTAAATTAGAAAATCTGAGTTCTTTACCACCAGATTCTGACAGAACATCAGAAGTATATCTACATGAAGAATTACAGCAAGACATGCAAAAGTTTAAGAATGAGGTCAACACATTAGAAGAAGAGTTCCTGGCTTTGAAGAAAGAAAATGTTCAACTTCATAAAGAGGTAGGGTTTTACTTGCTGCCACTCTTTGTTTTTTCTCTCAATTATCTGGTCCATTCTGATTTTCCACTTAGGAAAAGCATATGAAAATCATACAGTTTGGTTGTCTAAATCTGTAATTGTGTGTAGAAACAGATGATTTCTAAGTAATAGGAGTTTAGGAAAACTTTCTCATAATCTTTGTTTCTTAATTGACCTAAGTCTCTCTGTCAGTCTTCCAAGTGGCGTATGGATTGTGAAACTCATGTAGCCATATATCATGTGACCTTCAGAACCAGGAGAGGCGTCAAGAAAATTGCTAAAGGAAATGTGATGAGCTTGAGGGCTTTTTCCTTTTACCGACTTAAAGATGAGTTGTGTCTAACAATAAGATGGGAATACAGTAGAAAGGAAGCAATGACTAAGAAGAGATATAAAAATGTATCTAGCAGGCGTGGTGGCAAACACCTGTAGTCTCAGCTACTAGGGAGCCTAAGGCAGGAGGATCATTTGAGGCCAGGCATTCTGGGCCGTAGTGTGCTATGCCGATCAGGTGTTCACACTAAGTTCGGCATCAATATGGTGACCTCCTGGGAGCGGGGCACCACCAGATTTGCTAAAGAAGGGTGAACCAGCCCAGGTCGGAAATGGAGCAGGTCATAAGTAACTCCTGTGCTGATCAGTAGTGGGATCGTGCCTGTGAATAGCTACTGCATTCCAGCCTGGGCAACATAGTGAGACCTCATCTCTTACTAAAAAAAGAAAAGAAAAGAAAAAGAAAGTATCCAGCCCTGAGAGCTGCAGCAAATATTCCTGGCCAATGAATCTGTTTATTGTGCTTTTCAGGTTTATCTGTTTAACTCAAACTGTTGGAACTTAGAATTGCATCATGACCACTTTAAATATTTTTCAACAACAAGTATATACACTTTAATATATTTGTTAATATAACTACTCTCCACTGTTTCTGTTGAATCAGACCTTTATGTTATGTTGCTTAATAAAGTACAGTAAGTTTTGGCACATATATTTTTTCCATGTAAGTAGCATAAATGCTCAGCCAAACACTTAGTATATGATGCCAAAGTAGAAAGCTGAGTCTTCTACATTGATTAGGGCAGGCCTCCCACCCTCCTCTAAGGCATTAAATTATTTTACCCAAGTCACACTTTTAACCTATCTGATTACTTTGCTGAATTTGTCTGATTCAGCATTATGGAATTGTACTGTCTCTTTTGGTGCCACAAAATGCTAGGTAATGGCACTTCAGGGGCTTTGGATCAATCATTTTAATCTTTTTTGGCTTTAGCCCAGTTATCAATAGAGAGTGAGCTAAAGTAGATTCTTATACTGTATATCCTCCAGCTATAAACTTTTATGGCTATTGAATGTGAAATTTGGGGAGCATCTCATTTCGAGAATTCCACCCTAGCTCAGCAGTTTCACTCTGCTTTTTGTGTTGTGCCAGACTTGTATTTCAGTAAGCACCTTCACCTTTTCGATATCCCAGGATTCAAATGAAAAAAAAAAAAAAAAAAAAGACAAAAGTTAGTGGGGGAAAAGAATAGCTTAGTGCAGAAAAGGGAAAGCTTCCTTTCTTTTCCTAAAACCCCACAGTGTTGTATCCTCTCAATCTGGCTGTTGAATATGAAAGTCAAGTGGCAAAGACAGAAGAAGACATGCTTTGTGTCTTTATCTTCTTATTTCCATGTTTGTGCCAGTCAAATGAGGTAAAAATTCATAATACATAGTGAAGGGTGGTTGGGAATAAAAGCACAAAATTAAGACGGGCCCTGGTTGAAATTTTGGGAAATTCTGTCTCATTCATTGAAACAGAAATGAAGCTGACTTTACAAAAATGTTGATGATAAAATTATAATAATTATAATTATATGATGATAGTTCCAGATGTGATAAAATTAAAGTAAGCACCAAATATTTTAATGACTAAAATTATAATTAAACTGAGTCAAGTGATGATGAAATCAATGAAAACAGAAAAAAGTTCTTTGTATTGAATAAAGCAATAACAATCATCCTGAACATCAAACTCTCACTCAAGGTTGAAGAAGAAATGGAGAAGCACAGAAGTAATAGCACAGAATTATCAGGAACCCTAACTGATGGTACTACTGTTGGCAATGATGATGATGGACTAAATCAGCAGATTCCTAGGAAGGAAAATGGAGAGCATGACAGGTAAGCCTATAGCAGCGTTTAACAGGAGACAATTGGTCAAGTGTGGTGGCTCACGCCTGTAATCCAGCAATTTGGGAGGCCAAGGTGGGTGAATCACCTGAGGTCAGGAGTTCAAGACCAGCCTGACCAACATGGATAAACCCCATCTCTACTAAAAATACAAAATTAGCCAGGTGTAGTGGTGCATGCCTGTAATCCCAGTTACTCAGGAGGCTGAGGCAAGAGAATCGTTTGAACCTGGGAGGCGGGGGTTGTGGTGAGCCATGATCATGCCATTGCACTCGAGCCTGGGCAACAAGAGTAAAACTCCATTTCAAAAAAAAAAAAAAAAGCAAAAACAGAAACAAAAACAAAAAACAGGAGACAATTATGTGCTATGAAATGAATCCTAATTTGGGCTAATATTCATGATGAACAGATTTTATACTTTTACTAGGATATTCAGCCTTCCTTGGTTATCAGAAAAATGCAAACTAACAATGAGACACCATGTTTTCCAATCATATTGATATTTTATTTAAAAAATAGGAAGTATTGGCAAATGTGAAGAAAAAGGCGTTTTCATACACTTGTTAAATGAAATTGATGAATCCTTTTTGCAGGGTAATTTAGTAGCATGTATCAAAATTTCAAATATGTCACTTCTTTAACCTAACAACTTCACTTTTGGGACAAGATCCTACAGGAAAATATGACTTGTGTAAACACATACACATATGTGTTAAGGACATTTATTACATGTATGTAACATACAATAGGCTAATAGGTTAAATATATATAATGTTAAGTATATATGATATATATGTTAAGGATAATTATATATGTTACATATATACTTATGTATAAGGATATTTATTATAGCATTGTAATATCAAGAAGTTGGAGATAGTCTAAATCCTTAGCAATAAGGAAATAGTACAATTGTCATACCCAGAAAATAATGTAGCATGCACTCATTTTAATAAAAGAAGTTGTTAGACCAGGAGTGTACTGATTATTTCACAATTAAAGTCTATTTAAAGCCTTTAGTTTGATGACACATCTTAAGCCAGTTTTGTTGGAATTCTCATAATATCTGCTGAGTTACAAAAGGAAGCTAGCTACATGCTACATTGACACTGTACCTTGTTAGCAACAGAATTCTAGTTATTAAATTTTTGTTTTTTGCTGTCAATGTGTGAGTGCTGAAATACCAGATCCTCAAATTAATCTGAATATTGCCAAGGGATTGCACATGGGGATTCATGTTCCGTGTCAGCTTTTCAATATACTGGGTAAAACTTACTAAAATACAACAGAGGATCTTAGCTCTACTGAACCAAGAATTGGACAGCTCTTTTTGTAAAGAGCCAGTTAGTAAATATTTTAGGCCTTGTGAATTATAAAGGGCATAAGTGTGGCTGCATTTCAAGGAAATTTCCTTATGAAAACAGGCAGTGGGCTGGATTTGCTCCACAAGCACCAATTTGTTGATCCTTGTGCTAAAACCAAGGTGCTGTTATGCAGTGAATCCTCTTTTTAAAGGTACCCTACATGCATGCCATTATCCTTTCTTTTAAAAGATAATGTATTTCAGTAGGAAACACACCATATTTTTCAACAGTAGCTTCATATAATTTAGACAAATTTGATTTACAAAATAAGATGATTTTCTGCACTTGTCCCCTTTTATTCTTGTTATAGAATTCCATATTTTGACTATTACTTTGTATATTTGATGAGTATAAAATATTCTAGAGTTAGATGATTTTTATCAAGCAAGAAATACTTCTCCTGAAACTGTTAGTCTTCCTTGGTCTTTATGTATAAGCATGAGCAAAATGATAATCAGCTTATATAATCTAGAAATGTTCAAGAGGTCTTTTGGTCTTATAAGTTAATGAATTTTTATTTAATACCTTCATCTGGCATTTCAAAAATGCCATATAGATATGATTTAAAAAAAACTTTTAAAGGGTAAAAATATAGCATATAGTTATATAAGAATTGAAAAATACAGCTAAACAAGAAGAAAATTAGATCATCTACAGTCATGCCCCTAGGTATGCTGGCCTTGAAAGAATGGTTTATACTCATGGATTCAGATTTCTTGTCCATTCACTCTTGAGCTGATACCAGTAATTTTCACTCCCACCACTCTTCCAAGATTGTTGTTCTCAAGTTTACCATTGATTTGTAAATCTAGACATTGTTTCTTAGACCTCATTTTATTTAACCTGTCAGCAATATTGGACCCAATGGAAAACTCTCTCCTCCATAACAGTGTCTTCACTTGGCTTTCAGGATCTCACTCACTCACCTGGCTTTTCTTCCTGCCTTTCCAGTCCATCTGTCATAGTCTGTTTTGCTTTCTTCTCATATCCCACCTTTTACACATTGATATGTCCCAGGACTGATATGTCCCAGGACTCAGTCCTCAATCTTCTTTCTCATGACTTTTACTACCTTGTGTGTGCTAATGATTTCCAAATGCGTGTCTCCAGCCTAGATCTCTCTCCTTAATTCCAGACTTCTATACCAACCTGCCTACTTGACATCTCTGTTTGATTGGTCACGAACTGTTGGGTATCACAAACTTACCAGGTCCAAGATTGGGGTACCGATATTCTTTCTCATACCTACCCCTCACATGGTCTTTCCTACTTGCATTAATGGCAACTCTTGCAGTTGCTCTGCTAGAAACTAAGGTGTCATCATTGACTCCCCTCTCTCTCTGACACCTCACATCTAATCTGTCAGCAGATCTTGTCAGGAGTACCTGAAGAATATATCCAGAAGCCAGTCATATCTTCCATTTCCAACCCACCACCATCTGCTCTCTAGATGCATGTAATAGACTGTTAATTGGTCTGTTGTTTTTTTTTTAAAGAAACCTCTTTTCATTAATCCTTAACTCAGTGGCCATACTTAAAACATAAGTCAGATGATGTCATTCTTCTGCTCAGATCCATCTGATTGCCTCCCATTTCACTCTGAGTATGTGTCAGGGTTCCTCCTCATACCTAGAAGGCAACACACAATATGCCCTGTTCTCTCTCTCACTTAAACTTCTGTTTCTTATTCCCTTTGCTGTGCTTCAGCTACACTAAACTTCTTGCTCTTCGTTATCTATCACAGTTGCTTAAACACCCCAGGCACACCTCTGTACTGGGCAGTTCCCTGTGTTTGGGATGCCTTTTCCTCAGATAGCCTCCTGGCTTTCTTTTTCCATTCCTTCAGTTCTTTACTTCAAAGCCCCTTTCTCAATAAGGACTTTTCTGGCCATCCTAGAATTCCCACTATCCCTCCTCTCAAACCTGTAAACATTTCATTTTCCTGCTTTAGTTTTTCTCCTTTAACACTGTATATTTTGCCTAATCTATCTATGGTTATTGTGTTTATTTCACTCCCATGAGTAGGATGTTTGTGTGCCTAGAAAAGGGCCTAGCTTGCAATAAGTAGCTACTCAATAAATATTTATTAAATGAGCAACTGAAGTTTACCCTTCGGTGTATTGTTTTAAACATTAGATTGATTCTCAGGTAAGAAAAAAAAAAAAAGAAAAAGAAAGGTTTCACATGGGTTCATTCTAACACTTTTGCCTGGAAATTATATGCGTTTTTGGATTTTTTGGCTCTTTGTAATAAGCTACATTCTTTGTATTAATAGTTTTCCATTTAGAGAGAAAAGCTCAATATTGTGGTTACTCACTATTTATTCTTTTACTAATAATCATGATAGTTTTACTTATGATAAAATGGATCAAAGGAATTACATAGTTCATTGGTAATTTATAAAGAAAATTAAAATATAAGGGTGGTAAATTTAATGGACTTAAAATTGTTTCCAATTGATTATGAACCTTCAGTATTTGAAGTTAAAAGACCAAGTTGGAATGTGTTGCTTTCTATAAGAGAGCTATGCTCATCAGGCACTCTGTATTCTGACAGAGCAGCTGTTGATCTTACATAGGGTTGCAGGAGGAGCGGACTTGAAGCATTGGCAGACTCTCAGCGGCATAGGAGGGTTAACATCATCTGGAGAAACATGGCTATCTGAGTGAGGCTGCTGTGGGTTGGTTAACACTCCCAGGCTTGTGGATTGGAGTGAGTTTGTGTTTAATTGGCTGTCTTTCCGAAGCAAGTGGTCCACATTGATATTGGTTGGTGAGAGAGGCCAATGGTCACTGATGATTGACTGTATTTACAACTGGCTGTGGGTGGTTGCTTGTTACAAATATAGCTACTAAGTTTGAGACAACTTTAAACTGCAGTTTTCTGTTTAAAAGTTGCCTTCCATCAACTATGTTTAAAATGAAAATGATTTCATATTCCAGAACTATAGACTTAATTTGGAAGTGTGGGTCAAGAGGAATTGTTTAATAATTGCTCTCAGGAAGATCTCTTTTTTTGATGCTTAGTCTTAACCAGAAGAATTCGCTACATAGTTAAAAAACAAGCAAACAAACAAACAAAAAGCAATTATTAATTTTGTTTCAGTTTTTAGTATTTTCAGAGACTTCTGCTAAACTCCTAATCTCCAGTGGGAAATGTTTGTCTCTTTGTTAATGTATGTAGTTATATGATAGTGATATTCTTTTTTTTATTCCTTAATCTTTTTTTGTTCACCTTCTCTTCCATGCAATGATAGTGATATAATGTGTGTTTACTTCATAAAAAAGTAATTACAATTTTCTGCTGGCAAATCCACCTTTTTATATTAAGACTAAGTACTAGACTAAATATGTGGGAAATTTACCAAATTATTTTATTTTCAAACAAACATATAACTAATCAGAATATTGCTATTTTTGAACAATATATAATGACTATAATGACATTTAGGAATTTTAACACTAAGATTTTTTTCTTCCCGAGACATTTCCTTGATTTCTTTCATGTAATATGTGCCTGTTATTTTTAAAACTTGGTTAATCTGTTTAAACATTATTATATTTAAAAACAAAACCCAAAACATAGCACAGATCTAAATATGAGTTTCATGTGTGAGAGTCATTGCCTGTGTGCAGTGGACTCCAGCTGTTTTTTTTTTTTTTTTTTTTTTTTTGAGACGCAGTCTCGCTCTGTCGCCCAGGCTGGAGTGCAGTGGCACCATCTCAGCTCACTGCAAGCTCCGCCTCCTGGGTTCCCGCCATTCTCCTGCCTCAGCCTCCCGAGTAGCTGGGACTACAGGCACCCGCCACCGCACCCAGCTAATTTTTTGTATTTTTAGTAGAGACGGGGTTTCACCGTGGTCTCGATCTCCTGACCTCATGATCCGCCCGCCTCGGCCTCCCAAAGTGCTGGGATTACAGGCGTGAGCCACTGCGCCCGGCCAGCTGTTTTTTTTTTTCTTTTCTTTTTTCGTTGTGACAGAGTCTCACTCTGTCACCAGGCTGGAGTGCAGTGGCAATCTCAGCTCACTGCAACCTCCAGCTCCTGGCTTCAAGCGATTCTTCTGCCTCAGCCTCCCGAATAGCTGGGACTACAGGTGCGCCACCATGCCCAGCTAATTTTTGTATTTTTAGTAGAGATGGGCTTCACCATGTTGGCCAGGATGGTCTTGATCCATTGACCTCATGATCCGCCCGCCTCAGCCTCCCAAAGTGCTGGGATTACAGGTGTGAGCCACCGCACCCAGCTGACTCCAGCTTTTTAGTGTGGCATTCATCTTCCATTCTTACTTTCTTTGTGTTTTACACTTTTCCTTTCAAGTTCCTAGGAAACACCTAGACTCCATGGGACTAATCTTTGTGCTGTCATTCCATTCTCCAAGTGGAGTAGTTTTCTCTATTTTTTCCCTGGTGAGCTCCTCTTATATTTTGCCTCTTCTGTAATGACTTCCTTGTGCTAAAATATAACTTTCCATATATCAACTCTTAAACTACACATTGTATCATAATTGCATATTACCTGGTTTTTGAGGCAGGAAATATATATTTCTTTATATGTTGTTGATAATTCATAACTGTGTTTTTTGAATTAATGAATTGAGATGGGGAAGAATTGGAATTTTACAAAATTTTTTTTATTTGTTATCAGTAGAATTATTATAAAACATTGGCTTTTTGTAGATTTTTTAAAGTTGTGGTTCTGCGTTACATATGAAGGAAGTAAAGAAAAATGAAAATAAAAAATGTACCTCAAAATAATCTCTAAAATAATCTCTGATTACACCAGTGTTTGAGAAGGCTAATTTAGTAACTTGTGGTCTGCTACAAGGAGATGATGACAGCAGTTTAAGTGAAATAGATGAGGTTGAAAGAAGTTAAAATGTATAAGTTCTTTATTTCTCTGAGAAGGAATATTCCCAGTGGTTACTTTTTCTGGAAATAGAAAATAGTGTAGTCTGCCAAAGCTAGAGAATACTCAACTATATCAATGCTGAAAGACTGATTATGATGAGGGCTGGTAACTTTGACAAGGAGCAGTTTCAATAAATAATTGCTGTGGAATCCTGACTGTAGTGGATAAGCATAGATACCCCTTGAGGGAACCGTTATTGGGAAAGGCAACAGAGAAATGAGTGATAACTGAAGAAGAATGTGGGATTCAAGGGAATTTTCTTTCTTTTTTATTTCAAAATAGAAGCTTTTAGAGTGTGTTTGTATGCTGCTGGGAATGATAGGGACAAGGATAACATGTTTATGAGATTTAATTTTGTATGTCTAAGTGTTTGAAAGCTCGGTTCATTATCTTTTGTAGGTTTTTAGCAAACTAATTGTCCTTAAAGTGTTTATTCATGTAGAGTTTTATGGTAAGAGTTTGTTCCTTCAGCATTGGTTCAGAAATGTAACATATTAGCATAACTGAACCTGTGAATGGTGACCTAAAATTTAAACTATCATATGCAGATTGTTTTTAATTATGAAATAATAAACATGCAAACACTTAGGCCATACTGAATAGAATTTAAACATCCCTGATGAATAGGTATGATCTGCTGAGGTACTCTAAAATGTCAGGAGTATCAACTTTACAGTTGTTTAGATTCTGGGGAGAAGGGGAGGGTTTTGTTTAAGTACTTTAGAAAAGCTAACTGTTGACAGTCTATCAGATTATTACTTCTGGATTATAAAGTTTTGTTTTTTTTGTTTTTTTTGTTTTTTTTTTTTTGAGACAGAGTCTTGCTCTTTCACCCAGGCTAGAGTGCAGTGGCACAATCTTAGCTCACTGCAATCTCCACTTCCCAGATTCAAGCGATTCTCCTGTCTCAGCCTCCTGAGTAGCTGGGATTGCAGGCGCCCGCCACCGTGCCCAGCTAATTTTTGTATTTGTAGTAGAGACGGGGTTTCATCATCTTGGGAAAGCTGGTCTTGAACTCCTGACCTCGTGATCCATCCACCTTGGCCTCCCAAAGTGCTGAGATTACAGGCGTGAGCCACTGCACCTGGCCTATAAAGTTTTTTTTAAAAATATTTAATCAAGTTGACCTACAATGGATTATAAAGTTCTGAAGTATCAAAACCATGTTTCCCTTGACCAACATTGCCATCAGCATGTATTGTGTGCTCAATGAGTATTTATTTGTTGAATGCGTGAATGAATGGGTGAATACATGAATGAATACCTGTTGATGGATTTCATTAAAAATACTTTTTAGTTTTTTGAAAGTAGTTTTCTAAACTTGCCTCTGTATAAAGTTTTTTTATTAGAAAAAATTGCAAGATTCTGACATTATTTATAGTTGTAGTCAGAAATGGAATGACAATGTGGGTTCATCTGCTATCATCTCTCTTTAAAACACTTGAAAATAAATGTTACCTTCACAGCATATCATGAAGCACATGTTTTTGAGGCAGAATTCTTGGGTTTGAGTTCTGGATCTGCTACTGACCAGCTGTATGGGCTGAGGACAGTCACTTGGCCCTTCTGTGCCTATTTTCTTTCTTTATAAAATTCTTAATATGTTACTGACCTCACAGAATTGTTATGAGGATTATATGAGTTTGACACATGGACAGTGCTCAGAATGATGCACAGTACCTGCATAGTAAGTCCAGAAAAAGCTTACTAATATCATCATTAAAAAAGGGTTTCCCTTATATAAGAATGTGAGTAATATTTTCCAAATAGGTTTTAGTGCCCGTAAAAGCTTGTTTTTATTGAAAAGGACAACAATGAGAAGACCCTGGTATATTTATTTTTATCACGTAATGCAGGTAACATATTTTTTTCTTTTGGTTTTACTATGAGAAATCTTGACCTAAATTTAATTCTTTGTAATTATATTAGTAGTAGTAAATTTCTTTATCCCTTAATGTTGCTGTTTCTGTTTATAGTTTAATGTCCGTTGTAGAAAATTACTGCATTTTACATTACCTGTAAAAAAATTACCTATACACTTGATGAATAGAAGTAACACAAATGCAGACATTTTATATGATAAAACAGTAGTGTTAGATATTCTTTGTATTTTAAATCTTTGCTATTTTTCTAAGAGGAATTGTTTTTTTTTTTTTCAGGCCTGCAGATAAAACATCTAATGAAAAGAACGAGGTATTGTAAAAAAGGAAATGATCTAAAATATTGTTTTAAAAAAACAAGTTCTAAAAGGTAAAAATGAAAAAAACAAGATGTTTTGTTGTAAGGCTGTTTGCTTAGAAAAAGTGATGAAGAAACAGTAACCGTTGATAATGGTACCTTTTAAGAACAATCTGTTGCTTTAAGAAGTACCTGTATTTTTGCTCATACAAAAAAAATGGAGAAATACCGCTTCTGTACCTTTAGTATATGCTATAAATCTTTCGAGGACATTTTGAAACAGTATTATTTATCTTATAGGTCAAAAACCAAATATATCCTGAGGCTGACTTTGCTGACTCAATGGAGCCATCTGAAATAGCCTCGGAGGATTGTGAATTGTCTCACTCTGTTTATGAGAATTTTATGTTGCTGATTGAACAACTTAGAATGGAGTATAAAGGTAGGACCACTGCATAAATGCAAGGCCTTTTGATGTATCCTGCAGTAATGTGTGTATACATTGCTGAGAACTGATGTGTGATAGTGAAGCTCATCTCAGAAATACGCTCAGTGTTAAAATAGAGAACTAGCTTATACTCTACGCCAAAGAGCTATGATAACTCCACTGTACTTCTCTCAGTGTGAGTGGCATTCCCAGTCTTTTTGTTGACTCTTTCTCTCCTATTCCTTCCCCCAATGTCAGGTTACCATTTTTTTCTCCACCTGGAATGCTGCGAGAATCTTAGGAATCTTAGAACTGTTTTCCCAAATACCCCACCTCCTAAAACCATGGTCTACTCTGCAATCATAATGACAAATTTTTAAAAATTTGGATCTGATCATGTTACTCCTTTGCTTATAACTCAGCTACTACTTCTTATTGCTGTAAGGTTAGAGATCTGAATCCTCTAGCTTTATCCTGCATCGTTTTTACTCTTCTCTTTCTCTGTGTCCCACTCTGTGTCTTATATGTTTGTTCCAGCACTGATAGCTTCAGTGAGGTATAACTGATATATGATAGACTGCACGTATATAAAATATACAATCGTGTGCACATTTGAAACCACCATAATCAGGAGAGTTAACATGTTCATCATCCATAAAAGTCTCTTCTTGTCCCTTTGTCTTTCTTTATTAAGAAACTGCTAAATTGTTTTCCAAAGTATTTGTATTGATTTTGCATTCCAACCAGAGGTATACGACATTTCTTGTTGTTCTGTATCATCACAAGCTCTTATTATTGCTGTTTTTAAATTTTGAAATTTTAGCCATTCTGATGGGTGTGTATTATGCATATCATTATGGTTTTAATGTGCATTACCCTAAGGACTAATAATGTTGAGCATCTTGTATATGCTTATTTGCCACCTGTGAACTGTCTTTTCCAATCTGGGTAGCTTATGAACATTTAAAATTGAGATTCGATTCAATCAGCTTTTTTACATACACCAAAGATAGTCAAACCTTTTCATTTTCAAACTGTTATCTTACTAAACATAGTAAATATTTTAAACTTGTGATGAAATGGTCTCTGTCACAGCCAATCAACTCTGCCATTGTAGTATGAGACCAGCCATAGACAATACATATGTTAAAAAACACAACTGCATTCCATTAAAACTTTATTTGCAAAAATAAGAAGCTGCCCCGCAGGTTGGATTTTACCCATCCCTATTATGTGATCATGATTGTGAATACAGACAGTTTTACTTCTTCTTTTCAACTCAGGTAGCTTTTATTTCCTTTTCTTTCCTAACTGCACTGGCTTCAGTGCAATGCTGACTAGAATAGTGAAAGGAGACATTCCTGTATTGTTCCCGATCTTACAGGGAAAGCATTCAGTTATTCATCATGACACATGTTAGTTGTAGGTTTATCAGAGATGCTCTTTATCATGCTGATGGCGTTCCCTTGTATTCTTTAGTTACTGAGAGGGGTTTTTTTTTTTTAAATCAGGAATGAATGTTGTATTTTATCAAATGCCTCTATCTACTGAGATGATCATATGGTTCTTCTCTTTTAGTTTTTTAATGTGGTGAATACTTATATTTTAATGTCAAACAAACCGTGTATTTAGGGATACACCCCACTTGTTTATGATGTATTATCCTTCTAATGTATCATTGGATTTGATTTGCCAAAGCTTTATTTAGAGCGTTTTAAAAGACTATTTTTTAGAGTAGTTTTAGCTTCACAGCAAAATTGAAAGTAAGGCACAGAGATTATCCCTGTACTCCCTGCCCCCACACGTGCATAGCCTCCACAATTATCAATATCCTCACCAGAGTGCTACACTTGATCTCATTGATGTTCCTGAATTGATAATCATAATCACCCAAAGTCCATAGTTTATATTAGGGTTCATTCTCGGTGTCTTATATTCTGTGAATTTGGACAAAAGTATAAGGACATGTATTTATCATTGTAGTATTATCCAAAGTAATTTCAGAGCTTTAAAACTCCTTTGTGCTTCATCTGTTCATCTTTTCCCACCTTCCCTCCCCAACTCTTGGCAACCACTGACTTTTTTTACTGTGTCTGTAGTTTTGCCTTTTCCAAAATGTCATTTAGTTGGTATCAGACAGCGTGTAGCCTTTAGACTGGCATCTTTCACTTGGTAATATGCCTTTGTGGTTCCTTCATGTCTTCTCATGGCATGATAGCTCATTATCGCATGGCTGTACCAGAAGTTGTTCACTCACCTAAAGGAGGATATCTTGGTTTTTTGAGAAACTGGTTACATTTTTACGTCCATGTTCATGAGGGAGTCAGATTTTGGTTCAGGGTAATGCTAGAGGGACAGAATGAGTTGTATTTCTCCTCTATTTTTTTTTTGAGGGCAGGGGGAGAGGTCATGTAAAATTGTTATATTGCTTCTTAAATATTTGGTAGAATTCACCAGCATAGCTATCTGGGCCTGGAGTTTTCTTTCTAGGAAGGCTTTACTTATGCTTTCTTTTATAGATATAGGACAGTTCATGTTATTCCTTCTTAAATTGGACCTTGGTAATTTTTGTTTTTCAAGGCAAGTGTCCATTTTATCAAAGTTGTCATGTTTAGTCACATAAAGCTTACCTTATTATATTTGTATTCTTTTAGTATCTGTAGAATCTATAAAAATGTCATGTTACTATGTTTCTGAAGTTAGTAATTTGCATCTTCTTTTTTATGATCAACCTGGCTAGAGTTTTATCACTTTTATTGACCTCCTCAAAGTGTGTGGTTTTATTGATTTTTTTCCTATTGTTTTTCCGTTTTATTGGTTTCATCTTTGATGTTTTGGTCTGTTCGGCCTGCTATAACAAAATACCATAGACTGGGTAGCTTATAAACAACAGAAATAGATTTCTCACAAAAGTCCAAGATCTAGGTGCTGGCAGATTTGGTGTCTGGTGAGAGACCAATTCCTGGTTCATAGATCTCTTTTTTCCCCCTGTGTCCTCACATGGCAGAACAGGTGAATGAGCCCTCTGGGGTCTATATATATAAGGGCACTAATCCCACTAATGAGGGCTTGGCTCCCATGAGCTAATTACCTCCACAAAGCCCCACCTTCTGATAACATCACCTCTGTGATTAAGTTTCAGCATATGAGTTCTGGGAGGATGCAAATGTCAGACAATACCAGATGCTTATTGTATCATTTCCTCTGCTTGCTTTGAGTTTAATTTGTTCTTCTTCTTTTTTAGTTTCTTCTCTTTTTTTAGTTTCTTAAGATAAAAGTCAAGACCATTGACTTGAGAGTCTTCTAATATAGACATTAAGTGCTAAAAAATTTTAAGTACTGTTGTAGCTGTGTTCCACAAATCCTGATATGTAGTATTTTCATTTTCATTCAGTTCAAAATACTCTCTAATTTCTCTTTGCATCGTGTCTTTGACCTAGGGTTATTTAGATGTGTATTACTTTGTTTTAAAATATTTGAATATTTTGATGAGATATTTTGTTACTAATTTGTGATTTGATTGCCATGTGGTCAGGGAACATACTTTGTATGACTTAAATCTTTCTGACTTAATTCTTTCATTAAGATTGATTGCAGGCCGGGTGCAGTGGCTCACGCCTGTAATCCCAGCACTTTGGGAGGCTGAGGCGGATGGATCACGAGGTCAGGAGATCGAGACCATCCTGACCAATACGGTGAAACTCTGTCTCTACTAAAAATACAAAAAATTAGCCGGGCGTGGTGGCAGGCTGAGGCAGGAGAATGGCATGAACCCGGGAGGCGGAGCTTGCAGTGAGCCGAGATCCCGCCACTGCACTCCAGCCTAGGCGACAGAGCGAGACTCCGTCTCAAAAAAAAAAAAAAAAAGATTGATTGCAGAACCTAGAATGTGGTCTGTTTGGTAAGTGCTCACTGGGTACTTGAGAAGCATGGTGTTGTTCAAGTGTGCTCCATTCTTGCTGATTTGCAGCTCCCTTGTTTTATCACTTATTGAGTAAGTGATATTCAAATCTCAGATGTACTTGTGAATTTGTCTATTTCGTCTATTGATTTTTGCCTCATATATTTTGAAGCTGTTATTAGGTGCACAAACATTTGAGATTACACGTTCTTGATTAACTGAATTTTTTTTTTTTTTTTTTGTATTTTTAGTAGAGACGGGATTTCACCATGTTAGCCAGGATGGTCTCGATTTCCTGACCTCGTGATCCACCTGCCTCGGCCTCCCAAAGTGCTAGGATTACAGGCATGAGCCACCGCGCCCAGCCGATTAACTGAACTTTTAAAAGTCATTAGGAAATGACTGTTTATAGCTGGTAATTTTTTTTTTTTTTTTTGGTGTGAAATCTACTTTGGTATTAACATAGCCATTTCTTCTCAGGCTTCTTTTGTCAACTCTTAGCCTGATATATCTTTTTCCATTCTTTTGAACAATTTATGTTTTTACATTTAAAGTGCTTTTTTTAATAGGAAGCATGGAGTAGGTTCTTGCCTTTTTATCCAGTCTGACAATCTGCCTTTTAATTGAGATTTTTAGGCCAGTTCCATTTATAATGTGCTTATTGATACAGTGAAATTTGTCTGTCATCAAGCTGTTTGATTTCCATTGGTCCCCCCAGTTCTTTGTTCTCTTCTTTTTCTGCTTTCTTCTCAATTAGTCCAGTAATTTTTATGATTTATTTTTATCTCCCTTTTATGGCTTATTAGCGATAACTATTTTTTTCTATCTTAGCAGTTGCACTACAATTTATAGTATATGATTTTAACATCACAGTCCATCTTCAAAAAATATTATGGCATATCATATATGGCATAAGAAAATTATGAATGAAAACCCAAACATTGTATGTTCTCACTTGTAAGTGGGAGCTATGCTATGAGGATGCAGGGGCATAAAAATGATACAGGTTGGGGACTTGTGGGGAAAGAGTGGGAGGGGGGTGAGGGACAAAAGACTACGGATTGGATCCAGTGTATGCTGCTTGGGTGATGGGTGCGCCAAAATCTCAGAAACCACCACTAAAGAACTTATTCATGTAACCAAGGACCACCTGTTACCCCAAAAGCTATTGAAATTTTTTAAAAAAGAAAATTGGAATAGTATACTTTCATTTCCTCTCTCCCAGCCAGATACTTCTGGATTTGTAGGATTATAGTTTTCTTTACATTTAGAAAGTTTTGGCCATTCTTTTTTTATTTTTCTGTCTCTCTTTTTCCCTCTTTGGGGACTTATTCCTGCTTGAAGTTTTCTCATAGTTCACTGATGTCTCAAATTTATGAATCTTCTCTTTGGTGATGTCTAATCTGTGTTCACCTCCATCCATTTTAGCTTTCATTCCTGACATTGTAATTTGAATCTCTACAAGTGTAGTTTGCTTTAAAGAAAAATCTTCCATGCCTCTGCCTGTCTGCTTGAGCTTAATTTTAATATACAGTTGAGTTCCATATGAACAGCTTGATCTTTCTGATCTTGCTTTTATGATTGGTCTAATTTCCTGCTCCTGAGGCAAGATCTTTGTGATGACTCTATTCATTGCCATGCGAAGTCTGAGTTTTCCCAGCATCACTCATGGGAATGGACACTCTTTTTGGCACATCGTGAACACCAGACATGTTTCTTTCCAGTGTTTTTTAGATGTTTTTTTCCCCTTGATCTGGGGCGGTTTTCTGGCACACATGTGCTGTTTGTTACTCTGCTAGATACCCAGGAGGTATTTTTGCAAATCTTCAGTGTTCTTTCCCTGTACTTTGTCTCCTTTCCGGTGTTCTGTTTTGTGATCTCTGTGTGCCTTGGCTTTACCAGACTCTCAGCTTCATCATCTCATCTCAGGGAATCTGGTGGACTCTATGTCAGTTTTTTCTCTCTGTGCGGTAGCCTGGAAACTCCGTGAAGGCAGGGAGCTGGAGTGTTGGATGAATTTCCTTTGTTTCCTGTCTTACGGGGATCATTGTCTTCATTACCTGAAGTCCACTGCCTGGTAAATCATTGTATAATATATTTTGTCTGTTTTCTTTTTGGTTGTTTCAGGCCAGAAGGTAAATCAGTACTTGCTGTCCATTGTGGCCAGAAGCAGATTCCAGCAGAGCTTCAGCACCTGCTGTCGACTGGCAAGAATGCTTTTCTACCCCTTTGCTTAACTGCTTCCTTCTCACCCTTCATTTCTCAGTGTAGCCATCTGTTCCTCAGGGGAATCTTCCCTGGGCCCATTATAGATCAAATTCTTCTGTGTGATCATAGAACTCTGTTTTCTTACACCATATATCTGAATTTATAATTGTCATTTTTGTTGTGTTTGTTCCTTACTTCACTTAAGGCTAAATGAGAGTAGAGGTCTTATCTGTTTTATCTGCAGAGCTTAGTAGAATGTCTCCCACTTTGTAGGCACTCAGTGCATATGTGTTCAATGTATGAAGGAGACAATGTTAAAAATGCACAGTTTTTTAATACCTAAAAGTACTCATATATTTTATTTCTACCTTTTCTCCCTGACACAGATTCTGCTAGCCTACCAAGAATCCAAGAAAGACACATTTTGTTTGTGTGAACACTTACTGAAACTTAAGAATAATCACTGTGACCAACTTACAGTAAAACTTAAACAAATGGAAAATATGGTCAGTGTACTACAAAATGAGCTATCTGAAACAAAAAAGACAAAATTACAGTTAGAACTTCAAAAAATTGAATGGGAGAAAGAGCTGTACGATTTGAGGTATGATGTTCTAGTTCTAAAGAAATATTTATACTAAAGACAATATATCAGAATTTTTGTAACTGCTGACTTACCTTCTGCAGATTAATGGGGGAGAAACCTTTTTGGTCTTGTGGGATATGAAATTCTTGGAAATAATAAAACAAATTATTAACTGTGAACTCTTCTAATAAATAAATGTATATTCTTTGCAATCTAAATGGCCATATAGAAGTCCACCATATAAAATCTTGTTACTCATTTAACAAATTGTAATTTGGGTTTTAAAATTATCTTGTATTTATAATTAATGATGTAAGGAACATCTTTTATCGTTACTATTATTTGTAGACACAGGGTCTCTGTGCCTGGAACTGGAGTTCACTGGTGTGATCATACCTCCCTGCAGCCTTGAACTCCATCCTCCTGCCTCAGCGTCCTAAGTAGTTGGGACTCCAGGTGCACATTCTCATGCTTGGCTAACTTTTTAAGTGTTTTGTAGAGACGGGGTATCACTATGTTGCTCAGGATGATCTCCAATTCCCAACCTCAAGCATTACTTCTGCAAAATTGGCCTCCCAAATCATTAGTATGACAGACATGAGCCATCATGCCCAGCCCAGAACATTTTTTATATAAATGTTTTTCTACATTCCTAAACTGTTTGCTTTGAATAAATTCTCCAATATAGAATTATTGGTTGAAATATAGGAACTTTTTAAAAAGACCTCTGATCAACATTTCTTAATTTTTCACAAGAATGTTTGTGTTAATTTATAGTTCAAGCAACAGAGCATGAACTGGTCACTTTTCTAAACCCAAAGTAATTTTCAAAAAATTTATACAGTTTTATTCTTTTTGAAAACTTTTTTTTAATTTCATAGCTTTAGGTATACAAGTGGTTTTTGGTTAAATGGATGAATTGTATGGTGGTGAAGTCTGGGATTTTAGTGTGCCTATCACCCGAGTAGTACACATTGTACCTCAGTAGGTAGTTTCTCATCCCTCATCCTCCTCCCACACTCTCCCACTTCTGATTCTCCGATGTCCATTATACTACTCTGTCTGCATTTGTGCACCCATAGCTTAACTCCCTATTATGAGTGAGAATGTGGTTTTATTTGGCTTTCCATTCCTGAGTTAGTTCACTTAGAATAATGGCCTCCAGTCCCTTCCAAGTTGCTGCAAAAGACATTATTTCATTCTTCTTATGGCTGAGTAGTACTCCATGACATATATATACCACATATTATTTATTCCATTCATTGGTTGATGGACACTTAGGTTGATTCCGTATCTTCGCAGTTGTGAAATGTGCTGCAATAGACATACGTTTGCAGGTGTTTTTTTTTTGATATAATGATTTCTTTTCCTTTGGGTAGATACCCAGTAGGGGATTGTTGGATTGAATGGTAGCTCTATTTTAGTTGTTTGAGAAATCTGTCTACTGTTTTTCATAGAGGTTGTACTAATTTACATTTCCACCAGCAGTGTATAAGCATTTCCTTTTCACCACATCTGCACCAACATCTATTGTTTTTTGACTTTTTAATAATGAGCATTCTGGCTGGAGTAAGGTGATATCTCCTTGTTGTTTTAGTTTGTATTTCTGTGAATATTAGTGCTGTTGAGCATTTTTAAATATGTTTTTTGGCCATTTGTGCATCTTCTTTTGAAAAATGTTCATGTCATTTGTGTACTTTTTGATGGGATTATTTGCATTTTCTTGCTGATTTGTTTGTCCTTTGTCAGATGCATAGTTTGCAAATATTTTCTCCTATGCTGTAGGTTCTCTTACTCTGATGATTATTTCTTTTGCTGTGCAGAAGCCTTTTCTTTTCTTTTCTTTTCTTTTCTTTTTTTTTTTTGAGGCAGAGTTTCACTCTTGTTGCCCAGGCTGGAGTATAATGGCGTGATCTCGGCTCATGGCTACCTCTGCCTCCCGGGTTCAAGCTATTCTCCTGCCTCAGCCTCCTGAGTAGCTGTGATTAAAGGCATTGCCACCATACCTGGCTAATTTTGTATTTTTAGTAAGACAAGGTTTCTCCCTGTTGGTCAGGCTGGTCTTGAACTCCTGACCTCAGGTGATTCTCCCACCTTGGCCTCCATGTCACTGCACTCCAGCCTGGGTGACAGAGCAAGACTCTGTCTCAAAAAAAAAAAAAAAAAAAAAAATATATATATATATATATATATATATGTTTTTGGTTAAATGGATGAAGTGTATGGTGGTGAACTCTGGGATTTTAGTGTGCCCATCACCTGAGTAGTACACATTGTACCTCAGTAGGTAGTTTCATATATATATACACACACATTTTTTTTTTTTGGTAGACATGAGGTCTCATTATGTTGCCCAGGCTAGTCTCAAACTTCTGGGCTCAAGTCATTCTCCTGCCTTGGCCTCCCAAAGTACCAGGATTACAGATGTGAGCCACATGTTAGGCCTAATCCATCTTGAGTTAATTTTTATATATGTTGAGAGATAGGGATCCAGTTTCATTCTTCTACATGTGGCTATTCAATTTTCCCAACACCATTTATTGAATAGGGTGTTCTTTGCCCAGTTTATGTCTTTGTACGCTTTGTGAAAGGTCAGTTGGTTATACATATTTGGCTTTATTTCTAGGTTCTCTATTCTGTTCCATTGGTCTACGTATGTACTTTTTTATACAAGTACCATGCTGTTTTGGTTACTTTAGCCTTGTCATATGGTTTTAGATCTGGTAATGTGATGTCTCTGGCTTCGTTCTTTTTGCTTGGGATTGCTTTGGCTATTCAGGCTCGTTTTTGATTCCCTGTGAATTTTAGGGGTACTTTCTCTAATTCTGTGAAGAATGACAGTGGTATGTTAATAGGAATTGCATGGAATCTGTAGATTGCTTTGGTTAATATGATCATTTTCACTATATTGATTCTTCTAATCTATGAACATAGGGCATATTTCCATTTGTTTGTGTCATCTATGATTTCCTTCAGCAGTGCTTTCTAATTCTCCTTTTAGAGATCTTTCACCTCCTTGGTTAAGTATATTCCTAGGTTTTTGTTGTTGTTGTTGTTGTTGCAGCTGTTGTAAAAGGGATTAGGTTCTTGATTAGATTCTCACCTTGGTCGTTCTTGATGTTTACTAGTGCTCCTGATTTGTGTACATTGATTTTGTAACATGAGACTTTTACTGATTTCATTGATTAAATCTAGGAGTCTTTAGGGTTTTCTAAGCTAAAACAGAGATAGTTTGACTTTGTCTTTTCCAATTTGGATGCCCTTTATTTATTTCTCTTACCTGATTGCTCTGGCTAGGACTTCCCAGTTTTATTCTAAATATGCACGAAATAAGTAAAATGGACAGTAATTGATGATTATTTTATTCCATATCTCTCATATGCAGATAAAATTAATTCCAAATTCATTGTTGAAACACATATTATCCTTTACTTTTAAACTAAATATTAGATCCTGTCTTGTTCCAAAAAGGGATTTTAAAATTGGTGATGAAATACTTAAGAATCAAGAAGATAAGTTGAAAGTGTTACCCAAAAGAGAAACATAAAAAGGATGGGGTAACAGTTATAGACAGCTTAGGCTAGTCTTGGATTATAGTAATCTGCAGATACATGTTGTGTGAATGACATCTGAAGGTGTTATCTTACACTGTAAATCATTTTTATGACTACACATACACTATTCCATGAAGACGAAAATGCATTTCTAGTGAATTTCTAAACTTGTTTGTAAACAGTAACTTCTTTTAAATTAACTCTAAATGATCTAATTAATTTTCAACTTGCATAACGTGAAAAAGAAGTAATTTTCAACTTGTAACTTTACTGAAAAATTTCAAATATGCTTTTCCATAATATTTACCAGGGTTACTAGTAACAGAAACTTACCAGTTAATGGAATATTTCTTTCCTCACTACCTCTCAAATATATATGTCCCTTGGAAGAGATCGAAGTGAGAAATTAAAAACATGAGAACTAGAAAGGAAACAAGAGCATAGGAGTTTTTATGAGGATAATAAACCCACATGGGAAGAGCCAGATCACAGAATAAACTTTTTTATTTTTTAACAAAACACATTTTAATGTAATCCATGTTTAACTGCAGACTTGCCTTAAAACAAGAAAATGAGGAGAAAAGAAATGCCGATATGTTGTATAATAAAGATAGTGAACAGTTAAGAATAAAAGAAGAGGAGTGTGGGAAAGTGGTTGAAACAAAGCAACAACTTAAATGGAATCTGAGAAGACTTGTTAAGGAATTGAGGACAGTAAGAAATAACTTGGATCTGGTAAATTAATCTTTGGTGTAAACTTCATTTTTCTAACTTTATGTTTCATCGGTATTACTTATAATTTTTTGCCTTCATGTATATCATTTAGGTTTAAAATAAACCAAAACTGTTATTTCCTCTTAAGAATGAACTATGACATTTATAGATAAAATTATTTACTGTAAACCTTGTCATCTAATAGATGCTCAGTCTGTGTTTTTAGAGTGGAGGATAAGTTGAGTTTAATTACTAATATAGCTGTTCATTTACACATTTTTTATGTTAAAATACAGGCTAAATAGCTTTGAAACTATAAGGACACTAGTTAAATGTTTTGAAAGAAATTTTATTTCACAATGCTGTATCTTCTCGTAGTTAAGAACTGTTTTTCCTCTTTGACAGATTTAGCTGTCATGTATGCAATTAAGATTTGAGTGATTCTTGAGGGATAAAAGTTCTTGTGTTTTAACAGGCTACTTCTTTTTAACCGTTTTATAAGAGAGGCTCTGCTCTTAACCTTTTAGATTTTCTTTTTCAGTGCTATTAGACCAAAACCTCCATGTCATCTCTAGGTTGTGCAGGAGAGAAACGATGCCCAGAAGCAACTTTCTGAAGAACAGGATGCCAGAATATTACAAGATCAGATTCTGACGAGTAAACAAAAGGAACTAGAAATGGCTCAGAAGAAAAGGAATCCTGAGGTATTTTCTTTAGTCATTTTCAAATATATTTTTGTATGTGAATATATTTTTAAAAAACAACTCTGTGCAACTTGGAAAGTACAATGGATTTTTGAACTACACACACACACACACACACACACACACACACACACACATTTGGGGGTGGTGATGGTGGTTCTGGCATTTTTGGCTCATTGAATAAAGTCATGTTCTTAATTCAACTCCATTTGTTTGCAAGAGTCAAGTAGTGACATTCACAGTGGCCTTATCCAAAGGAGAAACATTTGTTATTTTTCATAGAATTAATGATCTTTCCACAATCTCAAAATCCTTGCTACTAACAACAGACGTTCTAGTTTTCAGACATTATTTCATCTTCCTAATATATTAATGGAGAGGTTAGATTATTATTTCCACTTGCAGTAAGGATGAAATGTATAGCCAGTTCAGAGGCCGTACTTCAGAAGCCGTTTCCCTTACTTTTGAGGAGAGTAACAGTTTGCTCCAAGTAGTGTCTCATTTCAGTGCAAAGAGCTTTGAAAACAATGATATGCCATAATATAAACTTGGTGATAATTTATTGGTAAGTGTTTTTTCTTAGAAAAATAGTTCAGTGTGTGGGAGACTGAGGCGGGTGGATCACGAGGTCAGGAGATCAAGACCATCCTGGCTAACGCGGTGAAACCCCATCTCTACTAAAAATACAAAAAAAATTAGCCAGGCGTGGTGGCGGGAACCTGTAGTCCCAGCTACTCGGGAGGCTGAGGCAGGAGAATGGCATGAACCCTAGGTGGCGGAGCTTGCAGTCAGCCGAAATTGGGCCACTGCCCTCCAGCCTGGGTGACAGTGCGAGACTCCGTCTCAAAAAAAAAAAAAGAGAAAAGAAAAATAGTTCAGTGTATTTCACCTTGTTTCATGCTTATTTCTGTTTCAGACATTATAAAGAGGAAACGTAAGTTATTGTAATAACAGATAATCTCATGATTTTCTAAGAAAAGCTCTGTAACTTCTTTTTTTACCACTGGTGTTTTGAAATAAGCGTCTTTTATATTTATATATTTACAACACAGAAGTAATTGTGGTTTGGTGGAAGAGCACTAGAAGTAAAGTAAGGGAACCTAGGGAAAATCCTGCAACTTGCATATTTTTTGACCTCTCCTTTCAGAATTGTGATATAAATGAGTTCAGTGATACATGTACAAGTGCTTGGTACAAGGCCAGGTGCAGCGGCTCACGCCTGTAATCCCAGCACTTTGGGAGGCCGAGGTGGGTGGATCACTTGAGCCCAGGAGTTCCAGACCAGCCTGGGCAGCATGGCGAAACCCCATCTCTACAAAAAGTACAAATACATTTAGCTGCGTGTGGGGGTGTGTGCCTCTAGTTCAGCTACCCAGGAGGCCGAAGTGGGAGGATCACCTGAGCCCGGGAGGCCAAGGCTACAGTGAGTCTTGATTGCGTCACTGCCCTCTAACCTGAGTGATGGAGTGGAGACCCTATCTCGAAAAAAAAAAAAAGCCTAATATAATGCTTAGATTTAGCATTTATGAATAAATGTAATTCTTATATAACCGATGAGAAAAATGTTAGAAAAATAAATAGCTATAGAATATTCTCAGGAAAAAAAGAACTTCAAGAACGTTGGAACATTTCCTCTGTCCAGATATATGCAAAGCTACAGCTTTTACTATAGGGTGGTGTATAGGTTAGATGTCAGAGTGTAAAGCCAATTTTTTAATGTAGTCAAATTTATTAGTCTTTAATGCCTTTGAGTTTGTTGTAATTTGGAGACCGTCTTTTCCAATTCTGAGATGCTTAAAAATTCTCTAGTTATTTATGTTCTACATTCATGGATTCATTGTCTTCAAATAAACTTATGAAGTTTTGGGAATTTATGCTCTATGAGGTTTGAAGTTTCGATAGAATATTTTTTTCCAGTTGGATATCCACTTATGGCAATCTTTTCATTGTATACATGTATAGGTTATTTAATTTCAGAGAAAATCATAATCTGTCATTTTATTGAGTGCTACTGAATGTTTCCTTTCTTACTTAGATTTCTCATAGGCATCAGAAAGAAAAGGATCTCTTTCATGAAAATTGCATGTTGCAGGAAGAAATTGCCTTGCTGAGACTGGAAATAGATACAATAAAAAATCAGAACAAGCAAAAGGAAAAGAAATATTTTGAGGACATTGAGGTTGTGAAAGAAAAGAATGATAACCTTCAAAAAATTATAAAACGAAATGAGGAAACATTAACAGAAACAATACTCCAGTACAGTGGACAGCTGAACAATCTGACAGCTGAGAACAAAATGCTCAATTCTGAACTGGAGAATGGGAAAGAGAACCAAGAAAGACTAGAAATAGAAATGGAATCATACCGTTGTAGACTGGCTGCTGCTGTACATGACTGTGATCAAAGTCAGACAGCAAGAGACCTAAAACTTGATTTCCAGAGAACAAGACAAGAGTGGGTTCGTTTACATGACAAAATGAAGGTTGATATGTCTGGCCTACAAGCTAAGAATGAGATTCTTTCTGAAAAACTTTCTAATGCTGAAAGTAAAATTAACAGCCTACAAATTCAGCTCCATAACACAAGAGATGCTCTTGGAAGAGAGAGTTTGATTTTGGAACGTGTGCAAAGAGACCTCAGCCAAACACAGTGTCAGAAGAAAGAAACTGAACAAATGTACCAAAGCAAACTGAAGAAATACATTGCCAAGCAGGAATCTGTAGAGGAGAGATTATCTCAACTACAAAGTGAAAATATGTTGCTTCGACAGCAACTGGATGATGTTCACAAGAAAGCTAACAGTCAAGAAAAGACAATCAGTACTATCCAAGACCAGTTTCATTCTGCTGCCAAAAATCTTCAAGCTGAGAGTGAAAAGCAGATTCTTTCACTACAAGAGAAGAACAAGGAGCTGATGGATGAATATAATCATTTAAAAGAAAGAATGGATCAATGTGAGAAAGAGAAAGCAGGAAGAAAAGTAAGTATTAAGAAAGATAAAATATTTTTCAACCTTCCTGAAAGAAAATGTAAAGTAATATTTGGTTATGGCTAAATGTTGTATCTAGTTGAATATAAAATGTATAGATCATAAATGTATTTGCTGTATCAGCCTAGAAATGTACCAGTGAAAAAGAAGTTAAACCTGAAAGATGCTTTACTTTGCATAAAGAAATTGTGTCACCTATGAAATTTTAAGTTCAGTTACAGTGTTAATAGGTACAGACTAATACTCATGATGTAGTCTTATGCTGCTGAAATGATCATTGCAATGCCTTTATGTGGCCATGTTTTAATACCATGATGAAGCAGATAAACAGAAATGCTCATACCTGACATGAGTATTTTGAAATTAAGATTCAGTGGGGAGGGTTGCTTTGACCGTTAATTCCAGATTTCCCAGGTGAACTGAAGTATACTGCTGTATCTCATAATACTTTTCCTTCAGTAATTTTGTAATGTATTTAAGTTGGTATAATTTTATTTTTATTCATATCAATTTGACTTAAATCTGAGACGATTTCAGTCTCAAATTACTTGTTATGACCGCTCAATTCTTTAAAGGCATTTACTTTTTTTTTTTTTTTTTTTTTTTTTGAGATGGAATCTTGCTCTGTAAGTTTTGTATTTTTAGTAGAGACGGAGTTTTGCCATGTTGGCAAGGCTGGTCTGGAACTCCTGACCTCAGGTGATCCGCCCGCCTTGGCCTCCCAAAGTGCTGGGATTAGAGGCGTGAGCCACTGTGCCCGGCCTAAAGGCATTTACTTTTTATTAAATCATAATTTGGGACAGATGTGAATTTCAGCAAAGCCATGTTACATTTAATCTTACCACTGGTATTTATCATTTACTTTGAATGTTTTTACAAAGAATTTGCTCATAATTTTCATTTCAAGGCTCACTGCCTATCATTCGGATATAACTGATAGTACAAAGGTAACTGTGGCTATCTGTGATTTATTTGTTTGGCATTGAGTCCCATTTTCAAACTAATCAGAAGTGGCAGGATTCACATATAGCAGGAATGGACTGAATCGGTGAGACAGTTGTAGGAGCTGAGATCAGGAGGGAGGTAGAGGCCAGGTTACCTAGGGCCTCAAAGGCCATTGGAATTTTACTTGTATTGTGAGATAGAAATCTTTTAGAAGGATCTGAGCAGGCAATTGAATATGCAAGGAACTCTGAGGTTGATTTGAGCTTCTAATAAAAAACAGAGAAAACATTTTACCAGTGTGGGATGTACCACCAGCAGCCCCACCCACGTATCAAATTCTTTTTGAGACTTCAGTAGGTTGTTAAGCACTGCAGATGTTTCAGGGAAGAGTGAGTAGTGGGCTGAATCTATTGCCTAAGTTAACAGAAAACCGATTTGGCAGGAAGATAACACCTTCTTTGTCCTTAACTAAATTCAGTAATAAACAAGAATGTGTGCACATGAGGAAAAGAAGGCGAATCATATATGTGTTGATGTTTTTCAAAGTATATGAGTTAGAGTTAAATCTTACTACCATAATTTAATAATAAGGTGATTTATAAATCAGTAACAAAAAATACCTTCACAGGTAGTTATGAGAGAATTCCAGCAAGAATGGACCGATCTCCTAAAACAACAACCTACGTCAGAGGCTACCTCACGTTGTCACATTAATTTAGATGAGACACAGGATTCAAAGAAGAAATTGGGTCAAATCAGAAGTGAAGTATGTATGAAACATAACATGTCAACAGTTAATCTATAGGTGGTGAAATAATGTCAGATGTTTTAGGATACTGATTGCAGTGGATAGCTTTCTTTTGTATTTTTATTATAATTCATTTTATTACAATTTAATTATCTTTATAATACACTTGTTTCTTACCATCTGGCTTTCATTCTGTCCTTTTCTCCTCATAAGTACATTTTAAAAATAAGGATCATTTCCAAAGATCCTTAGGAAAATTGGGAATTATTCAGTATTCCTCACAGAAGTTGAGAGGCTTTTTTTTTTTCCTGTGAAGTAGTATTTTTTTAGTGATTTCTCTATTGCCATGGTGAGGCAAGCCAGATTAAATTATAGGATAATGTTTAATAGAATGTTCCAGAAAATTGTCTTATTTCTTATCTTTACTTTTGTGAATGGGTACAGAATCTGTGTATATTTATTTCATGAATTTCAGGATAACTGGTACAGAAAGGCCATAGTACTGTTCTCCAAAATGCAAATGTTTTAATTTACAAACTACTTGAAATGTTAGGTACTTCCTTTATTTTCCTTTCATTTTAAATATATTGTGCTTTTTTACAAATCATGTATAGTATGTACATCCAAAGTAGAGAATTAAGAGATATATCTAGATTCTACCACTGAATTTTTAAAAACAAGTTTACTGAGAGAGAATTCTCATACCATACAGTTTACCCATTGAACGTGTACAATTCATGGTCTCTTAATATATTCACAGAGTTGCATAACCATCACCATCATCAATTGTAGGACATTTTCATGACCCTGAAAAGAATCAGCAATCTATTTTGTTTCCATAGATTAGCCCATTCTGGACACCACGTATCAATTGGATCACACAATGTGTGGTGGTCTTTTGTGACTGGCTTCTTCTACTTAGCATAACATTTTTAAGGTTCATTGTGTTGTAACATGTATCAGTATTTAATTTCATCTTATTGCTGAGTAATTTTCCACTGTATGGACATACCACTAATTTATTTAGCCATTCATCAGTTGATGGACCTTTGGGTTGTTTCCATGTTTTGGCTATTATTAATCATGCTGCTGTGAACTTTTATTTACAAGTTTTTGTGTTTGTATATGTATTCCTTTCTCTTGGGTATATACATATGAGTTGAATTTCTGGGTCATATGGTAACACTATGCTTAACATTTTGAGGAGCTTCCAGTCTGCTTTCCAAAGTGGTTGCACCATTTTACATTCCCATCAGCATTGTATGAGGGTTCTAATTTCTCCACATCCTTGCCAACATTTTTCATATTTTTGATTGAAAAAGGATTCCAACCTAGAGGTATGAAGTGGTACCTCATTGTGGTTTTGATTCACATTTCCCTAATGATGAATGACTTTAAGCCTCTTTTTATGTGCTTATGAGCCACTTGTATATCTTCTCTGGAGAAATATCTGTTCAAATCTTTTGCCCACATTAAAATTGGGTTGTCCTAAATTTCTGAATTTTAAGAGTTCTTTATATACCCTAGGTGTAAGTCCCTTATCAGATATGTTTCCAAATATTTTCAATGGCTTTCCTTTTTATTTTCTTTTTTATGATTTATTATGTTTTTAAAATTTATATAATTTTAAATTGTAGAGAGAAGGTCTCACTATGTTGTCCAGGCTGGTTTTGAACTCCTGAGCTCAAGCAATCCTCCCACCTCGGCCTCCCAAGTGTTGGGATTATAGGTGTAAGCCACCATGCCCAGCCTCCTTTTCACTTTCTTGATGGTCTCTGTTCAAGCACAGAAGTTTCACATTTTGATGAAGTCCAGTTAATTTTTTGTTTGTTTGTTTTGCAGTCACAAAGATTTATGGCTATGTTTTCTTCTAGGAATTTTATAGTTTTAGTTCTTACATTTAGCGGTTCTATTTTGTTACTTTTAGATATGACATTTGGTGAAGTCCACCTTTATTCTTTTGCATGTGGATATACCGTTTTCCCAGAACCATTTGTTGAAAAATCTATTCATTTCTCATTTAATTTTTTTTACACCTTTGTTGAAAATCAGTTGACCATAAAAGTGTGGGTTTGTTTTTGGATTCTCAGTTCTAATATATTGAGCTATGTCTATCCTTATGCCAGTAGCAAATCACATTTTAGGAAAATTCATTTTCAGTCCTGTTGCTTATTACCAGTTGTCTTATGTAAGAATAGAAATTCAAGTAGTAGAATGTCTTTAATTTCACTTTTTGCTTCTTGAAGGAGTGTATGGCCAGCTTATGCCTTGCTGACTCCATGACATGATGAGAGTCAGGCTTATGAAGACAGATCCCATTAATTTTTTTTCTCCAGTCATACCTTTTGTCTCTCACCCAGTGCCTCTCTCTTCATTCCCATTTCCATCAAATCTTGGTCACAGGATATGCTGACTCCGTCTACTATTTACTGCATTATGTTTTTATTAACTCATTGTAAGTCATAGAGTCATGTGTAGATTTTAACTATCTATGAAGGGCAAGATTAAGTCTAGGCTGTCATCTTTCCTCATTGGAAATTGAGCTAATTCATCATGTTGCAGTTTACAGTTAGATACTCTTTTGACCCAGCACCCGGTTCTCTTGTACACTCCCGGAGCTGAATCCTCTTCTTGGCACAGATACTACATTCTCAGAAACCAGAGTTCCCTGCATTTACCTCCTTTTGCTTAAATAGAGATGCATAGCTATGCTTTTATAGTTCAATACATAATTCATTGAATAAATACTTCAACCCATTCAAAGAACAACTTCCAGGAGTGCAGCAACTGGAAATCAGGTCATGTCCAGGCATTTATCAGAAACAAATGGTTGAATTAGTTGTATGAATTTCAAAATTTCAGAGCCAATTTGTATGATATGGAGAAGCATTTTGATACAACATAAAGATGAGATGCTCTTCCCTTCTCCATACAAATGAGCTTGAAGTAAGGTAAAGGGGAAATTGCATTTAATAGCTTAACACTCAAAGGACACTACATTTTTACTTCTGAGATTGTTAAAACTGATTCCATAATATTTTGTTAATTTTCTCAGTGAGGTAATGGAAATGAAGATTGAATCCTAGATTGACTAATAAATATCCAAAGCTGCTTATCACTTTTAGAATTTCAGTTCATTGAAATCAGGTACAATGTCTGATTTTTGGTTATTAATCAAATATTTCTGGTTTTTTCAACTTTATACTTCAAATTATATATCTCCTTCGTTCTTCATCTTCCTTATTTCATAACTCGGGGGACAAATTCTAAAAGCCTCACTGGCTTAGTCATCAGAATTTGTAATCGAAAGGAACTTTTTCTAAACTTCCTCTGCAGTAGTTCTTACATCCTTCTCCTGGTTGTCTGCTGCTTCCCATTAGAGTTGTTTGTCATTAATAAATTAACCTCAACATTTTTTAGATCTTACTTTAAAGGAGACTAATTTCTACTGGGTATGTTATTCTATTTCTTGTTGTCTCCTTGTTTAAATTTATTTTTCTGGTTATTTTTTCCTAACAAATTACCCAAAGTTGAGTGGCTAAGAACAACATTCGTTTAGTTCACCAATCTGTGGCTTGGGAAAACCTTGGCTGGGACAGCTTGCCTCTGCTCCCTTCAGCTTCACTTGGGATAAATCAAAGGCTGAGGGACTGGAATCATCTGAAGGTTTGTTCACTAAGATGTCTGTTGCTGATGGTGGCTATTGGTTGGAACTTTAGCTGGGGCAGGTTGCCCAAATATCTACATTGGAACTCCTAGGCTCTCTTTGTGGCCTAAGCTTCCTCACAACATGGGGGCTGGGGTCCAAGGGTGAGCAGTCTGCGGTAGAGAGCCTCTTCTAACTTAATGTTCGAAGCCACATGGTTATCACTTTTAACACTTTCTGTTCATTAGAAGCAAGTCACTAAGTTTCACCTATAGTCTATATATAGGATGAATGATTTTGCTTTTATTTTTATTGATGTATTTTTTTTTTAGACATGGTGTCTTATTATGTTACCCAGGCCGGCCTTGACCTCCATGTCTCAAGAATTCTTCCTGCCTCTGCCTCCCAAGTAGCTGAGACCACAGGAATGTGACACCACACCTGGCTTCCTTTGATTTTTTGTGGACCTGTATAATTGTACATATTTATGGTATACACAGTGATATTTTGATATGTGTAAACAATGTATAATGGTCAAATCAGGCTAATTAATATATTCCATCACCTCAAACATTTACCATTTCTTTGTGTTGTGAACTTTCAAAATCCTCTCCTCTAGCTTTTTAAATATTAGCTAGCCAAGCCAGGTGTAGTGGCACACACCTGTAATCCCAGCTGTTTGGGAGGCTGAGGCAGGAGAATGGCTTGAACCCCGGAGGCGGAGATTGCAGTGAGCTGAGATTGCACCACTGCACGCCAAGCCTGGGTGACAGAGCAAGACTCTGTCTCAAAAAAAAAAAAATATTAGTTAACCATATTCACCCTACAATGCAACAGAACACTAGAATTCATTCCTCCTATGTAACTGTAATCTTGTATCCATTAACCAGCCTCTCCCCATCTTCTACTCCCCTTTACCTTTCTCAGCCTCTAATACCCACAGTTCTACTCTCTACTTCCGTGAACGTTTTTTTAAATTTTAGCTCCCACATGAGTGAAAACATACAGTAGTTATTTTTCTGTGCTTGAATTATTTCACTTAGTGTCACTTAATGGCCTCATCCATGCTGTAAATGATATGATTTTATTCTTTTTTTATGGCTGAATAGTATTCCACTGTGGACATATACCACATTTTCTTTACTCATCAACCACATTGATCTGTTGATGAACATTTAGGTTGATTCTGTATCTTGGTTGTTGTGAATAGTGCTGCAATCAACATGGGAATACTGGTATCCCTTTGATACGCTGATTTTCTTTCTTTTGGATAAATACTTAGTAGTGGGATTGTTGGATCATATGACACTTCTATTTTTAGCTTTTTAAGAAACTTCCATGGTTATACTAGTTTACATTCCCTCCACGAGCATAAGAGTTTTCTTTTTCTCTCCAACCTCGCCAGGATTTTTTACTTCTGGTTTCTTTGTTTTTTGTTTTTTGATTTTTTTGATAGTAGCCATTCTGTGGTGAGACGATATCTTATTTGGGATTTTGTTTTCATTTTCCTGTTAGTGATGTTGAGTACTTTTCCATACATTTGTGGACATTCGTATGTCTTCTTTTTAGAAATGTCTATTTAAATTCTTTCTCCACATTTCAGGGGGGATTATTAACAATTTTTACTGTTGAGTTGTTTGAGTTCCTGGCATATTCTAGATATTAGACCTTTCTCAGATGAATAGATTTGTAAATATTTTCTCCCAGTCTACAATTGTTGGTTGTTTCCTTCACTTTGTTGATTGTTTCCTTTGCTGTGAAGAAACCTAATTTTAATATAGCTTTACTTATGTATTTTTGTTTTTATACCTGTGCTTTTTTTTGCATATGCCCGTGATAACTTAGCTATAAAATCTTTGCCTTGACCAATGTCCTGAAGCATTTTCCATATATTTTCTTGTAGTAGTTTTATAATTTTGGATCTCATGTTTAAGTCTTTAATCTATTTTGAGTTGATTTTTGTATATGGTGAAAGATAGGGACCTGGTTTCATTCTTCTTTTTACAGATACCCACTTTTCCCAGCCCCATTTGTTGAAGAGAGGGTTCTTTCCCCAATGTATGTTTTTGATACTTTTGTTGAAAATCAGGTGTCTGTAAATATGTGGATTTATTTCTGCATTCTCTGTTCCATTGGTTTAATTTTCTATTTTTATACCAAGACCTTGTTCTTTTGGTTACTGTAACCTTGTAATATATTTTGAAGTCAGGTGGAGTGATGCCTCCAGCTCTGTTCTTTTCCCTCAGGCTTGGCTTGTATAGTCTAGCTTTTTTGCAGTTCCATATGAATTTTAGGATTGTTTTTTCCATTTCTGTGAAGAGGGTTATTGGTGTTTTTTTGTTGCAAGTTATAAAGGGCATTTTATTTTTATCTTATTCTTTCTCTTTCTTAACTTTCAGATTCAGGGAGTACATGTGCAGGTTTGTTACACAGGTATATTGCATAATGCTTAGGTTTAGGGTGCAGTTGAACCTATCACCCAGGTAATGAGCATAGTACCTGGCATGTCATTTTTCAATCATTGTCCAACCCAGTCCCCCTTCTTATAGTCCCCACTGTCTATTGCTCCCATCTTTATGTCCATGTGTACCCAGTGTTTAGCTCCCACTTATAAGTGAGAACATGTAGTATTTGGTTTTCTGTTTCTGCATCAGTTTGCTTAGGATAATGGCCTCCAGCTGCATCCATGTTGCTGCAAAGGGCAGTATTTTGTTCTTTTTATAGTTGCATAGTATTCCATATTGTATATGTGCTACATTTTCTTAATCCAGTGCATCATTGATGAGCTTCTGGTTTTATTCCATATCTTTGCTATTGTGAATAGTGCTGCAGTGAACATTGGGTGCATGTGTCTTTTTGGTAGAATGATTTTTTGGTGGTGGGAAGTGGATATTTAACCAACTAATGGGATTGCTGGGTTGAATGGCAGTTCTACTTTTAGTTCCGTGAGAGAAACCTCCAAACTGCTTTCCACAGTGGCTGAACGAATTTACCATTTTCTCCCAAAAGTGTATTAGAATTCCCTTTTTGCTGTAGCAGCTCTGCCAAAATCTGGGTTGTTGTTGCTTATTTTTTGACTTTTTAGTAATAGCCATTATGTCTGGTGTGAGATGGTATGTCATTGTGGCTTTGATTTGCTTTTCTCTGATGATCAGTGATGATGAGCATTTTTTCATATGTTTGCTCTCCACTTTTATGTCTTTTTTTGAGAAGTGTCTGTTAATGTATTTTGCCCGCTTTTATATATTTTTTTAAATTCTTGTTTGTTGATTTAAGTTCCTTATAGGTTCTGGATATTAGAACTTTGTTCAATGCATAGCTTGTAAATACATTCTTTCATTATTTAGGTTGCCTATTTAGTCTCTTGAATGGTTCCTTTTCCTATGCAGAAGCTCCTTTGTTTAACTAGGTCCCAATTTTTCTTTTCTTTTTTTTTTTTCTTTAACAAAATTTTTATTTAATAAATGGTTAAAATCGCAGTGCCAAAAATACATTCACATTTAGCAATTTCACTGAAAGGAAGAAACTACAGAATGCACGGTTTCAGAAAGCTATTTTAAGTTATTTACAAATAAAGTATCTAAAACTCAAAAACAGGCTCTATATGCTATATCTCGTTTATCCCTTCCCGAACAAAATTTCTGTTATTTGGGCAAATTCTTAAACCATGGTTTAAACCGTAATGGTTACAAACCACAAACACATCCATCCAAAGACTGAAACCGTTTTTATCCGGTCAGTGGCAAAACTGTTGAAAGGGCAATAGTTGAAGCTGTTGGGTTTTATATAGTGTGAACTCTGATAAATATTCCTACCAGGACTAAAACACAGCACACTTTGCAGGCATGGCTGACTCACAAAGGTTGTAACAAACAAGAACTACTCTTCACTCGACACCATGGCTCAGAGGCCAACGAGAAGCACGAGTGACTGACAGCTCCTCTGCTTACAAACGAATGAAACCCAAAGTGGATGTCGTTCTCACAGCACTGAAAGTGCTTCAGGACTCACACTGATCCAATACTAACTTTCTTCCCTATTTTACACATATTTTTCTACTGTCCAGTGGAAATCATTTTCTGTTTTGGCTAAACAACAAATACTAGTTTATAACAGGAATGGTAAAATCTGTGAGAATTCTGCTCAATTTAATACAAGATCACTACTTTCTTTAGAATGGTTTCTGCGTGTTTCTATGTCACCCTCTGTAGTTTTAGCTTCCAGTTTCCTGGTAAGGAATAAGTTCTCCTTCCCAGTCACACTCGGGGTCATTTACACGTTTCTGGGATGCCCTCGCTCGTCCATGGAGGCCAGGTGCGTGCAGTGACTCACTCTGCCTCTTCCCTCTTCTCAGGACCAGTTCCCGAACCTTCTGCCTTGCAGATCCTCCTGTTTCCGCCACACTCTAGCGCTCGGAAGTGAGCTCCTGGATCATACAGCTGCAAGGCTGGCCGGTCCTTGTTTGCCAGTCGCTCTTTTCTGGGTGCTGGACTGTCGTCACACCTCTGCGCTCTTCCCAGTCTCTCCATGGCCTCCCCCGGAGCCCCGCTGTCCTGGCTCCCCTTCTTCCCTCTGTCTTGGCCAGGTCCTTTCCCCCATCTCTGCTCATCCTCACTCCCTCTGGAAAGCCGGTCAGGCTCGTGGTGAGCTCTGTGCCTCCTGCCATCATCCACATGGTGTCTTTGTGCTTCAGATTCTTGTTCTTGAGATCTCTCCACATCCCTGTGCTCTTTATCACTGCCGCTGTGTGACGTCTCCTGGGGCTCCTCCAGCGAGCCTTCCACGGGCCTGGCTTTTACGACTGCACCGGGGGCACAGGATTCCTGCTTGCCACCTCCAGTATCAATCTCCTCTCCTCTTTCTTTTGGTTTCTCTGTGGTTGGTTCCTCTCCCTTTTCTGGTTTCTTAAGAAGCTTAATCCTTACTTCTTTCTCTGCAATTTTCTTCTGTTTATCTGTCTCTCTTTTTTTTTTTGCATCTTTCTTCTTCTCTTCTTCTTCTTTTTTCCTCTTCCCGCAAACGTTTCTTTTCTAACTCTCTCCTCCTCCGTTCTTCTCGCTTCTCTTCTCGAATTCTCTGCTTTTCTAATTTTCTATTTTTAATATATTCCAAAAGAGGTGTGGTTCTTCTAGCAATGAGCTCTCTTGTCTTCGCCTCCATCTCCCCCAGCAGAGTCTCAGGGTTGGCACTGGCCTTCTCTTCCTCCACACAGTAGGTTTCTAAAAACTTCTTATATTCTGGATCTTTGCTGTCAAGGAAGATATATCCCATCAAAACGATCTCTAAAAAGAAGGATGTCATCAGGATTCCTAAAATTAATGTATGCTCTTGAGTAGAGATGAGGATAAAGACTCAGGTCGGCGGCGAAGAACTCGAAGTAGTCGTGTGCTGGCAACGGGCGCAGCTGCTCCTCCAGCTGCTCCTTGGTGAGGCCCGGAGGCAGGCGGCGGATGACCAGCTGCGGGGAGCGCGGCCGTTCCCACAGGGGCGGAGCGTGGACAAGGAGCTCAAAAGGCACCGCGTACCGCGCTGGGAGGCCCGGCCCCCGCCCCTCCCTCCTCTCCCTCCCCTCCCTCCCCTCTAGGTCCCAATTTTTCATTTTGACTTTTGTTGCAATTGCTTTTGAGGGCTTATTCATAAATTATTTTCAGAGGCTGATTTCTAATAGTGTATTTCTTAGGTTTTCTTGTAGGATTTTTATAGTTAGAGGTCTTACTTTTAAGAATGTAATTCAGCTTTCATTAATTTTTGTATGTGGTGATAGCTAGGGGTCAAGTTTCATTCTTCTGTGTATGGATAACCAGTCATCCCAGCACCATTTATTGAATAGGGAGTCCTTTCCCCATTGCATATTTGTGTCGGCTTTGTCAAAGACCCAATGGTTGTAGGCGTGTGGCTTTATTTCTGGGCTCTCTGTTCTGTTCCATTGGTCTATGTGTCTGTTTTTGTGCCAGTACCGTGCTGATTTGTTTAGTGTAGCGTTTGTTTACTGTAGTATAGTTTGAAGTTGGGTAATGTGATGCATCAGGCTTGGTTCTCTTTGCTTAGGATGGCTCTGGGTGTTTGGGCTCTTTTCTGGTTCCATATGAAGTTTTAGAATAGTTATTTCTAATGCTGTGAAAAATGACATTAGTAGTTTGATAGGAATGGTATTGAATCTGTAGACTGCTTTGGGCAGTATGGCCATTTTAATGCGATTGATTTTTCCAATTCATGAGCATGGAATGTTTTGCCATTTTTTTTGGTGTCATCTATTTGGTGTCATGATTTTTTTTCAGCAGTGTTTTGTAGTTCTCCTTGTAACCACCTTTCATCTCTGTAGTTAGATGCATTCCTAAGTATTTTGCTTTTTTGTGTGTGGCTATTATAAATTGGATTACATTCTTGATTTGTCTCTCAGCTTGAACTTTATTGGTATATAGAAATGCTATGGATATTTTTACATTGATTTTTGTGTCCTGACTGAAGTCATTTATCAGTTCCAGGATAAATTGGCAAACTCTTTAGAGTTTTTTAGGTACAGAATCATATCATCAGCAAAGAGAGATAGTTTGGCTTCTTTTCCTTTTTGGATGCCTTTTCTTTCTTTCTTTTTCCTGATTGCTCTGGCTAGGAGTTCCAGTACTATGTTGAATACATACAGTGAGAGTGGGCATCTTTGTCTTGTTCCAGTTGGCAAGGGGAATGCTTCCAACTATTTTTGTTCTTTTTTCTTTAATTTTTTTCTTTACTATTTTATAGAGACAAGGTCTCACTGTGTTGCCCAGCCTGGTCTCAGACTCCTGGCCTCAAGTGATTCTCCTGTCTTCGCCTCCCAACATGCTGGGGTTACAAGCATGAGCCACTGCACTTAGCCCCCACTTCCAGCTTTTGCCCATTCTGTATGGTTTTAGCTGTGGGTTTGTTATAGAGTGGCCTTTATTATTTTGAGGTCTGTTTCTTTGATGCCTAATTTGTTGGGTGTTTTTTTCATGAAGGGATGATGGACGTTATTGAAAGCTTTTTTGCATCTTTTGAGTTGATCATATGGTTTTTCGTTTTCATTCTGTTTATGTGGTGAAACACATTTATTGATTTGTGTACTTTGAACCAATTGCATCACAAAAATAAAGCTGACTTGATTGTGGTGAAGTAAGTTTTTGATGTGTTTGCTGGATTTTGTTTGCTGATATTTTATTGAGGACTTTGGTGTCTACATTCATTGGGGATATTGGGCTGTAGTTTTCTTTATTCATTGTGTCTTTGCTGGCTTTTAGTATCAAGATGATGCTGGCATCATACAATGAGTTAGGGAGAAGTATCTCCTCAATATTTTGGAATAGTTTCATTAGGTTTGTTAACAGCTCTTCTTTGTATGTCTGGTAGAAATTGGCTATGAGTCAGTCTGATCTGAATCTGTTTTTGGCTAGTTGGTTTTTTATTACTGATTCAATTTCAGAGCTTGTTATTTGTCTGTTCATGATTTCAATTTCCTCGTGGTTCAATCTTTGTTGGTTTCCAAGGATTTATCCATTTCTCCTAGATATTCTAGTTTGTGTGTATACAGTGGTGTTCATTGTAGTCTCTGAGGATCTTTTGTATTACTGTGGGATTGGTTGTAATGTCATCTTTGTTGTTTCTGATTGTGCTTATTTAGATGTTCTCTGTTATTTATTTATTTATTTATTTATTTATCTAGCTAGTAGCCTGTCGGTATTTTTATCCCTTCAAAAAGCCAACTTTTGGTTTCACCGATCCTTTGTATGGATTTTTGGGCCTCAAGTTTTCTCAGTTATGCTCTAATTTTAGTTATTTCTTTTCTGTTGCCAGCTTTGGGGTTATTTTGTCCTTGTTTTTTAGTTCCTCTCGGCACAGTGTCAGATTGTTAATTACAGATCTGTCTAACTTTTCAACATATTTGTTTTGCACTATAAGCTTTCCTCTTATGCTGCTTTTGCTGTATCCCAGAAGTTTTGGTATGATGTTTCTTTTTGCTTATTACAAATCATTGTTTGATTTCTGCCTGAAATTCTTTCTTTTCCCAAAGTCATTTAGGAGCCAGTTGTTTGATTTCCATGTGATTGTGTGGTTTTCAGAGATCTTCTTGGTATTCATTTCTATTTTTATTGCACTGTAGTCCAAGAGAATGGTGTTGTGTGATTTCATTTTTTAAAAATTTATCATGACTTGCTTTATGGTCAAACATGTTGTTGATCTTGGAGTATGTTCTTTGTGCAGATGAGAAAAAAGTGTATTCTGTAGTTGTTGGGTGGAGTATTCTGTAGATGTCTGTTAGGTCCAATTAGTCAAGTGTTAAATTTAAGCCCAGAATTTCTTTGTTAGTTTTTTGTCTCAATGATTTGCCTTAACACTATCAATGAAATGTTGAAGATCCCCACTGTTATTGTGTGACTGAGTCTTTTGGTAGGTCTGGAAGTACTTGGTTGTTTTTGAATGTGGGTGCTCCAGTGTTGGGTGGGTATGTATTTAGGATAGGGATGTCTTCTTGGCGAAGTGAGTCCTTTATCATTGTGTAATGCCCTTCTTCATCCTTTTTTGGCTGTTGTTGGTTTAAAGTCTGTTTTATCTAAGAATAACAACCCCTTGCTTTTTGCATTTTATTTGCATGACAGATCTTTGTCTATCTCTTTACTCAGAGCCTGTGGGTGCCATTACATGTGAGATGTGTCTTTTGAATATAGCAGACTGTTGATTCTTATTGGTTTGTTTTTTTTTAATTCAACTTGCCACTCTGTGCCTTTTAAGTGAGGCATTTAGACCATTGAATTCAGTATTAATATTTATATGTGAGATTTTGATTCCGCCATGATGTTTTTAGCTGTTTGCTTTGTACTCTCGATTGTGTAGTTGTGTAATAGGGTCTGTGGGCTATGTACTTAGGTGTGTTTTTGTGGTAGTGGGTATTGTTCTTTCTTTTCCATATTTAGAACTCCTTAAGAATCTCTTGTAAGTCTGGTCTAGCGGTAATGAATTTCTTTAGTGTTTGTCTGGAAAAGATTGTATTTCTCTGTCACTGATGAGGCTTAGATTGGAGTGGTATGAAGTTCTTGGCTGAAATTTCTTTAAGGATGCTGACAACAGGCCCCACTTTCTGGCTTATAAGGTTTTGCCGGAAAGAGGTCAGCTTTTCACCTGATGCAGCTGTTATAGCTGCCTGTGAGATTTTTCCTTTCGTGTTGACCTTGGAAAGTCTGATGGGCTGTGTATCTTGGGGATGGTTGTAGAGGTTCTCTGAATTTCTTGAATTTTTCCATCAACCTCTGTAATGAGATTGGGGAAATTTCATGGACTATATCCTCAGATATGTTTTCCATGTTGCTTCCTCTCTCTCCTTCTCTTTCAGCCATGCCAATGAGTCATAGATTAGTGTCTTTACAAAATCCCACATTCCTCAGATGTTTTGTTCATTTTTAAAATGGTTTTTTCTTTATTTTTGTCTGACTGGGCTGACTCAAAAGACAGGTCTTTGAGCTCTGTAATCCTTCCCTCCGCTTGGTCTCATCTGGTTTTGAAGCTCCCTCCTGTGTTGAATTTTGCAGCTCCAGAAGTTCAGTTTGATTCTTTTTAAAAATGGCTCTGTCGTGTTTCAACTTTTGGATGGTTATACTGGCTTCCTTGGATTGGATTTCAACTTTCTCTTTAATCTCATTGAGCTTTGTTGCCATTGAGATTCTGAATCACATGTCTGTGATAAAGCATGTCATTACACTTTAATCTGGTGAGAATTTATAGCTGGGGAGCTAGTGTGATTTTTTGGAGGTAATGAAATGCTCTGATTTGTTGAATTGCTAGAGTTCTTGTGCTGATTATTCCTCCTCTGAAAATGCTGATGTTTCTTTATCGTTTTGAAATTCCTGTCATTTGGATGGGAATTTTTGTTTTTATGTTCTTTTTTTTCTCTTGAGGGTTTGTGGTGTGTATTGTGTATAGTTGATTGGCCTTTTTTTCTGGGTGGTTTCAGATGGCCAGGACTCTACACAGGTTCCTTCCTTGTGGCTACTTCCCTGCATTGGGTTTCACAGATGTGTGTTGAAGGTATATCATGATTTTTGTTTGGTGGTGTAATTCAGTCTGCAATCCAGGAGATGGTGCTCTAGAGTACGGGCTGGCATGCCTCTTTTCTGTTTCAGCGTGTTGGCAGCAGTGCTCTGGGGAAGGGGGAGAAGTAGGATTGGGAAGGCGAGAGATAACCCCCTCACCAAATCAGTTCCTGGAACTTGGGAGAGCCCCCTCCAATCACTGATGCCACACCTGAATTTTGAGGGCTGCACACCTCCCACCCTTAGGGCAGCGGCCCAAGCCAAAAGTTAGGTTGCCGAGAGACCTACAACTCTCTGGGGACGTGCTGGTTGTCTGGGCTTGGTAGAGTCAGAGCAGGTTGTAGAGTATGTCTGCGGATCTGCGGGTCGTCTGTTGATATAATGTGGGTCAAGGGGGGAGGATCCCCGGGCAGGGCTGTGGTTCTGTGGGTGTGCACCTGGTGTGATGCGTGCAGCCCAGGGTTTTTTGCCCAGCAGATGGCTGTGGGGAGCACTTAGCTGGCACTCACCCAACCAGGCCTCCCTCCAGTGTCTGCCCCCAGGGCAGGCCCAACTAGGTAGTTTTGTCCCCCAGCCTTCCGTGCCCAGATCAACTGGACTGTTAGCTGTTTCAGGCAGTGGTGCTCCCTCAGGCAGAGGCTGTGGACAGACAGGTTACACCCTTCCTGGACAGATCTTGTAGAACAGGGTCCCCAACCTCCAGGTGGCAGACCAGTACTGGTCTGTGGCCTGTTAGGAACTGGGCCGCACAGCAGGAGGTGAGGGGAGGGCTGGTGAGTGAGCATTACCACGTGAGCTTCGCCTCTTGTCACATCAGCAGCGGCATTAGATTCTCATAGGAGCGCGAGCCGTGTTGTGAACTGTGCACGTGAGGGACCTAGGTTGCGTGCTCCTTATGAGAATCTAATGCCTGACGATCTGAGGTGGAACAGTTCCATCGCGAAACCATCCCCACCCCACCGTCTGTGGAAAAATTGTTTTCCACAATGCCAGCACCTGGTGCCAAAAAGGTTGGGGACTGCTGTTGCAGAGGGAGCACACCCGGCTCCCACACTGGCATATGAACTTGGGCCCTCTCTTCTCGGCATTGTGAGAGAGAAAGCTACTCCTCTTCTTGAGCTCAGGCCACAGATACCAGCTCAGTATACTTGAGCAGTGTGCTTGAATCCTGGGGGTATTGAGACCAGGTTCATGACTTTGTCTTCTGGTCTCATGGGGTTGAGCTTTGGCTGTGCTGAGGGTGGGGGCTGAACTGCTCCCAGGCCTCCGGCAAAGCACTCAGATGGGGCAGTGGAGGCTGTGCTGTGTGCTTACCCTTGCGTGAGTAGCTAGGCAGGGGCCTTGGGAGGGGCTGGTGGACAAGAAGGTACACAGACCAGATATGCTGCAGTCCCATGGTAAATGCAGCCCTACTGTCTTCTGGCCTGGCAGTAAGCAGGAGCTAGAGTCACTCAGAGCAAGATGGAGAGCCTTGGGGGATGGGTGCCTATGGTCATGTTTTGCTGCAGCCGTACCAGGTGCGAAACCTTCTGGGCTGTATGCGGGTTTGAGCTCTGCCTCTGCCTATTCGCCAGCCGGTTCCTCTTGCCAGTTCAGATGTCTGTGTGGGTCCAGGGATCTCCGGGAGCTAGTATCCCAGAGTTCGTTGGTGGGAGTGTGGTGCTGCACAGTTCCTTCACCCACCCCTTCCTTAGTTTCTGGATTGGGAGGTAATCCTAGTGCTTGGTGACTCTGTGCAGGCTTCCCAGATTTATTCCTCTTCAGCCTTGATGCCTGCATTACCTATCAAATTTCAGTGTTTTCTCTCCAAAGACCTACTCCAAGTGTGATAATTTACTTGATATTTTGGTTTCTCTCTCGCAGAGAGGCATTTCCTGGCTGCATGTGGTGACCATCTTGTCTTCCCCTAAAAACATCAAAATTGGTATTTAATAGAGCTTGCGTTCAGTCTGTAGACTGCTTTCAGTAATAAGGTCATTTAACCAATATTCTTCCAGTCCGTGAGCATGCAATATCTTTCCATGTTTGTGTCCTCTACAATTTCTTTTGTCGGTGTTTTGTAGTTTTTTTTTTTTTTTTTTGTAAAGCTCTTTACAAAATCTCTCTGGTTAACTTTATTCTGAGCCATTTTATTATTTTGTAGCTAGAATAGTGGGACGGCCTTCTTGATGTCTTTTTATGCTAGTTGATTATTAGTGTATAGAAATGTTACACATGCTATTGGCATTATTTTTGTATGCTGATTTTGTGGCCTGCACCTTTGCTGAATTCTTTAGTTCTAACAGGCTTTTTTGGTGGCGTGTTTATGGTTTTCTGTATATGAGATCAGGTCATGTGCACAGGGAGACAATTTGACTTTCTGTTTTCCAATCTGGATCCCCTTTATTTCTCTGACAATTTTTGTATCTGCATCCTTCAGGGATATTGGCATGTAGTTTTCTTTTGTTGTTGTGTCTTTGTCTGGGTTTGGCCTTAGAGTAATACTGACCTTTAGAATAAACTAGGAAGATTTTGGAATAATTTATAAAAAATTGCTGTTAGTTTTTCCTTAAAAGTTTAGTAGAATTCAGAGTAACTTACCCAGTTTTAGACCTTTCTTTGTTGGTAAACTTTATTACTGATTCAATTACATTACCGTTATTGGTCTGTCCAGGTTTCCTTTTCTTCTTGGTTCATTCTTGCTGGTTATGCACTTCCAGGAATGTATCCATTTTCCATACGTTTCCAGTTTGTTGGCATATAGTTGTTCATAATAGTCTCTCATGACTCCATGTATTTCTTTGCTATCTCCTTTTATGTTTCCCTCTTTATTTACTTGAGTTTTCTCTTTTTTCTTGTTAATGTAGTTTGCAGTTTTGCTTTATTAGTCTACCTCGTTCAGTTCTGCCCTGCCTTTATCATTTCTTTCCTTCTACTACATTTGAGTTTTGGGTCTGTTCTTGCTTTTTTGGTTTCTTCAGGTGTATTGTTAGGTTGTTTATTTGAAGTCTTTCTCTTTTTTGGATGTAGCTGTTAATTGCTATAAATTGCCCTCTTAGTGCTTCTTTTGTCACTTTCTATAGGGATTGATTTTTTTTCCCCATTTTCATTTGTTTCAAGATATTTTAAATTTTTTTTCTTAATTTATTGATTGGCCCAGTTGTTCATTCAGGAGCATGCTGTTTAATTTCCATGCATTTGTACAGTTTACAAAGTTTTTGTCGTTACTGATTTCCATTTTTATTCCATTGTGGTTTGAGAAGATATTTGATATGAGCTTTTAAACTCAATATATGGTCTATTCTGGAGAATGTTCTATGTGCTAATGAGAAGAATGTGTATTCTGCAGCTTCTTAATACAGTGTTCTGTAAGTGTCTGCTAGGTCCATGTGGTCTATAGTGCAGGTTCATTTTGATGTTTCTTTGTTGATTTTCTGTTTAGATGATCCCTTCAATGCTGAAAGTCAGACTATGGAGTCCCCATCTATTATTGTACTGGAGGCTATCTGTCTCTTTAGTTTCAGTGATGTTTGCCTTATATATCTGTGTGCTCAGGTATTGAGTATATATACCTTTATGACTGCTGTATCCTCTTGCTGAATTGATCCTGTTATTATTATATAATGCCCTTCTCTTTCTCTTTTATTTATTTTTTTTTTTTTTTACTTAAGATCTATTTTGTCTGATATAAATATAGCTACTTCTGTGTGCTTTTGGTTTCCATTTGCATGGAATATCCTTCCTTCCTTTCACTTGCAGTCTATGTGTCTTTACAGGTAAAGTGAGTTTCTTGTAGACAGCATATTATTTGGTCTTTTTTTGTAATCCATTCATTCTATCTATATCTTTAATTGGGGAATTTAAATCATGTATATTCAAAGTTTTTATGATAGGTGAGGACTTACTCCTTTCATTTTATTAATTGTTTAGTGATTGTTTTGTCTATCATTTGTTCCTATCTTCCTCTTTTATTGTTTACCTCTACAATTTGCTGGTTTTCTGTAGTGATAATGTTTGATTCCTTTCTCTTTTTCAGTTCTGTACCTGCTCTACCAGTGAGTCTTACAGTTTTTTGATTTTCATGGTGGTAGACATTGTCTTTTTGCTTCCAGATTGAGGACTCCTGTAAGCATTTCTTGTAGGATCAGTCTAGTGGTGATGCATTCCTTCAGGTTTTGCTTGTCTGAGATGTTATTTCTTTTTCAGTTTTATTTATTTATTGGAGACAGAGTCTCACTCTGTTGCCCTGGCTGGAGTTCAGTGGCATGATCTCAGCTTACTGCAACCTCTGCCTCCCAGGTTCAAGCAATTCTTGTGCCTCAGCCTCCTGAGTAGCTGGGACTACAGGCATGAGCCACCATGCCTAGCTAATTTGTATATTTTTCGTAGAGACAGGGTTTTGCCAAATTGCCCAGGCTGGTCTTGAACTCCTGAGCTCAAGCAATCCCCCAACCTTGGCCTCCCAAAGTGCTAGGATTACAGGGATGAACCACTGCACCTGGCCCCTCTTTTTCAGTTTTAAAGGATAGCTTTGCTAGGTATAATATTCTTGACAGGCAGTCTTTTTCTTCCCGCATATTAAATATATCATGTCATTCTCTCCTATCCTCTAAGGTTTCTGCTGACAAATATGCTATTTGATATGGATTCCCTTGTATGTGACTTGGTGTTTTTCTCTTGCTCTTTGTCTTTGACTTTTGACATTTGACTCTGATGTGCCGCAGAGAAGACATTTTTTATTGTATTTCTTTGGGGATCTTTGAGACATCTGTATCCAGATGTTTGCATCTCTCACAAGACTTGGTAGTTTTTCAGCTATTATTTCATTAGATAGGTTTTCTGTGCCTTTTCCCATCTCTTCTATTTCTGCAACTCCCAATATCCGAAAAAATTTTGGCTCATGATGGTCCATATATTACATACACTGTCTTCATTCTTTTTCTTTTCTTTTTTTTCTTTTTGCTTTTTGTTTGCCTGGCCTCATATAAAGACCTCTCTTCAAGTTCAGAAATTCATTCTTCTCCTTGATCTAGTCTATTGCCAACATTCTCAGTTGTTTTTATTTTATGTATTGAATTCTCAGTTCCAGGATTTCTGTTTGGTTCCTTTTAATGCTATCTTTTTCATTGTTGAATTTCTTATTTAGATCATAAATTGTTTTCCTGATTCATTTGTATTACCTATCTTTCCTATCAGGAATCTTTCCTGATTCCTTTGTATTATTGTGTATCTCACTATGTTTCCTTAAGATCATTATTTTGAATTTTATAGGTTTTGTTTTCTTTGGGATCTGTTACTGGAGAATTACTCTGTTCCTTTGGAGGTGTCATGTTTCTTTGATTTTTCATACTTCTTGTGTCCTTAATGTTGATAACTGTGCAGCTGGTATAACAGTCACTTCATCTAGTTTTAGGGGTTGACTTTTTTCTGTAGATGTATCTATGTTGTTGGTTGAATATGGTGCTCTGGCATTGATGATGGGTGGGTGCATTGGTGTGGTCTCCATATACTTATGCTTTCTTCTGCTGTAATCAACATCAGCGTCTGTAAGTTCCTCAGTGGCTTACGGTGTGGTTGTTAGTAGCAGGGGATGCTGTGGTGAGGCCTTGATGGTGATGGGGAGGACAGCAGGCCGGTCCTCAGGCACATTGATGGCATACACAAGGATGTATGTGTGATTGGCAGCACCAGGCCATGCTTCCCAGTTTTTGTGGCAGTGGGTTACCTGAGTGGGCTGGCCCTTGGGCCTCCAGGTGGTGTGTGCTGGGATCAGAGGTGGCAATAGCAGGCCAGGCCACAGGACCTTGGTGACACTTGTGGCACTGGAGATGACAGTAGCAGCTGGGGGCCGGACCTTGGATCCCTTGGTAGCATGCATGGGCACTGGTAGTGGTGAAAGCAGGCTGCATGGGCATTTCTCTGGCCCCCTATGAGGAACATTTAGGTGGGTACCTAAGGCAGTGTGTGGAGCAGGCTTGTCCACAGGTTAACTGAAGACACGTGCAGGAACCTTTGCCAGTGGCTGGTGAGGCAGCCCTGTCTTTATGCTCCTGGATGCCATGTGCAGGTGCCGGTGGGGCAGTAGGACTCTCCTTGGTATTAGTGGTAGACGGGGCCTGGGTAAAGGCACAGAGGCCTGGGTGGGGTGGACTGCTCCTCAGGGTCCTGGACAGTGTATGTGAGCACTGATAGCAACAATAGCAGCAGCAAGCAAAGTGGCCTTGTCTTCAGGCTCTCATATGGCTCACATGGGCGCCACCCCTGGTGGGTTTGACAGGCTTGTTCTCAGGCTCCTGCATGGTACACTCGAGTGGGCCAGTCCTCCGGCCTCCTAAAGGTATGTACAGGTATGCACAGCACTGCCCCTGAAGGGGATAGGGCTGCTGGTGGTGGCAGTGGTGTCAGTCAGGTGGCTCCTAGGCTCTAGACAGCACATACTTAGGATCCCTTTGACCTAGAGTAGTTTCCCTGGTGGGCTATTAGGTGACCACCTATTTCCACAGGTATATGGTGCTGTGGGACTAGGGATTTGGGGGAATCAGTCCTAGTTTTGAGATGATCCTGGCTGGGCTGGCTACCTCAGTTCCCTTTCCTCCTGTCATCAGAGGATCCCTATCAATTTCCTGCTGAATTCCAGTATACTCTCTTTGATGTTTTCCTCAAGGTGTGGTTACCTACTTGCTGTTTTGGTTTTTCTTTTTGAAAGAGGTGAGTGCTGGGTATTCCCAGTCAGCCATCTCGATGATGTCTCTGTCTATGCTGTGCATATTAAGGAATGTATAGACATGTTTTAAAACCTGCACAACTGACCCTATAACTATAATTTAAAAGATTTCTACCACTTGAAAAACACACTAATTTCTAATTATTACCTCTCACCCCACACACAGGTTTTATTTAATATGGCAGCAGACTCAGGCTTAAAGTGCAAGATCCTAACCTCCCACCACACACACACAAGTTTCATTTAATATGGCAGCAAGCTCAGGCTTGAAGTGCAAGACCCTACCATCTTTATCACAGATGGTAGGGATGCACCCTGGGTTGTGGTTTCTGCGGTATAACCCCTTGAGTGCATTTCTTGTCAACACAAAGACGTAAGAACTAAAGGGACAACTTGTCTACCACTCACCCACCCAGCATTCTCCTAAACTGCCAGAGACCCTCCTATTGAACAGAGAGAAAATGGGAGTCACAAAGGGAATATTAGACCATAGAAATTCTGAAATACAGCCTGATGTGTGCTTCCACTTACTTGATTTGGACTTCATGGGAACCATCCTCTGTGGCTTTTTGTGATACCTTCTTGGCTCTTTGTTGTATCCTTTTCATAAGCAATGACCTGTGTTTTCAGCTAAGTAGTTTCTTCAGCCAGCTTCCTCCCTGTAGAACCTCTTAGGTCCTAAGGCCTCTCTTCATTTTTACTGTCTTGTTGTCTTTTAAGCCAAGCTAGCAAGCAGTGCTATTGTTACTATAATTCTCTTAGAGTCTCTTGTGAATTTTACTTGAGTTCTTGTCATTGGAAAAACCACTTGTCCCAATCTCTTTGAGATAAGCACTTCACCTTGTGCTTCCTGTGAAGGAAGCACACTGTTCTGTGTAGTAGGACAGTGCCTTAAGATGCTTATACCCTTAAGATCTTTAAGGGAATTTGAGGCACCACCTTAAATCTTTCTAAGGTCTTAAAATAGGGCCTTACACTGACAGTCTTGGCTTCACCTTCAGACTTTCTCCTGGCGGCACCCTGGATTTGATCTTATCTCAGAGGCCATTTATTTCAGCAATACAGATGCTCCTCAGATTAGGATGGGTTTATGTCTGGATGGCATTTGCATTTGTTATGTCTGATATTTGCAATTTATAGGCCATCATAAATTGCAAATATCAGAAGTTATGGGTGGGTTTTCCATTTACGATAATTTCCACTTACAGTGACTTTATCCTGATGTAACCACCCCTGTAAGCCAAAAGGCTTACACATATCATTTCATTACTCAACACATATCATTTTCACAGTATTATAAAAAGTCAGAAAATGGTGAGTCGAACCATGCTAAGTCAAGGACTGTCTATATTTGGGAATCTGACATGTGGAGAGGCTATAAAAAGGATACTGAACCTAGAAAGTCCTGGTTCTTTTATATGTAGTAGTCTTTCTTTAGCTTATCTCTTGCATTGGTTTTACTTTCAGCGGCTGTGTAGTAACAGTGCCCTTTCCTTCAGGTTCCCGTATCGTCTTCTTCACTATCCTTGAAGCCCTTCCTACCAGCTTCTTCGAGGACCATCAGGCTTCCACTAACAGTCTCTTTAAAACTCTTCTTGTTTTTGTGCTTATTCTTCTGTAGGTCCTTTTAGCTTCTGATTAGCTCCTGGTCCAATGGTAGTCCTACATGTTTTAGTAGTTTTTGTTGTGTTGTTGTTGTGCAATCTATATGTAGTGTCAATATCTGTATCAGTTATTTCTTGGTATATAAGAAAATGCAGTGTCTCAAAACAACATCTATTTTGTTCACAATCTGCAGTTTTAGGCAAGGCTCAGTGGGTCCAACTCACTTTCTCTTTACTTGGCATCAGCTGAGGTGACTTAAAGCTGGGGACTAGAATCATCTAAAGGCTTGTTTATTTACCTGTGCGGCATTCGAAGCTGGCTTTTGGCTGGGACGTTAGGTAGGGAAGTCAGCTCGAACACCTACCTACATGAGGGTTCACGGTGTGGTTTGGGCTTTCTCACGGCATGTTGGCTGCATTTTAAGGACAAGCGTCCCTAGAGAGAGAGTCAGGTAGAAGCTGTGTGACTTTTTGTAACCAACTTTAGAAGTCACACAGCAGTTCTGCCACATTGTGTTCCGGAGAAGCCGGTTGTCAATGCCAGCTTGTATTCAGGAGAGGGAATGTCATGGGAGAAGTGGCAAGCAATTTGTAGATGTTTTAAAACCACCACTTCACTTACCTTTATAAAATAAAAGACAATCATAATTATTTCCTCTAAAGGAAAGCAGTTATTTCCAACTCAGCACCACTGAAATTTCAGTGCAATTTTTTGTTGTCATTCTTTAATGTGCTCCCTTATTTTGTGTAAAGTAACAATGAATTACAAGATTGTGCTACTGAATTAAGGCATTTTTCTTCAGAAAAATGGTATGGATCATGCCACTGAACTTTTATACTGGGAGATGTGATTGCTTCTTAACTCCAAGTATCATTACTCTTTGAAATGTAACTCAAATTAGCGTAAGACATTTGCAGTTCAGCAAAAGGCTTATGGTATTGGAATCCTTTTTTTTTTTTTTTCCAAAATGTATTAATTAGAGTCTTATTTTCAGAGTCTTATTATGGGAGCCATTTATTGACTCAGGCCCAAATAATTCAATATGATGCCCCTAAAACTTCTCTGCAAATTATGGAGAATGATAGTGGGTTAAAGGAATAAGAGACTTTGTGCTAAAGGGGTAACTTAGAGCCATTTTAAGGAGGAAAGCCATGAAACCGTCATAGGAAAACAGAAGTCTAAGATCAAGTCCAAATGTTGTGTGGCAAAGATGATGAAAGTAAAGGATGTATTTTTGTGAATTCTGGTGGTTTTAACTTTGTTTTTAATTTTCTGAGTAATCCAAGGGTCTGTATTTTATGAATCTACAACAGTATAGGTAACATTTTATTGCAACTGAATTTATTTCAAAAATTATTAGTTTTGGCTGGGCGCGGTGGCTCACGTCTGTAATCTCAGCACTTTGGGAGGCCGAGGCGAGTGGATCATGAGGTCAGGAGATCGAGACCATCCTGGCTAACACGGTGAAACCCCATCTACTAAAAATAAAAAATAAATAAATAAAAAAATTTAGCCAGGGGTGGTGGTGGGCGCCTGTAGTCCCAGCTACTCCAGCTACGCAGGAGAATGGCCTGAACCCGGGAGGCAGAGCTTGTAGTGAGCCGAGATCCCGTCACTGTACTCCAGCCTGGGCGACAGAGCGAGACTCCATCTCAAAAAAAAAAAAAAAAAAAAAAATATTAGTTTTTTGTTAGACCATTCTCAGTCTACCTTCTTCATTACCAAACTATATTGTTTTACTCATGCAGATTGACCTTACAGAAGCACAGGAAACTGTACCTTCACGATGTCTACATCTGGATGCAGAGAATGAAGTTCTTCAACTTCAACAGACATTATTCTCTATGAAAGCAATACAAAAGCAATGTGAAACACTACAGAAGAATAAGAAGCAGCTGAAACAAGAAGTAGTAAACCTCAAAAGTTATATGGAAAGAAATATGTTAGAACGTGGTGAAGCTGAATGGCATAAACTGTTGATTGAAGAAAGAGCAAGGAAGGAGATAGAAGAAAAATTAAACGAAGCCATTCTCACCTTGCAGGTTGGTTTATTTATCTGTAATGTGCTTTCATTCATTTCGCTGCAAATTTTATTTTGGATATATACATTGTACATGTTTTCTCTACTTTCCTTACAGCAATTTGTTTGGTAGACTTCTAGAAGGAAGGTGGTATTTGTTTCTCCATTTAAATATTTTTGTTTCCATCATTCTTATAACTAAATTGATCTTCCATAAGAATAATTCTCACTAGAGAATCATTTAATTACTAAAGCCAGTTGGCATAAAACAAGACTAATAGAAAAAGTAAAAAAAAAAATTGTGATTTAGAAATTATACCATACTCTTGAACTGCTTTTAAGTTACGTTGTTCCACTTTTAAAATTTTAACTTGGTTCTGTCATTCTTTGGAGAATTGTTCAACAATTCAGATTCAGTTATTAATTCAGTTGGTACTGGTCATAAATATGTTAAGCTTGAGCTTCTTTCTTTCTTCACATTTTTCTTAAAATTGTTCTCTGAATCACGTACTTAAAATTGTTCTCTGAATCACTGACTCCAAACAAAAGGAAACAAATACACAGTAATTATTCAGGTTACAATTACTTTTAAAATGTTCCCTTTTAATTTATTTTAGAAACAAGCAGCAGTATCTCATGAACAGTTAGCACAGTTAAGGGAGGATAATACTACTTCAATAAAAACTCAGATGGAACTCACAGTCATAGATCTGGAATCTGAAATCTCCAGAATAAAAACTTCGCAAGCCGACTTTAATAAAACCAAATTGGAAAGATATAAGGAACTCTACCTAGAAGAAGTGAAAGTTAGAGAATCCTTGTCAAATGAACTCAGTAGGTAAGTCAATATGCAGAATCATAGAAAATAAGTTAAGCTCATTAATTTGCCTTCAAAAGCATGACTTTTAGTGAGACAGGTTCATGAGATTTGTGGGAAGTGAAAGCTAACTAGATCATACAATTTTGGAAAATTGTAAATTATATATAGTAAATGAACTTAACCTTTAAGTAAAATTGAAAATAGTAAATGAACGTAACCTTTAAAATCTTTAGTCCAGGACAGTTCCTGTCTCTCCTGTTTTTTGGGTTTATGTGGCTTCCCCCCACCCCTTAATATTCTTATATAGTTAACCTGATCTATTAGGGTTTCAGCTAAATATTTATGAAGCTTCATAATTTAGACAGTGATACCATTATAAAAATTGCTTGTCAGTATTCCCTTAATTCAAAATACTAATGAATTTAATTAATTTCTGGAAGACGACAGCTGAAAACCAAAAGGGTCAAGTACGACTACTCTGGACACATTCTGGCACTCAGTAAATTCACTTTGCTTGATTGTGATCATTAGAGGGTGCCTTGAGAAGAAGTGTCCTGTATAGTTTTTCCAATCCACATAAAGGCACACTTGTGAAGCAGAGAATGATCAACTAGGGTTGAAGGGAAGTATAACTTACTAAGTGATAAAAAATAACACCTTGGTCAGCCTGAGGGGGTATATGGAAGACAGAAAGGGCAGGCCCCACCTCTGATACATGGGCCGCAGTGTTAGGAGCTGATTGTCCTCCATGCTGCTTTAGTTCTCTTTGATTTCAGCAGTCTTATTCTCCCCAAGGAAAAGTCGCCGTGAATGATTCCTCAGTGCCAAATGCTCAAGTTTTTCCAGATAATGGGTGAAATATACAAGGGTGGTGAAAACAATTGTTTGAAAATGTCTTTGAGAGAGAGTTTTTTAGACAATCTCTAACAACATGTATTGTTTACTAAATACAAGTATTTCTAGCTTTTATTTTTACTTTTAGTTTTTTCTTGTATATATTTAAGGAGTACAACTTGATGTTTTGATATATTTATACGCAGTGAAATGGTTATTTTGTCAAGCAAATTAATATCTTCATCATTTCACATAGTTACCCTTGGAATACAAGTAATTCTAATGGCATCCTTAAGAATCGTATAAGTAGAGTCATTCCAGATGGGCAACAAGTGTTAACTATGAAGCCATACATCATTGATAGTCTTTTCTGTCCCCTCCCTCTCTTTGAACTACTTGTTTGTTAGAAATCCCTCTAGAAATAGATGTACTTCTTTAGAACAATGTTAAAACTATAATTGGATACAGTAGGCATGCTCTAACACATTTTCAGAGTTAAAACACGGCTTATGGTATATTCCATTTACTCTTAATGGCAACTTTTAGAACAATCGAAGTCATTTAGGAATCATTTAGGAAAAAATGAAATACTAAGCATTTGTCTTTTGCAATCTTCATAGAACTAATGAGATGATAGCAGAGGTCAGTACACAACTTACTGTGGAGAAAGAGCAGACCAGATCCAGATCTCTATTCACTGCTTATGCTACAAGGCCAGTCCTAGAGTCACCTTGCGTTGGAAATCTTAATGATAGTGAAGGTCTCAACAGAAAACATATTCCAAGAAAAAAGAGGTCTGCTCTTAAGGACATGGAGAGCTACTTGTTGAAGTTTAGCTATCTTTTTTCCTTCGGCGTTCAGATTTCTGATAGAATTCTTGTATGTTATTTGGTAAAATACTCAGTTACTTAATTGTCTTGTGTATGGTAAGTAAAAGTAATAATTACCTGTGTTAATAAAGAGAGGAGACAGAAATTTTACAGTTATTTTCAAGTCTCTGGAGCTCTCATTCATAAGAGATTACTCCTTTGTTAACTTTATTTAATAAATGTAACCAAACTGACACATTTTAAATTTTTTTAAAAACTGCATTTAAGTTAGATTTTAACCAAAGGTTTACTTTGATGTGCTTTGTCTTACTAATTGATTTTAGTTTGTCTGGGGTTCACTTTTAATGGGTTTAGTGTGCCTGGGGTCACTTTTAAAGTTTTTCTGCATCATCTCAGGTTTTCTACCCGTCATCATATGTGAATGATTGGTGTCCAAACACTAACCACCCATGGATGTTTATTATTTAAAAGGACCCAAGGTGAACACTTTTATATGTTATATAAACCTGCAACACTTGATTAATCTGTTCTTTAAGTTAAAAGTTTTGTGATTTTCTTACATGAGTACATCTGTAATTGCTATTGCACTTAATAGTGTTTTAATCCCAATTTTAGTAAAATGTGTCTGTTGCTATGCAATAGCACAGTGGTTTTGAAATAGTTAAATCAAATAAATATTTGAATTTTTAAAGTAAAGCTCACATAAGTTTTGTCTCTCTACCTGGCCATAACTTTAGTAATTGATGACTAAGATGGCAATGGTATCTAGAGTCCTTCAATAGCAAATGTGACCAAACAGAATCAGTTCTATTCTTAATACCCCAAATTCCATGTAAAGCTGCACATGGACATCTCCCCTGGACATGTAACAGGAACCTTTTAGTTCAACCGTGTGGTTTCACTCAGAGTAAGAGTCTATTTCTGGGGATTTCAAAATGGATCCAAAAATGACGAGCTGTATCAACTATAGAGTTGGTAAGGAAAAAAAAAAACAAAACGTAGTTCAACTATGCTTGACCCAGATTAAGGTATTTGTCTAACATTTGTCCATTTTTCAACTGAGGGAAAATTACAAAAACTGGGCACAGTGGCACACACCTGTAGTCCCAGCTGCTCCTGAGGCTGAGGCAGGAAGATCACTTGAACCCAGGAGTTCAAATCTGCAGTGCGCAATGATTATTCCTGTGAGTAGCTACGGCACTGCAGCATTCCAATCTGGGTAACATAGCAAGATTCTGTCTCTTAAAAAAATTACAAAATCCATAAAACATTTGTTTGAACAACAATAGATAAATAGTTTTCTTTGTGTATATTGTTGTTTTTAAAATTTTCAATCGATGCACATTGGCTTATAGTTTTGATGTTTTTATGATCTCCTTAGCGCACAGAAAAGTAGCGCAGGCCCACATGGAATGAACCTCAACCTTGTTGTGTTTACCTGGCTATTTCGTGTCCTAACAAATCATAGAAGAGCAAATCTAAGGTTTCTTAGATAGCATTGTGGCCAAATAGCTTAAAAGGGAATGCATTAAATGATTGTTTTAATACATAGATTACAAGAGCCCAGCTAGCTGATATTTTTAATCATATTGTTCGCTTAGGTTTTATTTTTCTGAAAAAAATGAGATGATCAGCGTCCAAATGCCTCAGTCACGAAATTGTACCACTGGGTACTAATGGGAAATGAATGTTAAATACGTCTGTAAATGGTTAAGCAAGATGCAAATATAATGTTCTCATTAGTACTATGAACCCCCCAAATTTGAGACAAGTCTCAATTAATTTAGAAAGTTTATTTTGCCGAGGTTGAGGACACACATCCGTGACACAGCCTCAGGAAGTCCTGATGACATGTGTCCAAGGTGGTTGGGGCACAACTTGGTTTTATACATTTTAGGGAGACATGAGACATCAATCAATATATTTAAGAAGTACATTGGTTCACTCTGGAAAGGCGGGACAATTTGAAGCAAAGGGAGGAAGACTGGTAGCGGGGAGGGGGCTTCCAGGTCACAGATAGATGAGAGACAAACAGTTGCACTCTTTTGAGTTTCTGATTAGCCTTTCCAAAGGAGACAGTCAGATCTGCATTTATCTTAGTGAGCAGAGAGGTAACTTTGAATAGAATGGGAGGCAGGTTTGCCCTAAGCAGTTTCCAGCCTGAGTTTTCCTTTTAGCTTAGTGATTTTGGAGGCCCAAGATATTTTCCTTTCACAATACTTACCAGAAAAACAAGGTAATGTATCATTTTACAAGATGGTGCTGAGAGAGTATAAAAAGCAGATGTAGGCCGGGCACTGTAGCTCAAACCTATAATCCCAGCACCTTGGGAGGCCAAGGTGGGTGGATCACCTGAGGTCAGGAGTTCGAGACCAACCTCCAACATGGTGAAACCCCGTACCTAATAAAAATACAAAAATTAGCTGGGCATGGTGGTGTGCGCCTGCAGTCCCAGTTACTTGGGAGGCTGAGGCAGGAGAATCGCTTGAACCTGGGAGGCAAAGGTTGCAGTGAGCTGAGATTGTGCTGCTGCACTCCAACCTGGGCGACAGAGCAAGACTCCATCTCATGGGTGGGGGAAAAAAATAAATAAAATAAATAAAAGCAGATGTGATGCAAGGGAAGATTTTTGAGGAACTTTTTTTTTTTAATTTCTGTTTTGTGGGGAAGGGGGTGTTCATTTTTTAGTATTTCTAGATAAGTAGAAAATTTGTTTGTTTTAAAGTTAATGTTAATGTAGTAGTTCCAAGGCATACCTAGTTTCCTTGTGGGGCATTTTTTGCCCAATCATGTTAGATTTACTAAAAGAGATTTAAAAGCATGATTATATCAAGATATGAGTGCTTGGTGCGGAGGCTCACACGTGTAATCCCAGCACTTTGGGAGGCCGAGGCGAGTGGGTCACTTGAGGTCAGGAATTCGAGACCAGCCTGGACAACATGGTGAAACCCTGTCTCTGCTAAAAATACAAAAATTAGCCTGGCGTGGTGGCAGGCGCCTATAATCCTAGCTACTCGGGAGGCTGAGGCTGGAGAATCGCTTGAACCCAGGACGCAGAGGTTGCAGTGAGCCAAGATTGTGCCACTGCACTGCAGCCCAGGTGACAGAGCAAGACTCCATCTCAAAAAAAAAAAAGTGGAGGTAGTTGTGAAGAATGTATGGTAAGATTAGAAAAGTCAAGGAAGAAGAAACTATTTCTATAAGTGTTATACAGTCATGGTTCTTTTTCAGGCTGTGGTGGATAGGCAGCAAATGGTGCTCCTCATTCCCTTCTGAGTTCAGAACACAGGAGTCAGATAGATGGACATCAACACACTAGCTCTATTACAGACTCATGATAACTAATGGGAGGATGTGGCTCAGATGTGCAGCCACAGTATTTTATCCCAGATTAGGCACTAACCCACAGAGTTTTAAGTGGAGAAAACAAATGCTTGACACCCATCGCAGGTGCATGCTGCTTACTGCAGAGATGACAGCAGACCTGAACTCATGTCACTGTGGGCAGACACATCTTTTGAAAGAGACCCTGAGCCAAGCAAGCACACTGTGTGCTTTGCCCAAATTCACCCATTAGGTAGATCTGATATCCTCTCAAGAGGAAGCTATAGGTAGAGAGAGTCTAAGTCCTCATTTGAAACCTGAGGCCAGGAAAATGAAGGTTCTCCTATCATTTATGGCTGGATTTAAGTGATAATTGAAATTAATCCCATGTCTTTGTATGTACAAATTAGTGATTAGAAGTTGGACAGACGTGTGGTAGATGGTAAAGAGAAATCTGTTTTGTGTTTTCAGTTTTTCTATAAGTAACTCACAACATGGATAATTGACTTGATTGATTTTCCTAAACCACGTCTTATTTGGAGGAGAATGAATAGTTCTTTTAAGGAACAGTTTTCTTAATTTCTGCTTGCTTGGTTCAACTAAAGATTTTCTCCTTCAAGTTTTCTGTTCTGCGTTTTGAAAAATGGGTTCTTTATAAATTGAGTGTCTTGACTGGTACTAGCCAGAAGTTATGATATTAATTGTTCTTTAAATTTGATTCATAACTTACAATTTGGAGAGCTACTATTTTTTGTCTCATGCTTAAACATTATAGAGCATCATGACAGTTTATAGATGCATTTTCTCTTTTTTTTGTTGTTGTTGTTTTTGAGACAGAGTCTCACTCTGTCTCCCAGGCTGGAGAGCAGTGGCGTGATCTCTGCTCACTGCAACCTCTGCCTGCCGGGTTCAAGCGATTCTCCTGCCTCAGCCTCCTGAGTAGCTGGGACTACAGGTGCACACCACCACGCCTGGCTAATTTTTATATTTTTAGTAGAGACGGGGTTTCACCATATTGTCCAGGCTGGTCTTGAACTCCTAACCTTGTGATCCACCCAATTCAGCCTCCCAAAGTGCTGAGATTACAGGCGTGAGCCACCACACCTGGACTGTCTGAGTTATTTTTTTATTTTTATTATTATTATTATTATTTTTGATGCGGAGTCTGACTCTGTCATCCAGGCTGGAGTGCAGTGGCACGATCTCGGCTCACTGCAAGCTCCGCCTCCTGGGTTCACGCCATTCTCCTGCCTCAGCCTCCTGAGTAGCTGGGACTACAGGCGCCTGCCACCATGCCCGGCTAATTTTGTGTATTTTTAGTAGAGACGGGGTTTCATTGTGTTAGCCAGGATGGTCTTGATCTTCTGACCTTGTGATCCTCCCGTCTCGGCCTCCCAAAGTGCTGGGATTACAGGTGTGAGCCACCGCGCCCAGCCTGAGTTATTTTTAAAAATCTGTATTTCTTTTCTGAATATGAAGGAAGGTGCTGGCATAGAATAACTCCAGGCTCAGTGAAAGATCTGAAGCCCACTCCTACCTTGTAACTAATTGGTTTTGTGACCTCAGGCAAGCTGCAGGCTCTCTGAGCCTGTTTTGTTTCTTATGTAAAATTAAGGACTTTGACTAAATCAGTGACATTCATACGTTTAAGTAAATCTCTTTTTTTTTTTAAGAATGGAACTTTTTTAAATTGCATAAAACCACATTATAGAAAACAGAAGTAGTGCTGCCTGACTAAAGGAAGGATCAGTGCTCTGAAGCTGTGACTTTCTTATCCCTTAATCCTTCAGCATCCTCTGTGGAACCTTAGATTTCTGTGGGACATAGCTTGAAAAGGATCATTTCTTGAATTATTACTTTTATAAGGCCTGGATGGTAATGCTGTTGTCATGTTACCTACTCTATAAAGCCTATCTGTAATGTTTTTGTCACAGAAATGTTATGGAAAGGAGTCTCAAAATATTGGTAAACCTGTTAGTAAAACAAAAAAATTGACTTGACACCTAAAATTTGTAAAGGCATTAGATATCATTATCTTTATCACCACAAACTATCTCAGACCCTGTTCTAGGCATTTAGTGAGAGAATACCTATTCTAAAAAAAAATTAAATAAGAGCACTCTAGATAGGGACACTGGCAATAAGTTTGAAATATTCCCACACCTTTCATAATTAAGTAGATAACTATAACTTGTCAGATGCTTAAAAAATGGGTACTAATTTCTGAAAAGAAATCAAAGTTGTAGTTAAATAACTCTAAATTGTTTTCCTAGTTTTTAATTCTAGACACTCATGAATCAAAGAAACTAAGATTGAAAACTGGCTCTAACCTGTATTTATCCTTGCTTTTATGTAAATTTTCTGAAATCTTTGTGTCCGTATGAATGAAGAAATGTTAATCATAATAGCATAATGTTTTTAATCTTTTGCCAGTGGAACTTTCACATGGCATCACAACAATACTGCTTTCTTCAAGTATGTATTAAAGATTCTGTGCTGAATTAATAGCAAAGAACATACTTTGAAATTATTATTTTCTAAAAGTGGAGAATGGAGAGTTCATTGTAAGGAACTATTCATTAAAGTGAAAAACTGGTTAGACCTTGATAAAGGGCAGAGTTTTGATAAGAATGGGAAAGTAATGCATTCATTGCAGAATATGACTTGAATTGTGTAACCTCTGTACTGATAAGGGAAAACATCACACTTTTGAAATGACATAGATCCAACAGACCAATATTAATTGTACTTTTGTGAGATTAATCTAAACAGCATAACACATATATGTTCTCCATTATCTAAACTTAAAATAGGTAGGAATTTATATGATATTTTTAATTTAAGCTATCTTCAAGTTAGGTCTAGTCTGTAAAAGTATTATTTAAAGGCCGCATTTTGTAATTAATGCTCCTTACCATGATAATGTCTCTTCTTAAACGTTATAAATAATATTTGACTTATTTCAGATGCAGCAGAAGTTGCAAAATGACCTAACTGCAGAAGTAGCAGGTATGTTACCAAAATTTATGAATTAAATTTAGATTAATATATATCTGAAATAAACTGCAAACGACATCCCTTTCCGTTCTTGGGCTAGTAGATACTACATTAAATATTCTTTCATATACATCTAATGAAAGATGTGAAAACCTGAACATGTATAATGAAGAGCATACTTATGCCTCATGAATCATCACGTTCCATAGCTTGAAAAAAATAGCTCAAGAAGTCTGGCTCTACTCTTCACTTCTGCCATCCCTATGGAATTGTCAGCCAGCACACAGAAACGGTTCTCAGAAAACAGAGGCATCATCAACTTCTCAGGGTTATGGTAGTGATTTTTAAGGCCAAAACATCCCAGTCTCATCTAGTAACCTATTCAAGCAGTTACAGTTTATAAGCAGTCGCTTGAGAGGTAACACTTTAAATCTCCAGTCATTTACAGTGTCATTGGTTTACTTTTGCCCTCAGAAAAAGTTCCAAATTCCTTAACATGTAATATAAACACCCACATTCATTTGGTTCTTGTCAAGTTACTCAGGCTTATCTCTCACCACTTACTTTACTCTGCCCCTTTGCTCTAGGATCCAGCCAAACTGGACTGCACAGAATTCCACAGTGCTCGTCCTTCTCCTCCAGCTCTTTGCACTTGCTTCTTTGCTCTATCTGCCAACCTTTTTTTCTCATCCTTCAGGTATCCACTAACCATGCCTCCACCGAAAAACCTACAGTATCGAGACAAAACTGGGATAGGTGTCCCTCTTGCATTCCAATAGTGCCCTGTTTTATACCTGTCAGGGTATCTATGACTTGGTATGGAAATTGCCTATTTGTCTGCTTTTTCAGGTTATAGCATGTGATTGCTGAGGGGTGGACTGTATCATCTTCATCTTGTAACTCCAGGGCATAGTCTAGTACCTTAGCATGCGGTTGTTGAATAAATGAATGAAGAATGAGAAAACCAGAAGCTGTGATACACAACCACAATGATCATTTAGTGTGCAACTATGGGCAGATTCTTATCTAATAATAAGTTAGCATTGTAGTCATACATACTTTTCATTCTTGTTAACACTGAAAAAGCTCTCAACTCTTTTTTACTGATTTGCACTTAGTTAACTATGAAATATATAGAATATAATTCTTTGGCCAGGCATGTTGGCTCACGTTTGTAGTCCCAGCACTTTGGGAGCCTGAGGCAGGCAGATCACTGGAGCCCAGGAGTTTGAGAGCAGCCTGTGCCAACATGACGAAACCCTGCCCCTATAAAAAATACAAAAGCTTGCCAGGCACAGTGGCTCATGCCTGCAGTTCCAAGTACTTGGGGCTGAGGCAGGAGAATTGCTTAAGCCTGGGAGGACGAGACTGCAGTGACCTGTGATCACACCACGGCACTCCAGCATAGGTGAAAGAGTGAGACCCTATCTTAAAATAATAACAATAATAATAATAATAATAATAATAATAATAATAATAATATAATTCTTGCTTTTTTTTTCAGCTGCTACTAAATATGAACCTGGATCCTATATAGCTTCTCCTCTAGGATTTACACACAAGGAAAATCTGAATCAAGATCCAGTTTTGGAAGTAGCAAAAGAATATGCACAGATTTTAAGAAGAAAATACATACTCTGAAAGATAAGGCAATTTTATTTGGGCTATTCACATGATATTTTGTTTCCCATTAAATATATGATGTGAACATTTTTACTAAAGGGAAATATTCTATGTTATACATGTCTGATGAAAATTTATATAGTATTTTAAATAATGTTTCTTGGCCTCTTCAGCTAACTTTTAAGTGGATTTTGCAAATGAAAACCAGTATTACTGAGTTTTACATACTCGAACTGCCCAAATGTTAGCTGTTTAAACAGCCAAATAATCAAGTTGCCATTAATAATTTAGTGGAGCCAATTGATGGCTTGTTTGTATTTTATAATTTTATCTTTATACATAGTGATAGATTTAAGTTTAGATAGACATCATTTTGGTATACTGGTACTGTGGTCATTGTCAATGTTTGGATATATTACGATTGTTATAGTGCAATCAAACTTAGATAATTTTAATTTTAAGCACTGATTTATTTAGATCTTTCCTTGTGGAAAAATAAGGTTTGCCTAAGGCTTTTTGCTTTTTTATTTATTGTTTCATTTCTTTATTAGATTAACTTTTGGGAAACAGTCTTAAAATTGGAGAAAATTTCCACATTTTAGGAAAAACAGCTTTCCCCCTGTGGGCCATTTGAGAGTAAATTGCTGACATTATGCCATCACATCTGGTATGTGGGTATTCCCACAAGTCAGGACATTTTATATAACTACTTCATAATCAGAAAGTTAACATCAATACACTTGATCATTTCATTCTCAGTTTCTTTTCAAGTTTTCTTAATTGTCTATAATGTTCTTTGTAGCAGAAGGATCCCATTCAGGTCCATGAATTTCATTTAGTTGTCATGACTCTTTCAGTCTGGAACAGTTCCTCAGTTTTTCTTTGACCTTTATGACCTTAAATCTTTTGAAGAGTAAAGTCCAATAATACAGAATGTCCCTCCATTGGATTTCTCTGAAGTTTTTTTATGATAAGATTTAGATGATAATTTTTTTTTTTGGCAAGAGTATCACAGAAGTTATCCCATGATCTTCTCACTGCATTCTATCAGGTGACCTGCAATTATTATTATTTTTTATTTTCATCTTTTAAGTTCAGGGGTACATGTGCAGGATGTGCAGGATGTCCAGGTTTGTTACATAGGTAAATAGGTGCCATGGTGGTTTGCTGCACAGATCATCCCATCACCTAGGTATTAATAATAGCCCAGCATCCATTAGCTGTTCTTCACGATGCTCTCCCTTCTCTCACCCGCCACCATCCCACATGCCCCTGTGTGTGTTGTTCCCCGCCATGTGTCCATGTGTTCTCATTATTCAGCTCCCACTTGTAAGTGAGAGCATGCAGTATTTCATTTTCTATTTCTGCGTTGGTTTGCTGAGGATAATGTTCTGCAGCTCCACCCATGTCCCTGCAAAGGACATGTCTCATTCCTTTTCATGGCTGCATAGTATTCCATGGTGTATATGTACCACATTTTCTTTATCCAGTTTATCATTGATGGGCTTTTAGGTTGATTCTTTGTCTTTGCTATTGTGAATAGTGCTGCAATGAACATACCTGTGCGTGTATCTTTATACTAGAATTAGTTATATTCCTTTGGGTATATACCAAGTAATGGGATTGCTGGGTTAAATGGTATTTCAGGTTCTAGATCTTTGAGGAATCACCACACTGTCTTCCACACTGGTTGAACTAATTTACACTCCTATCAACAGTGTAAAAGCATTCCTGTTTCTCCATAATCTTGCCAGCATCTTTTCATTTTTTTGAATTATAGCCATTCTGACTGTTGTGAGATGGTGTCTCATTGTGGTTTTGATTTGCATTTCTCAGATGATCAGTGATGTTGAGGTTTTTTTGTTTGTTGGCTGCATGTATGCCTTCTTTTGAAAAGTGTCTGTTTGTGTCCTTTGACCACTTTCTAATGGGGTTGGGTTTTTTTTTCTTGTAAATTTGTTTAAGTTCCTTGTAGATGCTGGATATTAGACCTTTGTCAGATGGATAGAGTGCAAAAATTTTCTCCCATTCTGTAGGTTGTCGGTTTACTCTGTTGATAGTTTCTTAATGCTGTGCAGAAGCTCTTTAGTTTAATTAGATCCCATTTGTCAATTTTGGCTTTTGTTGCAATTGCTTTTGGCATCTTCGTCATGAAATCTTTGCCCTTGCCTGTGTCCTGAATGGCATTGCCTAGGTTTTCTTTCAGGATTTTTATAGTTTTGGGTTGTAGATTTAAGTCTTTAATCCATCTTGAGTTAACTTTTGTATATGGGTTAAGGAAGGGGTCCAGTGTCAATTTGCTGCATATGGCTAGCCAGTTCTCCCAGCACCATTTATTAAATAGGGAATCTTTTCCCCATTGCTTCCTTTTGTCAGGTTTGTCAAAGATCACATGGTTGTAGGTGTGTGGTCTTATTTCTGGGTTCTCTATTCTGTTCCATTGGTCTATGTGTCGGTTCTTGTACCAGCACCATGCTGTTTTGGTTACTGTAGTCTTGTAGTATATTTTGAAGCTGGGTAGCATGATGCCTCTAGCTTTGCTCTTCTTGCTTAGGATTGTCTTGGCTATTTGGGCTCTGTTTTGGTTCCATATGAATTTTAAAATAGCTTTTTCTAGGTCTGTAAAGAATGTCAATAGTAGTTTAATGGGCCTAGCATTTAATTTACAGATTGCCTTGGGCAGTGTGGTCATTTTCATGATATTGATCCTTCCTGTCTGTGAGCATATGTTTTTCCATTTGTTTGTGTCATCTCTGATTTCTTTGAATAATGGTTTATAGTTATCCTTGAAAAGGTCCTTCACTTTTCTTGTTAGCTGTATTCCTAGGTATTATACTCTTCTTGTGGCAATTGTGAATGGGAGTTAATTCATGATTTTTCTCTCGGCTTGCCTGTTGTTGGTGTATAGGAATGCTAGTGACTTTTGCACATTGATTTTGTATCCTGAGACTTTGTTGAAGTTGCTTATCAGCTAAGAAGTTTTTGAGCTGAGATGATGGAGTTTTCTAGATATAGGATCATATCATCTGCAAAGAAAGTTTGACTTCCTGTCTTCCTATTTGAATAGCTTTTCTTTCTTTCTCTTGCCTGATTGCCTTGGTGAGAATTTCTAATACTGTGTTGAATAGGAGTGGTGAGAGAGGGCATCTTTGTCTTGTGTCAGTTTTCAAGGGAATGCTTCCAGGTTTTCAGGTACTCAGGCAACAAATAGCGTTACGAATAGAATAGTACCTCACATCTCAATGCTAATGTTGAACGTAAATGGCCTAAATGCTCCACTTAAAAGATATAGAATGGCAGAATGGGTAAGAATTCACCAACCAAGTTGCTGCTGTCTTCAGGAGACTCACCTAACACATACGGACTCACATAAACTTAAGGCAAAGGGTTGGAAAAAGACACTTCGTCTAAATGGACACATCAAAAGCGAGCAGGAGTAGCTGTTCTTATATCAGACAAAACGGACTTTAAGACAACAGCAGTTTTAAAAAGACAAAGAGGGACATTATATAATGATAAAAGGACTAGTTCAACAGGAAAATATCACAGTCCTAAATATATATGCACCTAATACTGGAGATCCCAAATTTATAAAACAATTACTACTAGACATAAGAAATGAGGTAGTTGGCAACACAATAATAGTGGGGGATGTTAATACTCCGCTGGCAGCACGAGGCAGATCACCAAGACAGAAAGTCAACAAAGAAACAATGGACTTAAACTATACCCTAGAACAAATGGACTTAACAGATACTTACAGAACATTCTACCCAACAAGCATAGAATATACATTGTATACATCAGAACACGGGACATTCTCCAAAATAGACCATATGATAGGGCACAAAACAAGTCTCAGTAAATTTAAGAAAATCAGAATTATATCAAGTACTCTCTCAGACCACAGTGGAATAAAATTGGAAATTAATTCCAAAAGGAACACTCAAAAGCATGCAAATACATGGTAATTAAATAACCTACTCCTGAATGATTGTTGGGTCAACAATGATATCAAGAGGGAAATTTAAAAATTCTTTGAACTGAACGATAATAGTGACACAACCTATCAAAAACTCTGGGATACAGCAAAAGTGGAGCTAAGAAGAAAATTCATAGCATTAAATGCCTATATCAAAAAGTCTGAAAGAGCACAAATAAACAATCTAAGGTCACACCTCACAGAATTGGAGAAACTAGAACAGTCCAAATCCAAACCCAGCAGAAGAAAAGAAATAACAAAATCAGAACAAAACTAAATGAAATTGAAACAAAAAAATACAACAGATAAATGAAACAAAAAGCTGGTTCTTTGAAAAGATAAATAAAATTGATAAGCATTAGCAAGATTAATCAAGAAAAGAAGAGAGAAGCTCCAAATAAGCTGTATTAGAAATGAAATGGGAGATATTACCACTGATACCACAGAAATACAAAAGATTATTCAAGACTACTATGAACATCTTCACATCCATAAACTAGAAAACCTACAGGAGATCGATAAATTCCTGGAAATATACAACCCTCCTGGATTAAATCAGGAAGATATAGAAACTCTGAACAGACCAATCAGAAGCAGCAAGATTGAAAATGGTAATTTAAAAATTGCCAACAACAAAAAAGTCCAGGACCAGATGGATTCACACCTGAATTCTATCAGACATTCAAAGAATTGGTACCCTTCCTATTAACACTATTTCACAGGATAGAGAAAGAGAAATCTTCCCTAAATCATTTGATGAAACCAAAATCACCATGATATGTTTTGGCTCTGTGTCCCCACCCAAATCTCATCTTTTAGCTCCCATAATTCCCACATGTTGTGAGAAGGACCCAGTAGGAGATGATTGAATCATGAGGGCAGGTCTTTTCCATGCTGTTCTCATGACAGTGAGTGAGTGTCACAAGATCTGATGGTTTTAAAAACAGGACTTTCTCTACACAAGCTCTTTCTTTTTGCCTGCTGCCATCCACGTAGGATGTGACTTGCTCTTCCTTGACTCCACCATGACTTTGAGGCCTCCCCAAATATGTGGAACTGTAAGTCAAATAAACCTCTTTCTTTTGTAAATTGCCCCGTCTCAGGTATGTCTTTATCAGCAGTGTGAAAATGGACTAATACACACCCTAATACTGAAACAGACTAATAGACACCCTAATACCAAAAGCAAGGAAGGACATAATGAGAAAAGAAAGCTACAGACCAACATCCCTGATGAGCAGAGATGCAGTAATCCTCAAAAAAATACTAGCTAGCTGAATCTAACAACATATCAAAAAGATAATCCATCATGATCAAGTGGGTTTCATACCAGGGATGCAGGGATGGTTTAACATCTACAAGTCAATAAATGCGATACACTACATAAACAGAATTAAAAAACAAAAGTCACATGATCATCTCAATAGATGCAGAAAAACCACTTGAGAAAATCCAGCATCCTTATTTTATTAAGACCCTCAGCAAAATCAGCATAGAAGGGACATACATTAAGGTAATAAAAGCCATCTATGACAAACCCACAGCCAGCATTATACTGAACAGGGAAAAGTTGAAAGCATTCCTCCTGAAAACTGGAAGAAGACAAGATTGCCCACTTTCTCCACTTCTATTCAACATGGTACTGGAAGTTCTAGCCAGAGCAATCAGACGAGAGAAAGAAATCAAGGGCATCCAAAGTGGTAAAGAAGAAGTCTGCCTATTGCTGTTTCCCAATGATATGATTGTATACCTAGAAAACCCTAAAGACTCATCCAAAAAGCTTCTAGAACTGGTAAATGCATTCAGCAAAGTTTCAGGGTACAGAGTTACACACAAGTGTGCACAAATCCGTAGCTGTGCTATACACCTTCAGCGACCAAGCCAAGAATCAAACCAATAACTCAACCCTTTTTACAATAGCTACAAATAATAATAATAACAATAAAATACTTAGGAATATTCCTAACCAAGGAGGTGAAAGATCTCTGCATGGAAAACTACAAAACACTACTGAAAGAAATCACAGATGACACAAACAAATGGCAGCACATCCCATGCTCATGGATGGGTAGAATCAATATTGTGAAAATGACCATACTGCCAAAAGCAATCTACAAATTTAATCCAATTCCCATCAAAATACCACCATCATTCTTTACAAAATGATGAAAAATAATCCCAAAATTCATATGGAACCAAAAAAGAGCCTACATAGCCAAAAGAAGACTAACCAAAAAGAATAAATCTGGTGACATCACATTACCTAACTTCAAACTATTCTGTAACACCATAGTCACTAAAACAGCATGATACTGGTATAAAAATAGGCACATAGACCAATGGAACAGCATAGAGAACCCAGAATTAAAGCCAAATACTTACAGCCAGCTGATCTTCAACAAAGTGAGGAAAGGACACCCTATTCAACACATAGTGCTGGGATAATTGGCTAGCCACATTTAGGAGAATGAAACTGGATCCTTATCTCTCACCTTATACAAAAATCAACTCAAGATGGATCAAGAACTTAAGACCTGAAGCCTTAAAAATTCTAGAAGATAACATTGGAAAAACCCTTCTAGACATTGGCTTAGGCAAAGACTTCATGACCAAGAAGCTCAAAACAAATGCAACAAAAACAAAAGATAAATAGATGGGACTTAACTAAACTAAAAAGCTTTTGCACAGCAAAAGAAATAATTAGCAGAGTTAACAGACAACACACAGAGTGGGAGAAAATCTTCACAACCTACACATCCAACAAAGGACTAATATTCAGAATCTACAAAGAACTCAAATCAGTAAGAAAAAAACCAATCCCATAAAAAAGTGGGCTAAGGACACGAATAGACAATTCTCAAAAGAAAATATACAAATGGCCAACAAGCATATGGAAAAATGCTCAACATCCCTAATGATCAGGGAAATGCAAATCAAAACCACAACGCGATATCACCTCATTCCTATAAGAATGGCAATATTAAAAAAATTAAAAAATAATAGATGTCAGCATGGATGTGGTGGAAAGGGAACACTTTTATAGTGTTGATACTAATGTAAACTAGTACAACCACTATGGAAAACGGTGTGGAGATTGCTTAAAGAACTAAAAGTAGATCTACCATTTGATCCAACAACCCCATTCCTCAGTATCTACCCAGAGGAAAAGAAGTCATTATACAAAAAAGATACTTGTACACATGTTTATAGCAGCAAAATTCATAATTGTGAAAATATGGAACCAGCCCAAATGCCCATCAATCAATGAGTGGATAAAGAAAACGTGATATGTACACACACACCCCATGGAATACTACTCAGCCATAAAAAGGAGCAAACTGGATGGAATTGGAGACCATTCTTCTAATTGCAGCAACCTGGATGGAATTGGAGACCATTCTTCTAAGTGAAGTAGCTCAAGAATGGAAAACCAAACATCATATGTTCTCATATGTGGGAACTAAGCTATGAGAATGTAAAGGCAGAAGAATGATACAGGGGACTTTGGGGACTCAGCGGAAATGGTGGGAAGGGAGTGAGAAATAAAAGACTACACATTGAGTACAGTGTACACTGCTCGGGTGAGGGATGCACCAAAATCTCAAAAATCACCACTAAAGAACTTATTTATATAACCAAACACCACCTGTTCCTTAAAAACCTATTGAAATAAAAAGTAAATTTAAAAAAACCTCCTGGATTCATTGATTTTTTTGAAGGTTTTTTTGTGTCTCTATTTCAGTTCAGCCCTGATCTTGGTTATTTCTTGTCTTCTGCTAGCTTGGGAGTTTGTTTCCTCTTGGTTCTCTAGTCATTTTAGTTGTAATATTAGGTTGTTAACTTGAGATCTTTCTCTCTTTTTGATGTGGGCATTTAATGCTATAAATTTTCCTCTTAACACTGCTTTAGCTGAGTCCTGGAGATTCTGTTATGTTGTCTCTTTGTTCTAATTAGTTTTAAAACACTTCTTGATCTCTGCCATAATTTTATTATTTACCCCAAAGTCATTCAGGAGCAGATTGTTCAATTTCCATATAGTTGTGTGGTTTTAAGTGAATTTCTTAATCTTGAGTTCTAATTTGATTTTGCTGTGGTCTGAGAGACTCTTTGTTATGATTTCAGTTATTTTTCATTTGCTGAGGAGTGTTTTTCTTCCTAATTTATGATTAGTTTTAGGGTAAGTGTCATGTGGCTATGAGAAGAATGTATATTCGCTTGTTTTTTGTTGGAGAGTTCTGTAGATAACTATCATGTCTACTTGATCCACAGCTGAGTTCAGGTCCTGAATATCTTTGTTAATTTTCTGTCTCCATGATGTGTCTAATATTGTCATTGTGGTGTTAAAGTCTCCCACTATTATTGTGTGGGAGTCTAAGTCTCTTTGAAGGTCTCCAATAACTTGCTTTATGGACCTGGGTGCTCTTGTATAGGGTGCATATATATTTAGGATAGTTAACTCTTCTGGTTGAATTGAACCCTTTACCAACAGGTAGTGCTCTTCTTTCTCTTTTTTGATCTTTGTTAATTTAAAGTCTGTTTTGTTAGAAACTAGGATTGCAAGCTCTGTTTTTTTCTGCTTTCTGTTTGCTTGGTAAATTTTCCTCCATCCCTTTATTTTTAGCCTATGTGTTTCTTTGTGTGTGAGATGGGTCTCTTGAATACAGCATACTGATGGGTCTTGGTTCTTTATCTAGCTTGCCATTCTGTGTCTTTCATTGGAGAACACATTGAGATTTAAGGTTAGTAGTATTATATGTGGATTTGATCTCATCATCATGATGCTAGCTGGTTATTTTGCTAACTTGTTTATGTGGTTGCTTCACAGTGTCACTGTTGTTTGTACTTTAGTGTGTTTTTCTGGTGCCTGGTAATGGTTTTTCCTTTTCATATTTACTGCTTCCTTCAGGAGCTCTTGCAAGACAGGTCTGGTAGTAACAAGTTCCCTCAGCATTTGCTTGTCTGAAAAGCATCTTATTTATCCTTTGCTTATGAAGCTTGGTTTGGCCAGATGTGAAATTCTGGGTTGGAAATTCTTTTCTTTAAGAATGTTGAATATTGGTTCCCAGTATCTTCTGACTTGTAGGGTTTCCACTGAGAGGTCGGCTGTTCATCTGATGGGGTTCCCTTTGTAGGTGACCTGGCCTTTCTGTCTGACTGCCCTTAACATTTTTTCTTTCATTTAGAGTTTGGAGAATCTGATGATTATGTGTCTCGGGGATGATCTCCTCGTGGAGTATCTCACTGGAGTTCTCTGGATTTCTTGAATTTGAGTGTTGGCCTGTCTTGCTAGAACTAACTTGGGGAAGTTAGTTCTCTTGGATCCTATGCTGAAGTATGTTTTCCAACTTGGTTCCATTCTCCTTGTCTTTTTCAGGTACCCCAATCCATCATAGATTCGTTCTCTTTATGTAATCCCATATTTTTTGATGGTATCGTTTGTTCCTTTTCATTGTTTTATCTCTATTCTTGTCTGCCTGTCTTATTTCAGAAAGATCGTCTTCAAGCTCTGAGATTCTTTTCTTGGCCTATTCTGCTGTTAGTAATTGTGATTTCATTGTGAAGTTCTTGTAGTGTGTTTTTCAGCTCTAACAGGTGAGTTATGTTTTTCTCTAGACCGGCTATTTTGGCTGTCCGCTCCTGTACTGTTTTGTCATGATTCTTAGTTTCTTTGCATTGGGTTACAAGATGCTCCTTTAGGTCATTGAAGTTCACTGTTATTCACATTCTGAAGCCTACTCTGTCATTTCAGCCATCTCAGGCTCAACCCAGTTCTGAGCCCTTGCTGGAGAGGTGTTGCAGGGATACTCTGGCTTTTTGAGTCCTCAGGATTTTGGGGTTATTTCTCATCTCTGTGGGTCTATCTTAAACTTTGACCTTGAGGATGGGGTTTTTGTGGCTTTTTAAATTGTTATTGTTGTTGTTTCCTGCTTGTTTTTCTTTTAACAGTCTGGCCACTCTTCTGCAGGGCTGCTGCAGTTTGCTGGGGGTTCGCACTATACCCTAGTTGCCTCGGTTTTTCCCATAGCTGGAGGTATCATCAGTGAAGTCTGTGAAACAGCAAAGATGGCTGCCTGCCACTTCCTCTGGAAGCTCCATCCCAGCAGGGTACTGACCTATTGCTGGCTCGAAAGTGCCTGTAGGAGGTGGCTGGATACCCCAGTTGGGAGGTCTCCTCCAGTCAGGAGAAATGGGATAAGGGACCTGCTTAAAGAATGATTCTGGCTACTTTTTGGTAGACCAGCTGTGCTGTGTTGGGGATCCCTTTAGTTCCCATTCAGTTTGGGCTGTCCAAAGGCCCACAGGCTGAACTGGCTGAGAAGCTTGAAAGGCCTAGGTGGCAGCCTGCCCCACCCCTCAGGCACTCCATCCCGGGAAGAAATTAGAGCTCTGTTAGCCCCATAGAACATGAGTGACCTACAATTTTGATTTGCCCTTTTACTGGTGATGTTGGCATTGATCACAAACAGTGGTGTCTGCTAGCTTTCTCCTCTGTAATGTTACTTTTTCACCTTGTAATTAATTAATATTAATATTTTGTGGGGAGGTAATTTGAGACTATGTAGATATCTCTGTTCTTCATCAAACTCAATTTATTCATTTACTTGATTTGATATTTACTTGTGGTTTATTTCATTTAATAGGTTATAATTTGACAATTTTTTTTAACAATTTTTTTCTTTTTAGAAATGTTTTATTTTAACAATTTTAGACTTATAGAAAAATAGTAAGAAAACTACAAAACATTCTTGGATACTATTCCCCAAATGTGAACATTTTACTGTATTTGCTTTATCCTTTCTCCCCCTTTTCCTCTTCTCTTTCTAGGTAAATATAAATGTAGGTGCATAATATAGACTTTTTCTGAATGGTTTATAAGTTGCAGGTATGATGCCTCTTTATTTCTAAATAATTTTATGTGTGTCTCCTAAAAACAAGGCATTATCTTGCATAATTATAGTATAACTATCAAAATCAGGAAATTAAAAATGGTTTACTGTTACTATCTCATCCATAAACCTTATTTTACTTTTTTCAGTTGTCTCAATAATATTTTTTATAGCCAAATAATTTAAGATGGGTGATGTTACAATCCATGATGTTGACTTTCATAATCCATGATGTTGAGAGGTTTCAGCATTTTTACGTTGATTCTTCCTCATCTCTGTGGGCCTATGTACCTTTGATGTTTGAGGTTGCTGACCTTTGGAGGAGTCGATCTGTGTCAAATTATTCTGTCTTTTTAGTCTCTTTTAGTCCAGGATGATTCCTGAGTCTTTCCTTGATTTTCATGGCATTTATGTGTTTGAAGAGTATGGGTCAGTTTTTTGTGGATTTTCTCTCAGTTTGGGTTCATAGGATATTTCTTCATGATTCAGTTCAGGTTATACCATTCAGGCAGGAAGGTCACACAAGTGAGGCTAAGTTCTTCCCAATGCAGCATATCTGGAGGCATATGCTGTTACTTGGCTCCATTACTGGCCAGTGTTGACTTTGTTTGAGAATCTACCAGGTCTGTCCATGATAAAGTGACTGTCTACCCTTTGTTTTTCACCAATGTCTTATGTGAGCATAGTTTGAGGCTCTGTAAATATCTGGTTACTCTAAACATCTCACCCACTAGATTTAGCATTTCATTGATTATTTTTGTTGGGTCAATTATTATTATGGTGGTTGCCAAGTCATGATTGTCTTCATCTTTCATTCCTTCTACGTGGATAAGTAAAACAAAACAAAACCAACCAACAAATAGGGGAGAAGGGAAAATTTATTGTTTTGCTGTTCAGGTTCCCTCCGCTTTGACCAGTGGTAGCCATTTCAAGCTGAGTTCATGTCTTTTTGAACTGTCCTTATTGTTCTTTGAATACTTCCTTACTTTCTGGCATAAGCTGTTTCAACCATACTTTGTATTTTCTCTGCCCCAGCCCTTGAATCAGCCATTTTCATTTTTTTCCAGAAGCCCTGACTTTCTTTAGGGGACAGTAATTAGAAACCAATATCTGGGCAGTAATTGTGGTAGATACGTATGGCTATTGGAGTTGTCATTGCTCATAGGCTTCCTCAGTGAACAGAGCAGAAAAATACAGCTAGATGGATAAATATACAAACATACATGCTTATATTCATCGATATTTCTATATTAGAATATACTGAAAACCATGAGTTCTTCCTGGTGATTCTAATTCCAGTTGAATCACACATGGCTCATTTTAGTTTTTTTTCCCTTTCAGTACTCTTGACCTTTGAACAATGTGGAAGTTAGAGGGGCTGAACCCCACACAGCCGAAAATTTGCCTAAATTTTGACTTCCCTGTAATGTAACTGCTGACTGACCTGATTAACTATTGTTGACCAGAAACCTTACCCATAACAAAGTTGATTAATATATATGCTGTATATTCTATGTATTATACACTATATTCTTATAAAAGTAAGCTAGAATTGCCTTAGCTATTCCAGCTGTTTTGGGGTTCGATATAAATTTTAAAATAGTTTATCCTAATTCTGTGAAGAATGTCATTGGTGGTTTGGTAGCTGACTTCAAACTATACTACAAACCTGCAGTAACAGAAATAGCATGGTACTGTTACAACAGCAGACACATATACCAATGGAACAGAATAGAGAGCTAAGAAATAATGCAGCACACCTACAACCATCCAACCTTCAACAACTCCACTTAAAAAAAGCAATGGGGAAAGCAATGGGACTGCTGGATCAAATGGCAATTCTAAGTTCTTTGAGAAATCGCCAAACTGCTTTCCGCAATGACTAAACAAGTTTAAATTCCCACCAGAAGTGCATAAACGTCCCCTTTTCTCTACAACCTTGCCAGCTTCTGTTAGTTTTTGACCTTTTAATAATAGTCATTCTGACTGGTGTGAGATGGTGTCTCACTGTGGTTTTGATTTGCATTTCTCTAATGATTAGTGAGTTTGAGCTTTTTTTTCATAGCCTTGTTGGCCACATGTTATGTCTTCTTTTGAAAAGTATCTGTTCATGTCCTTTGCCCACTTTTGATGGGGTTGTTTGTTTTTTTTCTTGTAAATTTAAGTTCCTTGCAGATGCTGGATATTAGACCTTTGTCAGATGGCTAGGTTGCAAATATTTTCTCCCTTTCTGTGAGCTGTTTACTCTGTTGATAGTTTCTTTTGCCGTAAAGAAGCTCTTTAGTTTAATTAGGTCCCATTTGCCAATTTTTGTTTTTCTTGCAATTACTTTTGGCATCTTTGTCATGAAGATCATTTCCAGGTCCTATGTCTGCAATGGTATTTCCTAGGTTATCGTCCAAGGTTTTAATATGTTTTCATTTTAGATTTAAGTTTTTAATCCTGCCTTTGCCTCCCAAAGTGCTGGGATTACAAGCGTGAGCTACCACACCCAGCGAGGAAGCCAAGTTTAACGTGTGTGCTCCACTCCTCCAACCTGGCCAAAGGGCAGTCATCATCACTGGCCACTACTGACCACAGCCTTTAGAAACTCCCCTTGAACGTGCTGGGCTGACCTTCCTCTGATCACAGGCAAGGTAACCATACACTCAAGGCCAATGATCCCATCTGCTGTGGGCTGGGTCATGCTCCCAATGCTTACAGAACCTGGGAGGCAGAGGAAAACTCTGCCCATCCCATGGGACGTTACCTGTAAGCTTTGAACACCAGAATCTTGAGGCCTATCTCTTTCTGGAAGGCTTTGTCTTCCTCTAAACCAGGAAGCTGGAGCAATTCCACCAGATTCTGTACAACAGATGCAACAAGAAAATTCATGAAGAGTAGATCTTAGGTTGAATTTTTCACAGAAGACCTTGTAAGAACAGAAAATGGTGAGAAAAAAAAACCCCGAGGTCAATACAATGGGGAAAAGCCTGTGAAGTGACCTGGCAGCAGCCACACCTGCTGTCACCTCCATTCCCCTCTCATCTTGGAAACAGATTTGCCCTTTACAACTCAACTCATAGCTCACCCGCCTTCAGAGACTTCTTGGCCCATCTTAGCTGGAAGGGATCTGTTCCAGCGCTGAGCTTTTATTTTGCTTAGCATCTACTCAGATGCCTTGACTGTGTGTGTCTCACAGTCCTACTGACTGACAAACTCCCTGGGGGCCGAGATGGCATGGATTCAGGTCTCAGATGCTCTATGGCACCTGGGAGCATCTTACACAGGTGAAGTGCTCAGTGATGATCTGGGGTCACTATTCTCTGCAGATCAGCATGTCTGAGAGGTAGGGGCTCACAGACTGTGGAACTGGTGTAAGACCTTTGTCTTTTCCCAGCTACTAACAGGTCCTGCTTGTCACAGCCCTTCCATGATACAAAGTTAAGTCATTTTGTGTCTGACACAGGCAAAGGAAAATGACAGGCCCTTGCCTTCCCGGTCCTCAAGGGTCAGCTGTAAGATGATGTCATAAAGCCGGATCAGGTCCTGGGGCCGGGGGAAGCACTTGCTGTCATCCTCTGGCTGCTGCTGCAGCAGAGCCCTCTGCAGACCTTTGGCCATGCTCTCATTACGCTTGATTGCCATTGACAGCTTGATGTAAGTCAGGTAGGTGGAATGCACCACACGTCAGCTCAAGTTATACTCAGAGAAGCAGAGGAACTGGGAGGACTGCACTACGAGTTGGGGCTGACCCAGAGGAAGTCGGGGGTGAGTTGGGGCAAGGCCACAGCAGGGCCATTTGGCCTGGGCTTCAAGGGACCCTGTAATCCCAACTACTTGGCAGGCTGAGGCAGGAGAATCACTTGAATCCGGGAGGTGGAGGTTTCAGTGAGCCGAGATAGTGCCACTTCACTGCAGCCTGGGCGACAAGAGTGAAACTCCGTCTCAAAGAAAACTAAAATAGGCTGGGTGCAGTGACTCATGCCTGTAATCCCAGCACTTTGGGAGGCCGAGATGGGTGGATCACCTGAGGCTGGGAGTTCAAGACCAGCCTGACCAACATGGAGAAACCCCATCTCTACTAAAAATACAAAATTAGCTGGGCGTGGTGGCTCATGCCTGTAATCCCAGCTACTCAGGAGGCTGAGGCAGGAGAACTGCTTGAACCTGAGAGGCGGAGGTTGTAGTGAGCTGGGATTGCTCCATTGCACTCCAGCCTGGGCAACAAGAGCGAACCTCCGTCTCAAAAAATAAATAAATAAATAAAATAAATACATAAAATAAATAAATACATAAATAAAATAGATATGTATTTATGCAAACCATAGAAAAATGTTTGGCAACCATCGCAAGATACCTGACAATGTGAAATAGTTTTATTACAACTGGCCTGACCTTCAAAGGCCTTCACAGCTCCTGCCTTCATGTTACCGTCTACTATGTTCCTCGTGCACCTTCCACTCAGCACAAACAGGCTGCACTGCCTCCGAAACACATCACTGGAACCCTGCCTCTGCTCCTTTGTCCATCTGAATCACCCTCTCCACATTTCTGACCCTGTAATCCTGATCTCACTTCATGAGGCAGTTCGCTTCTCTTTTGCATTTAGCTTTCCCCGGGGTACACTGTCAATAGCCTACTGTCTGATGTCATCAGTCAGCACTTCATCAGAGGCAATTATGTCCACAGAGCTTTTGGCTAATTACTGTCACTCCTCTTTACATGTGTGCATATGCATATCATCTTTCCCTAATGAGACTGGAAATCATGATTCATTCCCTGGAGCAGTGGTTTCCATAAGTGACCAACCCACAGACCAGTGCAAACTGGCTGCAAAAGAGCTTCCTCTGAGGAACTTATTAGAATGCAGATTCTTTGACTGCATGGGAGAGGAGGATCTCATAAATCTGGGTGTAATAGGCACAGAACGTTAGGTGTAATATGGGCGGGACTCTGGACTCAGCATATCCAACAAGCTGCTGGCTGATTCCGATGATGCCGATGAATTGCCAGGTTGGGAACTGCTGCCCCCAGAGAACCTAGCAGAGAGCTCTGTACGTGGTAGGTGCTCACTCCCCTATTGTTTGGGTGTATGCCTCCTGATAATGAACTTGATCGTAACATTATTGTTGCATTATGCCTGTATTGTTTCCTTAGGTGAAGGAAGAATGCTTTTGAGTACCTAATAGGTGGCAAGCTCTGTGCCTACTTACATACATGAACTATTCCTTTTAATAACCTTTGGAAATAAAGTGGCATTTCCATTGGGCATTAGAAATCTGAAGACTTTCGTTTACAGCTGTTGCAACAGCAGAACTAGAATTCGACCTCCGACATTTCTGCTCACCAGAGGGCATGAACTGCTGGTTTGTACCTGGCTTGCAGATACCTTCTTTGGGCAGCACAATGTTCAAAATTAAAAAAACTACCAACACTTCTAAACTGGATACTTTGTATCAATATCTGGGTTTCTGGCTTCTCTTCATGGGAAACAAACAAACAAAAAAAAAGGTTTGGTGAACAATGGGGCCCACATTCCTGCAGGGCAACAGTCACATGGAGACTTTAGATGGGCACGTGCCCAGAACACACTAGAGTCCCCATCGCTCCCCATTCTCTTACATTCTGTTCCCAACTAGGTTCTTATAGGCCTGGGTTTGTGCCTGTTGCACACTTATCTACTCTCTTGCTTCCCACTGGTCAGGAAGTCTGGCAAACTTAAAAGGCCTCTTTTTGTTGCTCTCTCCTGTATGGATCTCTCATCATAGAGGTGTGTGCATTTCTGACTTTGTGATTTCAATACTAAGGAAGCTGTCGGCACATTATCAAGGAAAACGGGGATCGCTGCTCCCCAACGTACACATTCTGGTGTGCCCCAGTAAAATTCTATATTCAGCCTCCAAACTAGCTGGGAAAAATGTGGCAAATCATCTACTTGCTCCAATTCAATAGTGTTTAGAAGTAAGAAGTCACTGTGAGCAATGCCACCAAGTGGTGGAGAGACTCCATGCAGAATCGCCACCTTCAGCCAGAGAGGCTGGGAGGCCGAAGACCTCTCTCAATGCACAGGGCCATTCAGAAACTAGAAACAAAATGCTTGCTCATCTCCCTAGGCCACTCCTTCCGAGGCTTTTTGAGACAAAGTCTCACTGTCACCCAGGCCGGAGTGCAGTGGCACAATCAAGGCTCACTGCAACCTCAACCTTCTGGGTTCAAGCGATCCTCCCACTTCAGCCTTTCGAGTAGCTGGGATGACTACAGGCATGGGCCACCACACCCAGCTGATTTTTTTTTTTTCTTTTTAGTAGAAATGAGGTCTCGCCATATTGCTCAGACTGGTCTTGAACCAACACATCTTTAGCTTTTTAAAAGACAGCCTTGGCCAGCCATGGCAGCTCACACTTGTAATCACTGCACTTTGGGAAGCTGAGGTGGGCAGATAGCTTGAGCCGAGGAGTTCAAGACCAGCCTGGGCAACATGGTGAAACCCCATCTCTACAAAAAATACAAAAATTAGCTGAGTGTGATGGTGCACATCTGTGGTCCCAGCTACTGGGGAGGCTGAGGTGGGAGGATTGCTTGAGCCTGGGAGGTCGAGGCTGCAGTGAGCTGTGATTACCTCACTGCATTCCGGCCTGGGCAACAGAGACCCTGTCTCTATTTAAAAAAAAAAAAAGAAAGAAAGAAACCTAAAAACAGACTGGCACTTAAAAGAGTTGTGCTTCATTTTTTGACTTTCTGTATTAATTTTGTCTGTTCCTTTCCTTAAACAAGCTGCCACTGCTGCTGATTCAACATGTTTCATTTTATACTTTTTTTTTTTTTTTCAGACAGAGTTTCGCTCTTATTGCCCAGGCTGCAGTGCAATGGCATGACCTCGGCTCACTGCAACCTCTGCCTCCCAGGTTCAAGCAATTCTCCTGCCTCAGCCTCCCAAGTAGCTGGGTTTACAGGCATGCACCACCACACCCGGCTATTTTGTATTTTTAGTAGAGACGGGGTTTCTCCATGTTGGTCAGGCTGGTCTGGAACTCTCAACCTTAGGTGATCTGCCTGCCTTGGCCTTCCAAAGTGCTGGGATTACAGGCGTAAGCTACTGGGCCTGGCCCATTTTATACATTTTTAATGTGTATTCTTGTTTTTGGAAAATGTGACCAGAGGACTATTAAACTCTTTTAGCATCAGTATAGCAAGGAGGTAAAAAAACAAACAACAAAACAAACAAAAAAAACCCATTTTGTAAAATAGGATTGAGTATCGTTGGATTGAGCACTTACCAAGCAACTGTGCCAGGCATTTGCGTCCTTCATTTAATTCTTACAAGCCTGAGTGTTCGGTATTTTAATTTTATAGGTGAACAAATAGAAGCTGAGGGTGAAGGACCTACAGCTGTCACCTTCATCTCTTCTCAACACTGCCAACTGTCCCCTTGGATTTCCCAGACAGACAACAAGGGACATCTCTGGTTTCTCGGTGCCCCCTAGAAACCTCGGGTCATTTCAAGGCATTATGCAAATGAGAAGCTTTCCTTCTCTTCACCTCATCTCCTGATCTGCACAAAAGTGACTGTAGGACCCAGTGTAGGTACCGATGTAGGCACCAATCCTCAGTTTACCACCTGCTCTCTACTTGCTTCCCTGCCATAACTTTCTAAAAGGGATGTGAGCCATGTTTAAAGTCACCTGGTCACTGGAGGGATCTTGTTCTACCCCCTGTAGTAGTACCTCTGTAGGGTAGTACCCACTGTAGGGATCTTGTTCTACATCAGTGGTTGCCAACCTTTTTGGCACCAGGGACTGGTGTTGTGGAAGACAATTTTCCACGGACTGGGGGGCTGGGGGGAATGGTTTCAGGATAAAACTGTTCCACCTTAAATCATCAGGCATTAGATTCTCATAAGGAGGGCACAACCTAGATTGCTAGCATGCGCAGTTCACAATAGGGTTCGTTCTCCTGCGAGAATGGCATGCCGCTGCTGATCTAACAGGAGGCAGAGCTCAGGCGGTAATGGGAGCAAGGGGGAGCGGCTATAAATACAGCTCACCACTCACCTGCTGCTGTGCAGCCCGGTTCCTAACAGGCCATGGACGGTGCTGGTCTGTAGCCCAGGAGTTGGGGAATCCTGCTCTACAGAGTTTCCAACCTCAGAGATGAAGCATCCCCTCTGTAAGTCAGAAAGAAATTATTCAAGTAGGAGAATTAAAACAGGATCACAGAGAGGGAGGCTGAAGGATTTGACATTCTGTGTTTACTTGTATGAGGAAAAACAGCACATAGAGGCATCCACAGTATTTAATTTGTTTGGATAACAGTTACAGATAAACAGGTACACCCCATATACAATTACCAATACTTTTTATACAGTTCATATTTCAGTACATCAACACTATTTTATTTACACTCTATTTATATACATTAACATCTTTTTAAATTGGAATTATTGTCCATATGTTTTATATTTTTTATTCCAGTGATTTCCCTTTTAGGAATTTATCTGAGGGGAGAATACTCTGTAATTACTCCATAATTTGCAGGCAAATATCATCATAGCATTTTTTAGGAGAGTAAAAAGTTATTAACAACTTATATTTGTCTCACATTAGAGGAGTGGTTAAATAAAGCATGGTGTATTCATTGGATAAACTATAATGCAGTTGTTGAAAATGATTACCAGGAGTTTTTGCTAACATTTATGGGAACATGCTTATGATATGTGAACATTTTTTTAAAAACAAGACATAAAGTTGCATATACTGGAAATAATACCTTCAATATTGAAAAAAATACTATTTAGGAAAAAGGACAGAAGAAAATCTGCCAAAATGTTGACAGTGGTTGCCTTTGTATTAAGAATATAAAAGGATTCCCTGCCTTTTTACATTTTTCTCTGCTTTCCAAAATTTCCACATGAATATTATACCTAGTAATCAGAAAAAAATACAGGGACACTCACTCTTATCCTTTACATTTCTCTCCTGTTTGGACCTCAGATTCCTCAGTAGAAAATTAAACTAGATGCCAGCCTGGGCAATATGATGTCACTCTGTCTTTACAAAAAATGCACAAATTAGCCAGGTGTGGTGTTGTGCACCTATAGTCCCAGCTGCTTGGGAGGCTGAGGTTGGAGGATTGCTTGAGCCCAAGAAATCAAGGCTGCAGTGAGCTGTGATCTCGCCACTGCACTCTAGCCTGGGTAACAAAGCAAGACCCTGTCTCACAAAAAAAAAAGAAAAAAAAAAGAAAAAAAGAAAATTAAACTAGACAAATTCTTAGGCCTCTTTTTTTTTTTTAATAGTCTTATATGAAGACTATTACTTCATTTCCTGTGTTTTGTGTTAAGATGAGCTTTAAAGCAACTCTGAAAAAGAAGAGGGTGCGTATAAGTAATTCATAGACTGTTTAAACAATAGTAGAGGATCTAAGCATAGATCCCAAGAGGTAAAGGGAATCTTTATCACTTTGGGAACTTTTACTGATAAATAGAAATTACTGTCAGTACAGTCCACAAATATGTTGTTTATCAGCCATCTTTCCTCCCTGTCTTCCTCTAGCACTGTAGCCTGTGTTCCACAGAAAATATAGTCAATAAAATTCAACATTCTTTACTAGCTTACTCTAATTTGTGGTTGGCCGTAAAGTATTCCTGGTAGAGATAATAGAGATAATATTTAACTGGCCATGAGAAAGGAAACACTATCGTATATGATACACCCCTTTTTCTACTCATTCCAACAACGATGATACAGCACGTTTCCTTTTGAAGCACGTGTTTTTTCCTTGAGTGACCAGTTCAAAAGATGATGACAGTTAATATCTTGTTACTACAGAATTTGTACTCAAAAAAGAAGTCTATAACCCAAGTCCAAGCCAGATTTCCTTTTCTAAAAAAAGAATTTTCCTCTAAGTTCCCCTTTTTAAATGAGCTCTTTAGCCTGGGTAATTATGCAGTGCTAGAACCGTAACTGCATGATCAAACCCAACCTTGCTTGTTTATAACAGCATTTGACAGCCTCGTGACTCTCACATAGGGAAAAAGTCTCGCCTGAAAACCCATGCTAAGCTGCGTGTCTTGAGCTGTGCCAATTTGTATTCCAGGCAGCCTAAGGTTCCCATCGTGAGTTTCAGGAAGGGAAATTCATGGAGGAAGTTCACCTCTGGAAGGGTGAGGAGCAATAAATAGGGTGGGTGATGGACATATGTGACGTTTGCCACAGAGAGGCCGTCAGTATGGGCCTTGTGGTCCGGGCTCTGCTTTGGGACACAAATATAAACTGTGTGAAGTCTTATGGTAGCATTCATAACCCTGATGCTTCACCCACCTTCCCATACATTAGAGGGACAAACAGAAGGATCCCAGCTCTATGGTTCTTGATTGTTTGTCAGGTAGCAGCCAGGCATGGAGAGGGAAAAATTCTTTCTTTTCTGCTGCACTCTAGATCCTTCCTTCTCTCCTCCTTCTTCATTCTACACCACCCCCAACACATATCCCTGCACCCCGCCCATTCTTTGCTCTCTCTCCTTTCTTACACTTAACTCCTTCTTGCTCCACAGCCTAACATGCTGATTAACAGGACCCCAAAGGTTTGGGTGGGTATTAGGGGCCTTCTCAACAAAAGCAGCACACTCTTGAGCTTGTTCTTCCTTTTGTTGCCATCTCAGATAAAAAGGCCCCATGAGGGAGGAGACAGATAAGTATAGACTTGGTATTCTGATAACTCTGTGTTACATGGGATCAGATGTAAATGAGTTGTACCCTGTGGTGTTTCGTGCTCTGCTGTGTTGTCTTCTCATGGTGAGCTTTTCTGTGCCCTTATTTCATCCAGCTCTGGTTTCTGTGTTTCATGTTATTTCTCCTAGCCTCTGTAAACTCTGCAGCATACTAATAATGCTCTGGCTTTCTGATTAAAGATAAATGGCTTACTATCATCACCCCTGGTTTGAGGGCCAGCTCACATGTAATCCCTTATAGGATTCCAAAGTTGTTAAATAAATGCAGTTCTTTTTGTCATTTTGAAGCATTCAAAAATTTTTCAAGAAAAGCTATGATCATATAAATAGAAATTTTATCCAGAATGTTACAATGTAACATTTGTGAATAAATGTGTAGGTGCTGTATTTGCTCAGACTCTAGTTTGGGTTGTGTTTTCTTTTCCCTTTTTTTTTTTGAGACAGGGTCTCTCTCTGTCATCTGGGCTGCAGTGCAGTGGCGTAATCACAGCTCACTGCAACCTCTACTCCCAGGCTCAAGCAATCCTCCTGAGTAGCTGGGACTAGAGACATGCGCCACAACGCCCAGCTCATTTTTAGGTTTTTCTTTCACATAGACAGGGTCTCACTCTGTTGGCCAGGCTGGTTTCGAACTCCTGGACTCAAGCAATGCCCCCCACCTCAGCCTCCTAAAGTGCTGGGATTACAGGCCTGAGCCACCATACCCAGCCAGTTATATTTTCTTTTTCCTTATATAGAGTAAAATAAGGGTGAGTGACCGAGAGGTTGATGCATAGCTAGATCACCAGTTTAAATGCCTTCCCACACACCCCTTTCCTCCTGTTCCCTCTACCTACAGGTTGTAGATGAGCATGAGAGTGTGGAGCAGAGTTGGCGAGTGCAAGTCGAGCCCATCAACCTGGACAGCTGTCTCCGTGCTTTCACCAGTGAGGAAGAGCTAGGGGAAGATGAGATGTACTACTGTTCCAAGTGTAAGACCCACTGCTTAGCAACAAAGAAGCTGGATCTCTGGAGGCTTCCACCCTTCCTGGTATGTTACAGTCCTGCCTCTGAGAGAGCAGGAATCTAGCATAAAAGAAAGAAGACATGAACAAACAGGAGGTTTTGTTATTTTTGAGAATAAGACTTTTCCTGCAGCAGTGTTTAAAACACTTTCTGTACAAGGTTTTTATGTTGAATACAGAGATGAATCTTTCTACAAATATTTGGTAGTTCCTTTTCCTAAAGAGCTTACAACCTAGAAGAAGAGCTCAATCATGTAGACCAGTAACTGCAATTCAGTGTGATGTGAGAACTGCCACAAGGGGTACAACGTGGTGAATTTGAACTTCAGGAGAGGGTGAACTTCTGGCTCTGTGGAGAGAGGAAGCTCAGGCTAGCCCTTTGTGGACTCTAGAAGAGCAACTGAGCCCGGAGCCCCCAACACCCACTGCACATAGTCATGTGGCTGTGGCACGCTGCTGAGTTGAGTGTGTGTGCACAAGCACGCCAGTGCACTAGGGCCTGTGTGTTCTTTTAGATTCAATTTACTTCTGCCTTCTCCCTTCATGGATTAGGAGACTGTCCTTTTGTTTGTCAGGAGAGTTTGAAGTGACAAATCTTCCTATTCATTAAGGTCAGTGTAACTGTAAGGTACTGGCCTATTTTAATCAGATATTTATATGTATTTTCTTTCTTTCTTTTTTTTTTTTTTTTTTTTGGAGACAGGGTCTCACTGTGTCACCCAGGCTGTAGTGCAGTGTTGTAATCTCAGCTCACCGCAACATCTACCTCTTGGGCTCAAGTGATTCTCTTGCCTCAGTCTCCTGAGTAGCTGAGATTACAGGCATGCACCACCACCACCTGGCTAATTTTTGTACTTTTAGTAGAGATGGGGTTTCACCATGTTGGCCAGGCTGGTCTCGAATTCCTGACCTCAGGTGAACCACCCACCTTGGCCTCCCAAAGTGCTGGAATTACAGGCATGAGCCACCATGCCCAGCCGTATTTTCTTACTCTAATCATGTCTCTGTCACACTACTCTGTGAAGCTGAATGTAAGTTTTTCTTGGACCAGAACAGCTTCCCAGGGAATGATGCACAAGAAATTAATAACACTGGTTGTCAGCTAGCTCCACAGATAGGAACTAGAGGGAAGGGGCAGGCTTGGGGACAAGGTGGGTGGGGAGGAGGGGGAGACCTTTTTTTTTTTTTTGAGATGGAATCTCGCTCTGTCGCCCAGGCTGGAGTGCAGTGGCAAGATCTCAGTTCACTGCAAGCCCCACCTCCCAGGTTCACACCATTCTCCTGCCTTAGCCCCCCGAGTAGCTGGGACTACAGGCGCCTACCACCACGCCTGACTAATTTTTTGTGTGTTTTTTATTTATTTTTTTTAGTAGAGACGAGGATTCACTGTGTTAGCCAGGATGGTCTCGATCTCCTGACCTCGTGATCCACCCACCTCGGCCTCCCAAAGTATGGGGATTACAGGTGTGAGCCACCACGCCTGGCCGAGGGGGAGACCTTTTAAAAAAATTGAGGTATAATTAACATACAATTAAAAGCATAGATTTTTAATATCCAGTTTGATGAATTTTAACAAGTATATATTTTCATATAATCATCAAATAAAACAAGCAGAGCAGTCATGTAGCCCAGTAACTGCAATTCAGTGTGATGTGAGAACTGCCACAAGGGGTACAACGTGGTGAATTTGAACTTCAGGAGAGGGTGAACTTCTGGCTCTGTGGAGAGTGGAAGCTCAGGCTAGCCCTTTGTGGACTCTAGAAGAGCAACTGAGCCTGGAGGCAATACCCATTGCGCAGTCAGGTGGCTGTGCCACACTGCTGAGTTGAGTGTGTGCACAAGCACGCCAGTGCATTGGGGCCTGTGTAGAGGCCTTTAGGAAACCATATTTTTGAAGTATTTAAAAAATAATGAAGAGCAAATGTTCTGTTATATATTCCCAAACATTCACATGTATTTGACTTGTTTTTTCCATGTAAATTTTGTATCTTCAGAACGCTTTAATGCGATGTTTTCTACCTTTACTTCTCCAGATTATTCACCTTAAGTGATTTCAATTTGTAAATGATCAGTGGATAAAATCACAGAAAATTGTCAAATTTCCTCGGGAAAGTTTTGATCCGAGTGCTTTTTTGGTACCACGAGACCCAGCTCTCTGCCAGCATCAACCACTCACACCCCAGGGGGATGAGCTCTCCAAGCCCAGGATTCTGGCAAGAGAGGTGAAGAAAGTGGATGTGCAGAGTTTGGCTGGGGAAGAGGACATGCTCCTGAGCAAAAGCCCATCCTCACTCAGCGCTAACATCAGCAGCAGCCCAAAAGGTGAGGCCTGGGGGCCTTATGCAGTTGCTTTCTTGGGACTCCTGTAGGCTACATATGTTTCTGTCTTCTGTTCTGGAACATCAGGTTGGTTGGGTGGAAGGAACCTATCTGGAATCAGACCTATCTGTATTTGAGCTATGTAAGTTTTATCAAGAGATTCAGCCTCCCTGAATCTATTTTCTCATCTGTAAAATGGAGATAATGCCAGGTTTACAGAGTTGAGAGTTTGACACATGGAGAGTAAAGCACTTCACACAGTGCCTGATGTATGGTAAACAGGAATGGTAGCTGCTGTCTTGTCCCCTTATAGTGAAAGTTCTGAGGTTCCCCATCTTTCAGGGGGTCTAGAGGATCAAAACTCTTTATTTATTTATTTATTTATTTATTTATTTATTTATTTTATTTTTTACTTTTTTGAGACAGGTTCTCACTCTGTCACCCAGGCTGGAGTGCAGTGGTGCAACACAGATCACAGCTCACTGCAGCCTCGACCTCCTGGGGTCAATCAATCCTCCCACCTCAGCCTCCTGAGTAGCTGGGACTACAGGCACGCACCACTGCACCTAGCTAATTTTTGTATTTTTTGTAGAGATGGTGCTTCACCATGTTTCCCAGGCTGGGCTCGAACTCCTGCACCCAAGTGAACCTCCTGCTTCGGCCTCCTAAACTGCTGGGATTACAGGTGTGAGCCACTGTGCCTGGCCCAAAACTATTTTCATAAAAATACTAAGACAATATGTGCCTTTTCGCTTTTATTCTCTCACAGATGTACAATGGTGTAAGAGACGACATGGAATAATATCGTCACTTTGACAGTGAAGTCTGTGCTAATGTATTGTACTTTTTCATGCCTCAGTTTTAGTTTCTAATACAGGAAATATTGATAGATAAAATTCATATAAAAGTTCTAAAGGTTCTCAATAATTTTTAAAGGTATAAAAGGGGGTAGGGGTAAGAGGCTATAACCAAAAAGTTTAAAGCCTTACAGGATTTTTGTGAGACATAGAGGTAACAGTGGACAGCAAGAAATTCCCAGTACCATGCCTAACAATAGGAAGTACTCAGTAAATGGTGGTTGCATTTTTTGTCTAATTTTACAAAGGAGAGGAATATGTATTTGGAAAACTCCTTACTCTTAATAATTAGATTTTTTTCAACTGAATCTGACATAAATCATCTTTCCGCTATTTTCTGAGTCCCTATAACCTACTTTACATTTTCAGGACATTGTTGCTTATAGGGACTCGGCATTGAAGAAGACAAAAATGTAACTTACTGGCCACACAATAGGAACTAAAGGGTAGCCAGTCACGACTCCCCTGTCTTTACCTTTGTGTGTACATTTGTGAAGCTAACCTCAGAGTTAGCATTTGGGGCTGGCTTACTTTGTGGCATTTGGATTTGTGAATCTTTTCTTCTGTCCTGTTCACAGGTTCTCCTTCTTCATCAAGAAAAAGTGGAACCAGCTGTCCCTCCAGCAAAAACAGCAGCCCTAATAGCAGCCCACGGACTTTGGGGAGGAGCAAAGGGAGGCTCCGGCTGCCCCAGATTGGCAGCAAAAATAAACTGTCAAGTAGTAAGAAGAACTTGGATGCCAGCAAAGAGAATGGGGCTGGGCAGATCTGTGAGCTGGCTGACGCCTTGAGCCGAGGGCATATGCGGTGGGGGCAGCCAACCAGAGCTGGTCACTCCTCAGGACCACGAGGTAGCTTTGGCCAATGGATTCCTTTATGAGCATGAAGCATGTGGCAATGGCTACAGCAATGGTCAGCTTGGAAACCACAGTGAAGAAGACAGCACTGATGACCAAAGAGAAGACACTCATATTAAGCCTATTTATAATCTATATGCAATTTCAGTAAGTGGTTTATTGTATGGTTTTCGGAGAGTGGTCTGTGTTTTGTTCACTTGTTTTCATGTATTCATCAGCAAGTATTTTTCAGGTCCTGCTTATTTCCTAGCATTGAGCTTAGTGATAGAGAAAGTTAACATAGAAATCTGGGCCTGCCCAGGTGTGGTGGCTCACACCTGTAATCCCAGCACTTTAGAAGGCTGAGGCAGAAGGATCGCTTGAGCCCAGGAGTTTGAGACCAGCCTGGGCCCCATCTCTACAAATAATTTTAAAATGGAGCGAGGTATGGTGGCATTGCCTGTGGTCCCAGCTACTTGGAAGGCTGAGGCAGAAGGATCACCTGAGCCCAGGAGGCCAAGTCTTTAGAGAGTTGTGATCACTCGACTGCACCCCAGCCTGGGTGATAGAGCAAGCCCCTGTCTCAAAATAATAATAATAATAGTAATTACATTATAAAATGATTGTTTATCCACACAAGACTTGGAGCTTATGACTTTTGTATTTTGCTTTTTGCTTATTTTGGTTTTAGAGAAAGTTAGAGGGTTCTAAAATATTTTCTCACCTACTGATCATTTACATGATCACTGTTCTCCTGCTCAGATCCTAGTGCTATACCCTGGCCATAGTACATAGTACAGTTAACAACTAACATACATCCACTCTCTTATCTCTTACAGTGCCATTCAGGAATTCTGAGTGGGGGCCGTTACGTCACTTATGCGAAAAACCCAAACTGCAAGTGGTACTGCTACAATGGCAGCATCTGTGAGGTAAACATTCTCAATCTTTGAATGAAGGTTAGAAACAGAATATCAACAGAACTGGGAAACATTTGTTGAAATAATAGACTATCTCTTGAATAGGAAATAGATATTTCTGTTAGAATCAATATATAGATGCTGTCAGTATTAAAGAAACAAAAGTGATATGCAGAGTAGGGAATGAAAACATGAGTAGTGAGGAAAAATAAAGAGTTAGTTGACTGGGCGCAGTGGCTCATGCCTGTAATCCCAGCACTTTGGGAGGCTGAGGCAGGCTTAGGAGGTGGATCACTTGATGTCAGGAGTTCAAGACCAGACTGGCCAACATGGTGAAACCCCATCTCTGCTAAAAATACAAAAATTAGTTGGGCATGTTGGCACATGCCTGTAATTCCAGCTACTCAGGAGGCTGAGGCAAGAGAATGGCTTGAACCTGGGAGGTGGAGGTTGCAGTGAGCCAAGACTGCACCACTGCACTCCAGCCTGGGCAACAGAGCAAGACTCCGTCTCAAAAAAAAAAAAAAAAAAAAAGGAGTTAGTTAATGCAAAAAGCTCCTATCTTCTAGACTGTTAGAATTTGATGGGGTTGGGCCAAGTGCAGTGGCTCACGCCTGTAATCCCAGCACTTTGGGAGGCCAAGGTGGGCAGATGATGAAGTCAGGAGATCGAGACCATCCTGGCTAATATGGTGAAAGCCCGTCTCTACTAAAAATACAAAAAATTAGCCAGGCGTGGTGGCACATGCCTATAGTCCCAGCTACTCAGGAGGCTGACGCAGGAGAATCACTTGAACCCAGGAGGCAGAGGTTGCAGTGAGCTGAGATCGTGCCAGTGCACACCAGCCTGGTGACAGAGCAAGACTCCTTCTCAAAAAAATAAATAAATACAAAATAAATAAATAGAATTTGATGGGGTTTTAGGTCATTCTCTTTTGACTTGTCTATGGTCAAAATATTTTCTCCAAAGCAAACTTTGGAAATAATGGGGCTCATTTTAAAGGGGCAGGTGTGAGACAGCCAAACTAGTGAGCTTATTGGAAGCAATCAGGTTTAGTAATTACAGAGGGTTGGTCTTCCCTTTCCTGGCAAGGATTTAGAGCCATAATAGTGATGGCTTTTTGTTAAAGGTTTTTCTTGCCCTTTCAGGAACGTCACCCTGATGAAATTGACACCGACTCTGCCTACATTCTTTTCTATGAGCAGCAGAGGATAGACTACGCACAATTTCTGCCAAAGATTGATGGCAAAAAGATGGCAGACACAAGCAGTATGGATGAAGACTTTGAGTCTGATTACAAAAAGTACTGTGTGTTACAGTAAAGCTACCACTCTGGCTGCTAGACAGCTTGGTTGGGAGGAAGATGACTCCTTGTAGCTGATACTTGGCAAAAGTGTCACTGAGAGGCAAGCTAAATGTAGTTATTTTATCCTGTTAGAATACAAATTCTAATTAAAATAGTTAACTTTAAGAGTAGCAGTAATTTTATTTTGAAGTCTCATGCAAGTTGTCCGATAGAGAACTTTCAGGCAGATCCCACCATTAGCCTGTAAACAAAAGGTTTGGCACCAGCCACCTGGGACCAAATAAGAATTCAATTGTGCTTGTCCAGATATGAACAAATATGTAGTGAGTATAGAGTTTATCAATAATCATAACAAATATTAAAGATTTCCTTGGAGTCAAAGTAAAAAACAAAAAATTGTAATGTTGTCTAGGGATGACATGATATGCTACCTCCTTTTTCCTGAAGTTTTATTCCATTCTGTTGACAAGATGGTGAAAGCAAGATCATGAAGGTGTGCAAATGATTCTTACGGCATGGGCGAGGATTTTTCAATTTATTTTTTAAAGTTTCCATACCCTTTCTTTGTCTTTCTTGCTTTTTGTTTTTGCCGTTGTGTTTAAGTTTGAGACACAACCAGTCATTGGTGGCAGGGGCATAGAGTGGTCAGTCTGAAAGGGAGGCTCTCTTAAGAGCTATGTGCCTTCTACTCAGAGGGAGACCCAGTAGAAAGAAAAACATCCTGGGAAATCCAGCTACCATGGCCCTCCCAGTGGAGGCATCTTACATTTAGGATACTTCAGGTATCCTCAGAAATGTATTCTGCACCCCCGGCCCCGCCCATGCTGAGGGAAGGGGAGCAGTTGCCAATATTTGCACCATCTTCACATGCACATGTTGCAACAAGAGCTTCTGGGAAGGTAAGCGGCATCGGAGCTAGATCACGTTTCACAATTAGTGGTGGTTCTTTTCCATGTTTATTTTGCACTTTAAAAAAGAGAGAACACATGCAAATGAACTTGCTTGTGTGTATTTGATGGCTCCAAGGGCTATGAATTACAAACAAAACACATCCCAGACATTAGGAGTTCATAAGTATATTTAATGAAATTGGTGGTTTTAGGAAGTCAACTTTAGTTTTGCTTTGTTTGCATGTCCACTAATTTTTTTATTTTGATATTAGTCTTTTTAAAAAAATTTTACAGTAGTCATTGAAAGTTATGTTTCTTTGTTTACTTCATTTTTTCCTCTAATTATTCAAGACTGGGACAAAAGTATAAATATTATTTATTTCAGGTAGAATTTTTTTCATGTAGTTTTTTAATATATACTTGAAGGAAATGTTTCACCTTATTTTTGGTCTTTGTTTATTCATTTAGACCCTGCAAGTTGATTCTCATTAATTGTCAGATTCCACTACACTTTCTTCCTCATAGGTAGTAATTACCAGTGTAACTAAGCATTTGTGTTCTGATATCTGAGGCCAGTAACTATTAATATCTAGTTCTCAGAGCATTTGGAAAGGTTATCTTAAATGGCTACCTAAATTGAAATCCTTTTCAGAAAAAATATAATTGCAAATAGGTAGGAGTGGCCTAAATTATCTAATGTAATAAAGTCAGACAAAATGCATACTTTATAGTTTCAAGATTTTCAGTATATAAAATCTGTCCTTTCCTACCTGGACATGTCCCATTAAAAAGTGGAAGATCTTAAATAATTTCTTTACAGATGTTTTATTTAAGCAGGTAGCACAATCTACTAATGTTGTTTGATCTGTGTTTGTTATACTGGTTGTAATTAATTTTTTTAATTCATGAACTAGCGGAAAATTTATTAAATTAACTATTAACCACATTCACCTTGTAAATGACTGTATAAAACTTGTTGACAATGCACTGACTTTAGAAAGATGTTAATGTGCATAAATAGAGTGTAAATAAAATAGTGTTGATGTACTGAAATATGAACTGTATAAAAAGTATTGGTAATTGTATATGGGGTGTACCTATTTATCTGTAACTGTTATCCAAACAAATTAAATACTGTGGATGCCTCTATGTACTGTTTTTCCTCATACAAGTAAACACAGAAAGTCAAATTCTTCAGCCTCCCTCTCTGTGATCCTGTTTTAATTCTCCTACTTGAATAATTTCTTTCTGACTTACAGAGGGGATGCTTCATCTCTGAGGTTGGAAACTCTGTAGAGCAGGATTCCCCAACTCCTGGGCTACAGACCAGCACCGTCCATGGCCTGTTAGGAACCGGGCTGCACAGCAGCAGGTGAGTGGTGAGCTGTATTTATAGCCGCTCCCCCTTGCTCCCATTACCGCCTGAGCTCTGCCTCCTGTTAGATCAGCAGCGGCATGCCATTCTCGCAGGAGAACGAACCCTATTGTGAACTGCGCATGCTAGCAATCTAGGTTGTGCCCTCCTTATGAGAATCTAATGCCTGATGATTTGAGGTGGAACAGTTTTATCCTGAAACCATTCCCCCCAGCCCCCCAGTCCGTGGAAAATTGTCTTCCACAGCACCAGTCCCGGGGGATGGTGAGCAGAGCGGTGCAATGGCCTGACCTACCAGGTAAAGGCTCCCTCTTGATCAGGATTTCTCAACCCGGCACTAGTGACACTTGGGGCAGGATCATTCCTTGTTACGGAGACTGTCCTATGCAGTGTGGGATGTTCAGCAGCACCCCCGACCTCTGCCTACAAGACGCCAGGAAGGACCCTCTGTCCAAGTCGTGACAAAGAAAAACATCCCCAGACCCTGCCAAATGTAACCTGGGGGGCAAAAACACCCACATTTGAGAACCATGGTTCTAGGATATAGGAGTGTGGACACAGGCAGCTCAGGTTTACACAGGCTGGATTTGAGGTGCCTGGGAGACCTGCTTGCTGAGATTCTTTTGAGCAGTCAGACAGGAGGGGCTGGAGCCCAGGAGAAAAGTCTGGGCAGCTTTGCTGTCTTCAGGCTCGGTGGCTGTTAGAAGGAATGTGGCAGAAAAAAAGAAAGCGATACCCAAAGAGTCTATTTCATTTAATTTAATTTTTTGAGCAAGGATTATGCTAAAGTCACCAGGCAAGAGACCAAGATGAGCCCACCTCACAAACCCAGAAACCTCAGATCCAAGGCAGCTGTATAAGGTACAGATCGTTCCGGACTGTAGAAGAGAGGGTTAATCCAACTTCATCAGGAGAGAAATGCCATTATCCACTGAACTATTTCTTGACTATCTCCTGTATGCTGGTCAGTTTCACTCACATTGTCTCATTTAATCTTTGACAAACTAAATAAAAGTGTGAAGTAAATATTTTCCCCTCCCTTTTTTTTTAAGATTAGAAAACAGAGGCTCAAAAGGACCCACGTACTCAGAGTCACCCTGTCAATGACAGAGGTGGAGTTTGAACACAGGCTGTTTAATGCCAAAGCCCAATACTGGCTTCTGGAAGCTTCTAGAAGGAGGGGCTGGAACCTCGCATTGAAGACGTTGAGGGGCAGTGTTGCAGGAAAATGGGAGAGGGAAACATACCAGGCAAAGGGAACTGCTTGGGCATGGCTTCGGCAGAGAACGAGGTACAGAGATTTGAGGACAGGATGATTTCTTGGAACACAGAGCTTGGTTCAGTAGAAAGAGCCCAGGAAAGCCAGGATGTGGCCAGTTGAAAGGGAGGGGCTTTGAGCCATTTTGCATTTGTGGTGAGCCATTTTGCATTTTACTCTATTGGCATCAAGGAGACAAGTAATGAGAACTCTGACTTGGGAAAAATGTTAAGGATCAATTTATCTCAAATATCACATGTAGCTCTTAAGTCTGAGGGCCCTCTATTCCTCATCTTACCTAAAAGGCACAAACACACCTCTCCAAGTCAGGTATAGGGCCCCCAACAATAGTTGCCTGGTCAAAAAATGTATCCTCAGAGTTGACTACTACTACAGTAAATCTGGACACAGTTTCTGAAAATTTTTGTTTCCCTAAAAGTTTCCATCAAACTATATTCACTGACATGTAATGATAATCATCAAGACTAAATCACATCCCAGGAGGTATCTGAATGCAACCGTGAGGTGCTCCTTCATGTCCGAAGATGCATTTATAACAATCTGGAAAACAGTCTAGATCTTCTTGGAAGTTAGACCTTCAACTTTATCTGAATTTTGATGATAAATGAAGAGCTCTTCTTGTGCAGTTTCTGAGGTTCTTCAAAAGAGTGACTGTTTCTCTGTTTCCCCAGAAAAATACTACAATATGTGGTGTGTGTGTGTGTAGGTGCCTGTGCACATGTGTGGGTGTGTGTGAATTTGCCTATATGTGTGTGTGGATGGAGTAGGTATACATGCTGTGTGTGTGTGGATGTGCATTGTGAGTGTGGGTGGGAGATCGTGAGTGCATGTGAGTGTGTGTGTGGATGGAGTAGGTATACATGCCTGTGAATGTGTGTGTGGATGCGGATGTGTGAGTGTGGGTGGGAGATCGTGAGTGCATGTGAGTGTGTGTGTGGATGGAATAGGTATACATGCTGTGAGTGTGTGTGTGGATGCAGATGTGTGAGTGTGGGTGGGAGTTTGTGAGTGCATCTGAGTGAGTGTGTGTGGCGAGTGTATGGAAGTGGGTAGCCCATGCATAGAGCATTTCTTAGCCTACTTGACAGCTTAGGAGCCACCTCCTCCAGGAAGCCTTCCTTAATCTGTCCTTCGTCCTGCCCCTCGGGACCCAGGTGACACCGAGTATGCAATTGCTCTATCCCTGCAGGCCTGCCCCTCACTCATCTCATCCCCAAACACAGACACATGCAAGAATGTGACACTCCCTTCCCAATACAACACTAGGACATTTGATTCCCTTTGTATTCCCAGTACCTAGTGCAATGTCTGGTACACGGTAGGTCATCAGTAAATAATAAATTGAATTAAACCTTGCAAAGGCCTCCAAATATCAGAATTAGTAAGCTCTAAAGGCTTTGTTTATTCCTGCAGATTCCTTCTCAGGTTTCAGCAGGTCATAGAGAACATCTCTTCCACCAGTCCTAGTCTCAATGGGACAGTAAATGAAACAGAAACACCACCATCCCATACCCTCCCCTTCAGTCCCTCTAAAATGAGCTGCCGCTGCTGGGAGAACCAGAGCTAAGCTTCTGCAGAGGCCTCTGCCCATGTCACCCCAGCTCCGCAGTCCTACCTGGCATGAGTCTTCCTATAACTATACCTAGGCTTCCTGACTGCTCTGTGGGGACACCCAGCCTCATTGCACCACAGGATGGGGCAGTCAGAGCAGGGCTTCTTACACTTTAACATGCATACGATCACCTGGTTAGCATGTGGATTCTGATCCAGTAGGTCTGGGATGAGGCCTGAGATTCTGCACATCTAACACGCTCCCAGGTCCTGCCCATGTTGCTGGCCTGTGGCCCATCCTTCCACCAGAAGCGTTTAGAAGGCTTTAGTCTCCTCGCAGCTGTTCAAGAGACCGGTGCGGTGCAATCGGGTGCTGAGTCATTTGGTCACTGCCGCTTCTTGTTAAGTCAACTTCTATCATTTCACATGCATAGAAGTTTTGACAAGCCCTTCAGTCTTTTGTTTCTTTCTGTACGCCAGTAAAAAAGAAAGAACAAGCCAGGCACGGTGGCTCATGCCTGTAATCCCAGCACTTTGGGAGGCTGAGGCAGGCAGACCACGAGGTCAGGAGATCGAGACCATCCTGGCTAACACAGTGAAACCCTGTCTCTACTAAAAAGACAAAAAATTAGCTGGACGCACCTGTAGTCCCAGCTACTTGGGAGACTGAGGTGGGAGAATCGCTTGAACCCAGGAGGTGGAGGTGCAGTGAGCCGAGATCGTGCCACTGCACTCCAGTCTAGGTGACAGAGCGAGACTCCATCTCAACAACAACAACAACAAAAGACAACCAAAACCAAAAAAAAACCAAAAAACAAAAAACCAATCCTATACTCATTGCTCCCAGTCTACTAAAGCAGAAAGAAAACTGGACTGGGCGTTAGGTGACATGAACCCCAGTCCCAGCTCTGCAGGCCTCCAAGGTTCTCTGGCCTCTGTTTCCTTTCCTATAAAGTGGAGTAACATAGTGGCTGGCCTGGTTATTTCAAGAAGAGAGTGTGAGATTGCAGAGAGAGCATGGGCTTTCTGGTGTCAGAACAAGTTTCTAATGAGGAAAAATTACTTGCCTTCTTGGAGCCTCACTGTCTTCATCTGTTAAGTTACAGAGGAAAAGAAAATATGGGATATGTAAGTGTGCAATGCCTGTCAGCTGCCAGAAGTGCAGCAAATGTTAAATCCCTTCTCTGCTCAAAAGGCTGTGATGGAAATTCAAAAGCCCCTTCTCAGTAAGGCCCTCTGGACACCCAATCTGAAATGTCAGGCCCCTCCCCCTTTTCTCTTTATTGCGGATCACTGTTTAACATTTGACTTCTTTATCTGGCTTATCGTCTCTCCCTCAGCGAAGGGCTATGCCATGAGGCCGGGAATTTGTGTCCGGATGGCTCACTAATGTATCTGTGGTGCCTAGACCAGCAACTGGGACATGAATCTTTGTCGAGTGCATGGACCAGCAGTGCTTTAGATATTATGCTATTGCGTTATCAGAATCCATTTCTTCCACACCTCTGAAGCCAGAATAATGCACGTGGAGAGGTTTTAAAGGTGTGGAAAAGCAGAGCCCTAGAAGAAAACAGCCCAGGCTGAGACTTTGGGGACAACAGGAGACAGAAGAATACTTGATGATTTCATAGTGGGAGGCATGGAGAATTAACGTAGTCAAGAGCTGCGAGGCAATAAGAGGAGACTCTTGGGCAGCCCTCAAATAGAATATTATTCCTCCTCCTCTCTCCACCTTACCCCAGGTACAAGAGATGAATCCTGTTCCCCCATAAGCCAGCTGATTCCATGACACAGCAGTCCATGCAGTCCCCAAAATTTATCCCAACTGCCTTCCTCATGCTCAGCTTCCAGGCTGCTCATTTCCTTGGCTTATTCACCCTGCATCAGTTTCTAGTGTGGCCCAGTCTCCAGGATCAACACAGTCAGTTTGGGATTCTCTATTCAAGCTCTGATATTGATTTCATATTCGCCCTCTGGCTTCAGGCACTCACTTGGGTCAGGGGCACCCTACAGTCTGAGCCCCTTTCGGGGAGAGAGTGGAACAGAACATGGGTTTGAGGTCAGGTGGCTCTGGGTTCTGACCCTGAGTCCTTGAATCACTAGGTTTTGCTATCTTGGTCAATTTACCTGACCTCAGCTTTCCTATTTGTGAGATACAAAGAGAAATATTATATTGTAAGCTTGTTGTCAGCAGTGATTCTCAAAGTTTTGTCTTTGGGACATCAATCCTATGAGATGGAAAAGGTTTTTATTATCAAGTGAGTTTGGCAAATGCTCAATATCATATCCTCATCTTGGGAATTCTCAAATAACAAAAGAATGGGTTCCACTTTCATTAACTCAGTTTTTCTAAACAACAAAATTCCTTTTTGCAAGGAATACCTGTTAGCATCCTGCAGAACCAATGTTTTGTGTAATCCGTGGTGGGGAAAGCTGCTTGGGAAGATTAGAAATGCTCAACACCAGGCCCTCTGCTCGGCTCCTGGCACATGCATCGTGGACACCAGGAAGCATGAGTGCCTGTTGCATTTCTTCCTAATGTCAGGTATGTTTGGTCAAACCTTTCCTGCTTCTGCTACAAAAAAAGCATTTTAGGCTGTTGAGACAAGTAGTTTTCCCAAATATTTTTGTTGAGCCCTTCTCGTGAAAGGGAAATAACACAAACTGAAGTTAATGACATCTGTATTTTGGAGCCTCGCTCTGTCGCCCAGGCTGGAGTGCAGTGGCACGATCTCGGCTCACTGAAAGCACTGCCTCCCGGGTTCAAGAGATTCTCCTGATTCAGCCTCCCAAGTAGCTGAGACTGCAGGCACGCATCACCATGCCCAGTTAACTTTTATGTTTTCTTAGTAGAGATGGGTTTTTATCATGTTGGCCAGGCTGGTCTTGAACACCTTACCTGAAGTGATCCACCCACCTCGGCCTCCCAAAGTGCGGGGATTACAGTCATGAGCCACCATGCCCAGCCCACATCTGTACTTTTAAAGCTAAAATATGAGCACTCATTAGCCTAGCTGTGAAGAACTGTCACTCTTGGATTTCTGGGAAGTGACTACTCAGACCTGCACCAACAGGAGTTGGTGAAGTTGGGTAACTTGCCCAATGTAGCAGAGTCTGAGCTCTTTCTAGTGACAACACCACCCCACACACAAATTAGGGTATGTCCCATCATGTAGGTCCAGGGGATCTGAATACCTTCATGTTTCATCCTTCTAAAAAAAGTCCAGCAATACGTATCCTAAAAGCCTTACAAAATCTTCCCATTTGGGAATGCCACTTCTGAAATTACTATAAGGAAACCATCTAAAATAAAGACAAAGAGCTGTGCATAAAAATATTCAGGCCAGGTGCCGTGGCTCACACTTGTAATTCCAGTGCTTTGGGAGGATGAGGGAAGAAGATTGCTTGAGCCCAGGAATTTGAGGCTACAGTGAGCTATGATCACATGATTGCATTCCAGCCCGGGCAACAGAGTAAGACTTGTCTATTAAACAAACAAACAAACAAACAAAAATATATTCATCACAACATGATAATAGACAGAACCAGAAACAACCCAACATTTGGAGAATAGTTAAATGTCCAACAGCTAGGGAATGATTAAATCCATTATGAGGCTTCTCTACATTAAATATCTTACAGCCATTTATAACCATGTTTATAAAGAATTTTGAATGATATGGAACATGCTTATACTATGAGGTTAAGGAAATAAAACAGGCTACAAAAATAAAATATATGTACTATAATAACAGCTATGTTGGTGCACAGAGAGAAAAACATTTACCAATATACTAGGAGTGGTTATTTCTGAGTGGCGAGATGATGAGTGATTTTTCATTCTATTCTATATATTTTTCTATATTTTCTTTTATTCTACATGTTTTTCTGTATTTCCAAGTTTTACACAATAGTGATCAAGAAAAGGTAATTATTTATTTAAAAAGAAAAAAAAAGACCCATGAGTTATCAGAACCCAGTAGATCTAAATGGCACTACAAACACTATTGTGTTCAGAGGTGTCTCCCCTATCTAAGCAGTGCCAGGTTAGGGAACGCCGCCCATCAACGCTCTAAGCAGTGCCAGGTTAGGGAACGCCACCCATCAACGTTCTAAGCAGTGCCAGGTTAGGGAATGCCGCCCATCAACGTTCTAAGCAGTGTCAGGTTAGGGAACGCCGCCCATCAACATTTCCCAAATTCCAGGAACCATCTGTTCCATAGTGTCATATTTGTGTAGAACCTACACCATTACTTAATATTTTCATAGAAATCAACTCAGTTTTTAAAATTTGATTACCTGTGTTTTAAGAAAAATTTTAAATCACTCTAAATGGAAAAATAATGTCACTTGCCATTAATGGAAAGTAATCACAAAAATAAATGCAATAAAACAAAACAATATCATTAAATTCTACAGTGGTAAACCTTCTGAGCTTGAGAGCTGCTTTTGCTCTGTTTGATAAAAGCAGGGGCTGAGGGAGAGTGTTTTCAGGCAGGAGGGACGGATTTACAAGGGTTTGAGAGTAAGCCTAGCCTAGCAACAGACCCCTCAAAGGATTCGGGAAGATTGAAAGACAATGAAAAAGATTTTCTCACTAGAGATTTTGATTTGTTTTTAATGATTTGCCCACCTACCACCCAAACTGCCTAGGACACGACAGCTGGGGAAAGTGCCATTCAACAAAGATTTGACCCCAGCCCATGAGTTGCTGACAGTGGAAGTCACATAAGTTAGATAAGTGTACCGGACTGAGTTCCTCCAGGACAGGAACTATTTCTTCTTAAGCTTGGTAGTCTCAGCACCCCGGACAGTGCCTGGCACATGGACTTGTTTGTTGAGTGAGTGAAGAAATGAATGAATACTGGGTTGTGACAGCCTTTTCCCCAAAGCAGGGCAGGCGCCCTGAGTCGCTCACATCACCCTTGGCTTTCAGTCCTCAGAGTACAGCAAGTGGAAGTTCACCAACAGCCCCACGTTCCTGGAGTTGCTGGAGGAGTTCCCATCCCTGCAGGTGTCTGCTGGCTTCCTGCTCTCCCTGCTCCCCATTCTGAAGCCCAGGTTTTACTCCATCAGCTCCTCCCAGGATCACACGCCCACAGCGATCCACCTGACTGTGGCCGTGCTCATGTACCACACTCGAGGTGAGCCTGGGGCAGAGGCTGTGGAGCAGTCACGCTCTGCCCCTTCAGTTCCCTCATCAGTTCAAGGAGGGAGGGAACACCTACAGCCCAGAGTTGCTAATGGTAATAGGAGGCATGTGGGAGACAGCTCTATGAACCAGGCAGTAAACCAAGCCTTCTGTATGTATATGATCAGTTACCATGTAGGGTAGGTACTGTGTGCATTTTACAGGTGGCACAGAAAGTCACACTGTGAGTAAGTGGAGAGCTGAGATTTGGACCTGGGTGGTCTAACTGCTGAGTCCAAGTCTTCCACCACTCCACTGTCCCACTACTCTTGAGACAATTTAATGAGATCAGACTTGGAGAGCACCCAACCCTTGGTGAGAGCCCAGTGGTCCTTAGTCTTCCTGATTGTGCAGCCTGAACGCAGGGGAGATTCTGCATTGGCTGTTCACTCACTCACTGAGCTCATTCAGTGACGGTTTATTTCACATCTCTCCGTGCTCAGCACTGGGGCAGGTGTGGAAATACAACAGACATCAGCCCTGCCCTCAGGGAGCATCTAGAGGCAGCAGTGGAGAGATGAGTGTAGAAATAATTAGATGATTCTCATTGTCCAGAAGCCAAGAAGGAAAGGTCAGCATCACTGAGGACAGTGAAGAGGGGGTGACGCTGCCATAGAGTGGTAGGCCAACATCTCTTTCAGGTGGTCTTGGCTCCACCACTGGCCTCTGCCCCCCGCCCTGCCCTCTGTAACTGAGTGTTGCTTGGTTTGGCAAAGCTGGGAGCTGCCTATACTTCTGAGCCCTCTGTCTAGGAAACAAAAACACAGTTTCTAAAAACTGGCCAGAGACTCTGTTTGTCCTGCTAGAGAACACCCACCCAGACCAGGAGAGGAGAGGCAGACACGTCCTGTGAGAGCAAAATTTAATCCCGAGGAAAACCAGGGGGACCTCTGCAGTTTGGTTGGAGGCCTCCAGCAAGTGCTGGGCCATTGTAAAAGAAATGCAACCCAGAGAAACCTCCTGGGTTTCTACCAGCCCAGGAGGGGCAACTGAGGAGGAAAGCGAGGTGCCAGAGCAGGCTGAAACGCGCGGAGCTCATCCGCCACCCAGGGTTGCAACCAGCAAGGGCCACGCTCATGAGCACGCACAGCAGTAGCCACCCCGAGGGGCCACTTCCTGCTGCTGTCAGTGGAGCTCAGTGGTGAGCTGGGAGTGTTCCTGGAGAAACTCTTTGGAAGGAGCACTGGAGTAGGAGTCAGGGAAGCTGAGCTGTCCTGATTTCACCATGACCTGAGTGACCTTGTCCAAGTCACTCTTCCTCTCCGGGACTCACTTTCTGCGTTGAAGATGGAGCAACTCGCAACCTCTCTAAGTCCCTTTCAACCTTCCTCAGCTCTGGGCTCACAGCGGGTGGATCTCAGAACCAGGAGGACAAAGAGCTGCTCATTGAGTCCTGAGAGTGCCTGAGTGGGGGCGTCCAAGGAGGCCGTGGTGTGGGCGGAGCAGCTGGTACAGTTTGCGCATGGGCAGTGGGGGGACGTTGGTCACTTTGTGGTATCGTTGCAGATGGCCAGGGTCCCCTGCACCACGGCGTCTGCGGCACATGGCTCAACAACTGAAGCCCCAAGACCAAGTGTCCTGCTTTGTGCGGAAGTAAGCACCCCTTCCACTCTGTCCCCTGTGGGACCGCCGACCCCTGGAGGTTCGGGGAGGAAAGGGAGGGATCTGGGGTTTAGGTGCCGCTCGGGGCTCCTTGGCCCACAAAGAAGACACTGGGGTCACACTGGTGTGGCTGTCTCTAGCAGAGACAGCGATGACAGCAGAGCTGGAAGGGCCCAGAGTCCAGTGAGCTTGGCCCTTTTTCAGAAGGACCTGGGGGAGGTGCTGGTGGCTGGACAGAAGTGAAGCCGCCTGCAGGGCGTGGGAAATCAAATAGGAGCTGCTCTCCACCCGCTACGACCGCTCCCCACAGGCCCAGCTCCCCAGCCGTCCTGTGTGTGCGTGGGCCCGGGGTGTCTGAGGACTGGCCCCCTCTTCTCCTGTCCTCTTCAGCGCCAGCGGCTTCCGGCTCCCCGAGGACCCCTCCCATCCTCGTGTCCTCATCGGGCCTGGCACAGGCATCCCTCCCTTCCTCAGTTTCTGGCAGCAGCGGCTCCATGACTCCCAGCAAAAGGGTGTGGCTGGAGGCTTCCCAGGTGGGAGGGTACCAGAGGCCAGCGCCTGCCTAGGAGCAGAACCGTAGCCCCACAAACGGTTCCTGGACCTCTCTGGAGGGAAGGCCTCCCAAGTTTGTCTCCCTGTGTGGGGCCTATGTGGGTGAGAACGGCCGCCTTCCTGTCTCCGGCATTGGAACCGGGGCTCCCTCTCTCGGGAGTGGAGGTAACGGGAAAGTCCCTGCTTTTGACCTCCGATGGGCTGAGGGAATCCTGCATCTGCACTTTCAGTTGTGTGACTATGTATGAGTGATTGGAATGCCCTGGGCCTCAGTTTCTTCATCTGTAAAGTGGGGATAATGCTGTTAACTAGCTAGGATACTTGTGGGAGTGAAGTGAGAATTCCAGTTCGGCTTTGAGCCATAGCGCCCTGCTGGCCAACATGGTAACAACAGCCCGGGACTCCTGCAGGAGTGCAGGGAGGCCGCATGACCCCGGTGTTCGAGTGCCGCAGCCCAAATGAGGACCACATCTACCAGGAGGAGATGCTGGAGATGGCTCGGAAGGGGGTGCTGCCTGCGGTGCCCACAGCCTATTCCTGCCTGCCTGGCAAGCCCAAGGTAAATGCAGCCTCAAAGCAGGTGAAGCAGTACACAACGCAGGCTCCAGTGTGAGCCCGGGGTCCCCACAGGCCCCTCGCCTCCCTGAGCCTGCAGCTCCTGAGCTCTAAAATGCAGGTAATTCACAACCATCAGAGTGGGGCTGTGAAGACTGTTACGCCCTCTCTTCCAAGAGAAGTGACAGGACCGGAGAGGTTCAGGACTAACCTAGGTCACAGGCGGGTTGAGCCCAGAGCCCAGCCTGCTGAAGGTCATCCGCAGGCCCCCGGGACAGGTGGCTCCCCTGGGAGAGGTGGTCCAGGCCGGCTACGTTCAAACCCAGCAAGGCTGGAGGGCGGCCGATGCTTCCACCATGGCCCTCAGACGGGCTCACCTGCCCCCAGGGCCGCGTTGCCCTCTGAGCCTGAGGTGTCAGAATAGACTCTCGGCTCTCACACATTTGTTGCCATCAGGGCACCTCTCGGGCCCAGTGCTCTGTGCCCAGTGCTGGGGCCACTGGGCATGCTGTGTGGAGCAGGAGCAGAGAGTCCCCGACTGACTCCTGGACCTTCTAACTGGGAAGCCCGGGATCCGTACCCTGCAGGGACCCGATGGACAGTCTGCATTGAGAGGATACTTTTCAGGGGTGTAGGCAGAGCCCTGGGCAGGGGGACTGCCTTCATTGATGCCTCTTTGAAGCATGGCAAATTCAGAGACAGTCTGGGAGCCCCACTGGACAGTCAGCCCCTTGAGGGCAGGCCTGTGTCCAGCATTTATGTCTCTACTCCCAGCCCAGCCCCCAGAGCATCTGTGCTCCTCCTCTTCCTGAGCCTGGACCTGTGCAAGGTCGTGGCTGGGAGGGGACTCACTCCACAGCCCTTAGTGCCCTCTCCCCAACTCCCTGAGGCCAGCAGTCCTGCCTGCAATCCTTGTCTCCAGTGGCCGGGAACTGGACCCACCGTTTCCTCTGGTTTTAGGTCTGTGTTCAGGACATCCTGCAGCAGCAGCTGGCCAGCGAGGTGCTCCGTGTGCTCCACAAGGAGCCGGGCCACCTCTATGTTTGCAGGGCTGTGTGCATGGCCTGGGATGTGGCCCACACCCTAGCAGCTGGTGGCTGCCTAGCTGAACTTGAATGAGGAGCAGGTCGAGGACTATTTCTTTCAGCTCAAGGTGTAATAGTGGGTGTATGGGCTGAGGGTCCTGGCCAAGGGCACAGGCTATTGGAGCCAGGACCAGGGGTGGCAGGTAGACCCAGGGGAGTCAGGCCCAGAAAAGTTCTGGACCCCAAGGGAATCTTAGCAGTGGCTGGGATCTGAGCTGGGTGGGCTGTCAGAAGGCCCCACTGCACATCCTGGACTGGTTGGCAGCTTTGAGAAGTCAGGTGAATGTGTTCCATTTTTCCATCTGTGGAATGGGAGCAAGAGAGTCTACTTGCCCTCTCCCCAAACCCCCCTTTCAGAAAGTATCTGTGTGGCCAAAGCAAGGCTGTGAACACAGGGGAGAGCAAGGCTGCCCCCCGTCAGCCTCGTGTGAACCTCACACTTCTTATTTACACACAGGCTGGCGTCTGCTCACCCTCATCCTCCCAGCAGGAAGGGCTTGCATTTTATTGATGAAAATAATAGTGATATTTATCAAGGGCTTACACTGGGCCAAGTGCTTGCCAAGGATTCTCATGTGACATTTCTTTCAGTCCTGCCGAGGACTTTATGAGGGAAGCACCCTGTTTTACAGAGGGAAGGGGGCCTATGGGGTCTACAGCAGTGAGAGCCTAGAGTTCAGTCTGCGTCTCTCTGATTCCAAAGCCTGTGATTGTGACTTCCATACTCTCCCTAAGACACATTCATACATTCAACTGAATATTTATTGAGCACCTACTGTGTGCTAGGGATAGAGCAGTAAATGAATCAGGCAAAAATTATTTACATTCCACTGGGGCTGACAAACCCAAACAAGGAAGAGGTGTAGTGCTTCGGAGAAAAACAGCAGGAAATAGCCCAGGGGACACTGGGGAGTGTAATTTTAAATAGGGTGGCCAGGGAAGGCGGAGCTGGAAGGCGGCGTCTGAGAATAAACCTGAGATGGTGAGGAGGAGCCCCGTGGATACTGAAGGAAACACTCTGGGCTGTTCTGGAGAGGGCAGCAGATACAAAGGCCCGGGGGTGGGAGTTAAGCTGGCGTGTTTGAAGAACAGTGAGGAGATAACAGGCATTTCCCCAAATGTGTTAAATGAGTCGGTAGATGTTTGGCATCCAAAAGGTTACAAGGTCGAATAGCCTAGGACATGCTTAGTTAAGCCAAGGCAAGCACGTTGCTTTACTACAAGACTTCTGGGGGCCTTCAACGTGCTGCTGTGCATCGGGACCCTTCAAGGCTGGGAGGAAAGAAAGGATGTAGCATTTCCCAAATGTGTTAATCTGAAAGCTCACACTTCCTGGAGCATCTTGGGTGGGGGATGAGCACAGGGCAGGAAATGGGAATGCCAAGTAAAGCTTTGGAAATGGTTAGAGGGCCTGCTCCAGAGCAGGTGCTGAGCGGGTTTAGGGTCTAAACCAGATTCAAGCGCAATCAAAGTATAACAGTTGGGAAGACAGATGGCTCATGAAGGTCCATGTGATAAGGAAGCTGGGCAACCCCAGGGGCTCATTCCAGCCTGGACTTGACACATTGGTCTCTGTTTTTACCTAAAAGAGCCAGAAGCACTTCCATGACGATATCTTTGGTGCTGTATTTCCCTACGAGGCAAAGAAGGACAGGGCGGCGGTGCAGCCCAGCAGCCTGGAGATGTCAGCACTCTGAGGGCCCACAGGAGGGGTTAAAGCTGCCAGCACAGAACTTAACGATGGAGCCAGCTCTGCATTATCCGAGGTCACAGGGCCTGGGGAGATGGAGGAAAGTGATATCCCCCAGCCTCACGTCTTATTTCTCACCTCGTTCCCCATCAAGCCCTTTACTTGACCTCCTACCAAGTAGCACCCTGGATTGATCGGAGCCTCCTCTCTCAAGCTGGGGCCTCCCTGGTCCCTTGGAGACGAAATCTTCAATGCCAGGCCTGGCAAGTGGGTGAAAGATGGAACCCGCTGCTGAGTGCACCACTTCAAGTGACCACCAGGAAGTGCCGTCACACCACTGTGTATTTAACTGCCATGGGTACAATTATTTATGCCTCTGTTTAAAAAACGAACACCCTAGTCTGTTCCTAATGGCCCCTTGGGTCTTCTCTGTATGATTCCCTGATGGAGATATTTACATGAGTTGAATTTTACTTTAATCACACTGTGTGTGTGTTTGTTGGGGGAGCTGGTGGGGGATGTTTTATAGGGAATGTGGCCCTCAGTTATAGAGTGGGGAGCTGGTGGGTGTCGCAGCCTGGACAGATGCCCCACAGAGGGACACCCCAGGCAGGCCACGGCTCCTCTGAAATGGCTGCCAGGTGTGACAGCAGCAGATGGAGCTTCGTGCTGGTCCAAAGACCTGCGGTAGGGTGGACGGCACAGGCCTGCCTCCCACACAAAGGATCTGACGCGGGGTCTGGCAAGAGTGGGATTCTCATATGAGGCCAGAGCTTCAGGGAAGGTCTTGAGCTTCTTCTTGGACACTGTCTTAGAAAGGTTTTGCTCTGGGGCCACCTGTCTCACGTGAGTTTGGCCAGTACAGATGTGGCCTCTGGGAACACAGGGTGTCAAAGCGAGTGTGGGCCACAGCATCCTCGCCCAAGGGACTGAAGACCCTCCTGGGTTTGGAGACAGCCAGGGAAGGCTTTTTAAGAGACTAGACCCATTTCCTTCTCCTGGTCAGAACCAAGGAAGGAGCTCAGTGGCGGCCTCTGGGGTCCTGGCAACACGTGGCTCCCAGCTGGGGTTTGGCCTGTGCCTCCTGGGCCAGGCCCAGGACCCTCCCCCTCCCCTCCTCCTTCCAGCAGCAGCGTCTCAGGTGGCAGGAGAAGGTGCAGTGCCAACTTCAGGCTCCAGACGTGCCCTGCCCTGCGTGGCAGCCGTGCATCTCAGCAACACGGCCAGGAGTCCGCTCCGGACCAGGGCTTCCCAGCTTTCATGTGCGGGCCTCATCTGGGGTCCCGTGAAGACAGAGACTCTGATCTCGCAGGTGGGGTGGGGTGCGGGATGCTGCGTTTCCAACAAGCTCTCAGTCGCTGCTGCCGCCGCCACTCTGAGGACTACACGGGGGCCTGAGGAACTGGATTCTTGCTGGGCCAAGCAGGATGTGTTGGCATCACGTTGACGCGGAGCTGGGCTGTCTGGCGGTGGCTCAGTGGCTGGCAGAACCCCACACATGGACACTGAGCCACTTTTCTCATGCGAGTCCTAACCCTATTGCCAGGGAGACCCACAATGGAACACACACCCATACGGTGCTTCGGGTGGGCCTCTCCTGACACCCCTTCCCCAAGCCACCTCCTCCCACTGGGATGCCAGGTCCGAGGAGCCAGCTCTGGCCCTGCTGTGGCCCTCACAGGCTCTGCCCCAGCCCGCCTCCCATCTCGGAGGCATGGGGCTGTTTCCTGGGGTCCCCCATTACCACCTTTCCTGTGTCCGAGACTCCTGCCCAAAAGACTAGAGCCCCAGCCTGCTTTCTCCAACACCCTCATGGGACGGTGGCTCTCTTCTCATAGCTCCCCTAGACACTGGCCCAGTGGGGGCTCTGTGTGGGGGCTTCAACCCCACATTTCCCTTCCACACTGCCCTGGTGGAGTCATCCCTGAGACCTGATAATTCTAGACCCTGTGGCCACCAGAGGAGCCCATGCATTGGCTTCCTTTTTTTTTTTTTTTTTTTTTTGACAGAGCCTTGCTCTGTCACCCAGGCTGGAGTGCAGTGGTGCAGTCTCGGCTCACTGCAACCTCTGCCTCCCGGGTTAAAGTGATTCTTGTGTCTCAGCCTCCCAAGTAACTGGGACTACAGATACCCACCGCCACCACCACCATGCCCAGCTCGTTTTTCGTTTTTTTGTTTGTTTGTTTGTTTTTGAGATAGAGTTTCACTCTTGTTGCCCAGGCTGGAGTTCAATGGCGCAATCGCGGCTCACTGCAACCTCCACCTCCCAGGTTCAAGCCATTCTCCTGCCTCAGCCTCCCAGGTAGACGGAATTACAGGTGTGCACCACCACGCCTGGCTAATTTTGTATTTTTAGTAGAGATGGGGTTTCTTCATGTTGGACAGGCGAGTCATGAGCTCCCAACCTCAGGTGATCCACCTGCGTCAGCCTCCAAAGTGCTGGGATTACAGGCGTGAGCCAGCATACCCGGCCATTAATCCTTTTTTAATTAGGAGGTGTGAGGTCAGGACCCCCTGCCCAAAGGGAGTCCATGCTCTCCCATCCCACTCCTCTCAGCAGCCCCTCCGCCTGATTCCACAGATTCCAAAATGTCTCCAAATGAATTAAAGAAGCCACAGTCAACCCACATGAATGTGCCAACAAGCATTTTCATTTCTTTATTTTAAGGACACTGGGAAAGGAGCCAGTCCCCTGAAGAGAACACTCTGGTCAGTTGGTGGAGGCCAGTGGGAAGCCATCAGACCTGCTTTCCAGGAGGGGTGAAGGGTTGGTGCAGGGTGCAAGGTGAGAGTGAGGTTAAAGGTCAGAGAGGAGGGGCTGAGGAGGCCATCTCCCACCAGGAGCAGACAGCTGGTGGCTTGAGACTGGGGTGGAGCTGCGTGGGGGATGGGAGGGGACTGAGCATGGGGCTTCATCTTCACTGCCCGCTCCTCCCCTCTCCCTGGCTGTGCCCGCCTTCTGGGATTGTAGGATTCCAGCAGCTGGCGCCCCAGGTGCTGCTGCGGCTGAGGAAGACAATCCCAGTCAGCTGCCTTCTCAATTCCAGGGTGGCTGTAGCCAGAAGCAGGACCAGATAAGGACATGGCCTCTGCATTAAAGCCCAGATCCCAGGCACGGTTGGAAAGGCTGGGCCTGGGAAGTGGGGATGATGAGAGGACCCCGACTGCCCCACACCCCAGCCCCCGGCCCCAGGGCCAGGGAGCCGCCTATGTCTGCACGTGGGTCAGCTGGATGTCGCCACCCACTTCCAGTTTGTTGATGGTGGGCAGGTTCCTCAGGCGATGGTAGTATTCAAACACGTGCTGACCATCCACGGCCACCTTGAGGCAGTGAGCTTCACACAAGATCCACACCTGTGCAGAGATTATGCCGTTTGCACTACACTTGGGAAGTCCTCCACCCTCACTGCAGCCTCCTCTCTCCCTCCCTCCCTCCCTCCTCAGTTGTTAATAAGCCCCTCACCTGCACTCTATCCCCACTGAGCGACCGGCTCTTCACTAAACAGGCTGTGCGTGCTCCTTCCCCTGTACTGTTCCCTGGCCTAGAATACTGTTCCCACGACATCAGGGACAGGAGCACTGGCCTGTGCCATCTGTATCCCTCGGACCCAGCACACAGGAGTGCTCTGGGCCTGGGCTCCTGCAGCATCAGCCTCCTAACTTGTCTTTTCCACCCCAATGCCTTCTCCATGAGGCAGTCAGGGTACAAATGTTAAAACCTCCTGCCCTTTGCAATAGCTGACACTCTTAACACACATGCCATGTGTAAGGCACTGTCCTAAGCGTGCTACAGATACTGCCTCATTCCATTCTTACAGCTCTAGGAGATTCATATGATTATTAGCTCCATTTTGTAGATGAGGAAACTGAAGCACAGAGTAGCTAAGTCACTTGCCCGAGGTCACACAGCTGTCCACAAATCAAAGAATGTTGCTCCCTGGCTCCATGGCTGCAAAGCCCTACATCAGTCATTTTCAACTCTGATTGCAGAGTGTAATCACTTCAGGCATATTTTAAAAATACAAATGCCCAGGCTGACCGCCTCATTGGCCTGGGCTGGGGTCCCAGCACCTATATGTTCTTTGTAAGCTCTCTGGGTGATTTGAATGTGTAGTCAGGGCGGAGCACGCCTGCTGCTGTTCCTGGAGAGGCCACACCCGCACCTCTGCATGTTGGCCCTAGCTGCCCCTCCCAGGCTCGCTCTATCTCATCGCTCTGTTTTGCTTTCTGCGTGGCACTGTTGTTATCTGCAACAATCTGTTCATGCTTTAGTTTCCTTGTTCCTTCCCCCAGCTAAATTGTAAACTCTCTGGAGGAAGGACCCTATGTGTCTGCTTCATGACTGCGCTCCCAGCACGTGGAGTGCTTCCTGCACAAAGCGGGCGACAGTGAAATCGTTGAATGAGTCAGTGAAGAAATGAATAACACCTCCTTCTTGGGTCTGATTTGACACTTACTGACTGTGTGACCGCAAGCAAGTAACCTGCACTTGTGAGTTTCTTTCCTCATCTAAAAAAGCAGATCCCAACGCTTCCTTCATGCAGGACAGTAATAATTATTAATAATAATGACAATAATTTTTTGGCCACCTTTTCTTCTGGGCCCTCATCCCAGAGGCATCAGCTTCCATCCTGTTCAAGGTGCCCCAGACCTCCTTTACCCCCTCCCCGTGTACCCATAGGAGCCTCCTCAAGCTCCAGGCTGCGGCGCCTTACCGAGAAGCTCTGGCCTCGGACGAAGGGCATTTTTCGGGGCAGACTTCGCTCCTCAGACCCCCAAGAGTTGTTGATCTGGGTGTTACGGACCACAGCATTCTCATCAAAACGGGGGTTCATGTGGAAGGCGATGTGGCTCCCAGAGCACAGGTTGATGTGGAACCTGCGGTGGGCAGCCTACCTGGACCTTTGTCCACTGAGTTCTGAGCCCCATTTCCTCCCCATCATCGCCAGCCTGCCAAAAGCCAGGGGAATGGCTGGAATTACCTTGAAGGGCTCTCTCTTCCCAGAGGTCACTGGAGCCTTTGGCTTACCTCTGAGCACTGGGCAGGACAGTGCCTGACAGGATGATGGACTTGGATGGGTACAGCCCTCCCGGAATGGTGGTGATGAAAGGCATCGGCTGTCAGAAGGACGGGGACAGGTCAGCCAGTGGCAGCCAGGGCAGCCGCCACATGGAAGGGGAAGATTGTACCATTTCCCATGAATTTAGGCTGTCAGCTGAGAAGAAGCCCACGATATCTTTACTTGGTTCCATAAAAGCCAAAGGAAAACTTTCCGGTGCTCCTCAAATTAATGGGCTTAGATTAGTGTCATGAAAGGAAATTTGGCCAAACACAGAAAGAAAGACTCGTGGGGTGAAAAGGGAGGGCCATGCAATGTGCTCACGTTGACACGACAGTTTTAAGGTTGAAAGCTCCTCTCCACAGTCTTCTAATTCACTGGGACGCTTTGAAGCCCTTCAGCTTACCATTTTGAAAGCCCTTCGCTTTTCATTTTTCAAGGCCAGCGGATCCCCCCGTAGCGGCCCTTCATCCCTAGCCTGCCCACCACAAACAGAACCTCTGCCCTCCCTGAGAAACCACTTACATAGGCAGGGTGGGGGTACATCATAGGTGGGATGGCGGGAGTCTGCTGAAAAGAAACCAGGAAATTCAATGGGAGAGCGCATGTGTGCGCGAGCACTCACCCACGCGCACCCACGCATTCTAGAGGGGGCTCCACTGTGAGGCTGACCTCATGAGCCTTTGGCCCTTGGACTCTCCCGTAAACCTCCGTTTTCATGTTAGCCTTCCTGGAACTTCCTGCCGTGTTCCCAGACCCCACCATGGTCACCTGCCCCTCAGCCCCTCCGCAGGCAGCCCCACTAATGCTAAGTTCCCGGCCTGATTTGCACCAGCAGGAGAAGAGCTTAAGCCTGTGATCTGTAGTGACATCCCGGGGACCCAGGAGGCAGGGCCAGGAACCTCACATCTGGGTGCTGGGGCCACTGCACTCCCCACTTGGTGACAGAAGGACCAGTTTCCCTCCCAGTCTCTAGGGAACCTGCCTCTTCCACCACTGGATAAATCCAGAATCTCTGCTGTCCCAAGGATAGTTTTAACCACATGTCACCTGAGCCAAGGACTCAGCCCCAGATGTCCCCACCCTCCTTGCTAAACCGCTTTCTTCCCAACTCTAGGGCTCTAGGGAGTTTAGTTCTTGGGGAAGGAGGGCACTGTGCAGCTGTGAACTGATCAGAACTTGAAGACTTACAGAGAACATCTGTCCAGAGGCGCTCTGCACCGTGTGGATGACTGTCTGGGTCTGGAAGAAAGAAACCAGGTCTCACCCAGGCTCTCCTGAGTAAAGACCACCCCAGCTCCCACCAGAGGGTGCCACACGGCAGGCACCCTCCAGGGGCATAACCAGCCCAGTGGCCCCACAGACCCCACGGAGGGTGGGTCCAGGGGACGAGGGAGAGGCAAAGGTTAGAACCCTGGAGAAGACAGATGGGGACGCTGGTGGCTCTGGCCCATCTTTCCTCTCGGGGAAACGTCTCTCAGCCTAGCCTCCCTTTGCAGGTGAGAGAAGTGAACGTGGGGCATGGTCTTCCGTGGCTGCCCATGGAGTGGCAACTCAGGTTGTTCCATCACGGCCAGCCAACCACATTCACCCACCAACCTCGCCAGGCCGGGTAGATGGTCAAGGGCCTGGCCTCTGCCCTCCCCACTCCCGATGGGAGAGGCCCAATGCCTGGCCCTGCATCCTCCATTAGCCCAGAAGAAGAGCCAAAATCAAGAGGATCCAAAAAGAAAGCAAGAGACTTACAATGGGAGCTGGGTTGGCAGGCCGCACGCTGGGAGGCTGGAGGGGTGAGGAGAGTCAGAACGGTGGTTATTGCGGGCACCACAGAACGGGGAGAGACGATGGCAGAACTCCAGGGAGGCTCTTGTGCTCAGAAATGCCTCCCCAGACACACCCACCTCCCTCTTGCTCCCAAGCAAGCCTTCCTGAGCCCGTGGCACCCAGATTTTTACCCTCAGGTGCACAAGGCTTTGGGGTTGAGGGGTAGGGTATCCCCATTGGTTCCTCTCGAGAGAGAGGAGGCTGGGTTTGATAGAGACCTCATTGCTGTCTGTAGCTCCCACAGCCAAGAGCATTACTTCCGGTGCCATATTTCACCCGTAAGCTGAGAAGTGGTATTTGTTGAAGGCCTATTGTGGGCCGAGTCCTGGGCTTCAGTGCTTTCCAAAGAGGGAAGCAGCCTCAGCTCCTGTGTCCCTGGTGAGGCAATGAGGCTCAGAAAGATTAAGCAACTTGCCCAAGCTTGCCCGGGTGGAAGGGATCAAATCCAAAATGGCAGCCAATTCTGTCTGACTGCATCCAGCACACTTTCTGTCATCCCTAGGGCCAGGGCCAGCGCCAGGGCCAGGGCCAAAGTTTGGCTGCCCTGCGAATGTTCCCTGGGGCTCCACCAGTCCTGAAGTCAGCGTGGCAGGAGGCAGGTGCACTGTCTGTACCATCATGGGCCATAAAAAGGCTACATAGACAAAGCGCCCCTCCTCCCAGTCCCCACTGCTTGAGTGGCCAGAGGAAGGGCTGCCCACCTCCTTGTCGTGGATCCTGCCCCACCCAGTAGACTGTTCTTGCCCTGGCTGGTATCCCATTCTCCCTGGCTGCGAAAACCACATTCCACATTCATCCATTCTTCGAGTCCCTAGTGAGTGCCAGGCACTGTGCAAATGAACGACCCACAGTCCCAGCCCTCTGGGGCCTCATGGGCATAGGGAGATGGGGGTGGAGTGACAGGGACAGACACGCAAACAGTTACAATGGGGTGCTGTGAACTGGCATGGCACAGATATGTACAGACTCCGTGGGGGCATGGGGGGAGCATCCAACAATATTCTGGGCAGGGAGGACTCCCAGAGGAGCGACACTTTGGCAGAGCATGGAAGGGCGATTAGGCGTGTGCTGAGGGCAGGCTGGCAGAGGGTGCTTCCGGGACCAGGGACAGCATATGCAAAAGCATGGTGGCCCGAGAGGGCCTTGAGTGAGCCGTGGAGGTTGCATGAGCTTCGTGGGTTGGGGGTGAGGCAAGGAGGTGGACTGGGGCCAGACTGGGGAGGAATTCGTATGCCCTGCTGGGGAATTTGGGCTTTGTTTGAAGGGCTGGGGACTTTTAAGATTTTTAAGCAGGGAGAGAGTGTGATCAGATTTGCTTATAAGAAGGTCACTGTGGCAGCGGTTGGGTGTGGGGGGTGGGGAACTGGACCCCTGTAGTCATGGTGAGGAATCCCAGAGGCCTGGGCCACATCGGTGGCTTTGGGAGGGAGATATGTTGGTGCCTTGGAGAGACATAAAGAAAGGGTAGTGAAGAATCCAGGGCAACACCCAGGTCCCCGGCTCTGGGTGCCCAGCAGACAGAGACAGGGAACTCTTGAGTGGGCAAGATGTGGCCCATAGGCCCTGGTGGCCTGCTGGCTGGGGCCAGCCTCTCAAACCCTCGGTCCTTCCTGCTGTCTGCTCAGCCACCCAGGGCCTCTGTGTTGAACTCACTTTTTGTCTGCGCCCCCTGGGCCTGGGTGGGAAACAGACAGGCTGGGAGAACGGCACCGTGGAGAAGGCAGGCTGAACGGGGACTGTGCGGGGATTCTGTTAAAACAAAAGGCACCGGCCGGTGAGGAGAAGCATTAATAGAGCCAAGGAGAAGCCGAAAGGCAGATGCAGGGGCAGGAGGCAGAGAACAGGCAGGCAGGGGGATGCAGCAAGGGGGTTAGGGCCACACGGAGGCGAGAGCGGAAAGGGCCAGGCTTCGGTGAGCAGCGCAGGGGGACAGTCTCCCTCCAGCTCTTCCCTCCCCTTCCACCCGCAGGGGAGAGAGTCAGGGAAGGAGGGAATGAGAGATGAGGACCAAAGGGTGAGGAGCCCAGATTTGCTGAGGGCCTACTGTGCACTTCGCTCATCTCAGGGAGCTCCCTCGAATGCCAAAAGGGTAACAGCAGCTCCCATCCAGCTGCCGGTGCCCTGTGGGAATGTGGGCCCAGCATACCCTAATCTTCCCATTTTTCACGTGGTGTTGGTATCTCCTGACCTTCTTTAGTTTTATTTATTTTATTTTATTATTCAAACAAAAAGATTTTAGAGATGGGGTCTTGCTATGTTGCTCAGGCAGAACTCTAATTCCTGGGCTCAAGCGATTCTCCTGCCTCAGCCTCTTGAGTAACCAGGATTGCAGACCTCCACCACCATACCTGGGTCTCCTGACCTTTTAGATGTTGGCAACGCATTCAAAGTTTTTAAAACACAGAGGTCACACAGACCCTGGTGTGGGCCCAGGGGCGCCATTGTGTGACCTCTGATATCTGTCTCCTCAATGAATCACACAACCACCCATGGGGGCCAGGCAATGACCATGCTCATTCTACAGATGACGAAACTGAGGCTGAGAGAGGCAAAGTTGCTTGTCTAAGATCCCACAGATGACGAATGGCAGAGCTGGGAATTTGAACTGGATTCAGTTTGGTTCTTGAGCCTGGGCTCTTTCTAGAACAATATGCCCTCCTTACCAGGATGGAAATTGACGGATGAAGAGAAAGGGGCAGCTGAGGAGTCTGGGAGACCAAGGCAGGTGTTCCAGACAGAGACAGTGACACAGAAGGAGGGGCAGAGTGACAGAGGAGAAGGGGCGGGCAGGTACTGGGACAGGGAAGCAGAGGTTGTCCCCAGAGTGACCTGGGTAGGAGATTGGCTTGGGTCCCCCCAGCTGGGCCCTGCATCCCAGCCCCTGGGACCGGTGCCAGGTGGACAGTCTGACCTGGAAGCTGATGTAGGACAGCTGCACAGAGCCATTGACGGAGATGGTGTCCACACGGTGGAAGGGCACGCGGTGGAAGTACTGCACGAAGAGGCTCCCGTTCACCATCACCTGCCAGAGGAGAGCACGTATTTCGGGGGAGGTGCCCCAGGCCGGGATGGGGACCACCCCTGAGCTCCTGGTCCCTCCTTCTAAAAAATGAAGACCTGAGTCTGGTCTTCAGTGTGGGGCCAGTTACAGGGACGTGTGTGTGGCCCGAAGTGCATCAACCGGAGTCTCTACTGGGCTCCAGTCGGGCTTTCCATTCTTCTGGTTGTTTCCTTCCCCTTTCTTCTCACTCCTCGATTTCCAGCCTGGTTAGGAGGCCATATTGTTCCAGAAAGAGCCCATGCTCAGGAACCAAACTGAATTTCCTGGGGTTTCATTTATTTATTATTTTTCCTTCAACTTTTTTTTTTTTTTTTTGAGATAGAGTGTCACTCTGTCAGCCAGGCTGCAGTGCAGTGGTTCAAGCGATTCTCCTGCCTCAGCCTCCCGAGTAGCTGGGATTACAGGCATCCACCACCACACCAAGCTAATGTTTGTATTTTTAGTAGAGACGGGATTTCACCATGTTGGCCAGGCAGGTCTTGAACTCCTGACCTCAAGCCATCTGTCCTCCTCACCCTCCCAAAGTGCTTGGATTATAAGGGTGAGCCGCCGTGCCCAGCCCCTTCAACTTTTATTTCAAGTTCCAGGGTATGAGTATAGGATCTGCAGGTTTGTTAACTAGGTAAATGTGTGCCACGGTGTTTTGCTGCACAGATCAACCCTTCACCTTGGTATCAAGCCCAGCATCCATTAGCTAATCTTCCTGATGCTCTCCGTCCCCGACCAGGCCCCAGTGTGTGTTGTTTCCCCACTTGTGTCCATGTGTTCTCATCGTTCAGCTCCTACTTATAAGTGAGAACTTGCGGTGTTTGGTTTTCTGCTCCTGCAACGGCTTCCAGCTCCATCCATGTTCCTGTAAAGGACATGATCTCATTCCTTTTTAGGACTGCAGGGGTATTATTTAAATATGCATAAAATGCTCACGGGGAGCAGAGGAGAGGTGACATCGGGTTGCATACTGAATGGATGGGAACATCCTTATCTCAGATAAGCATATTCAGACTGAGTTACCCACCGGCTTCTCAAGCCCAGAGACCTACTGTGCTTGCAAAGGTAATTTGCAATGTGCTTACAGAACTATAACCGTAATAGACTCTGGATAAAGGCTGGAACAATGTCGCTGAAAAATAAATGTTACCAGGGACCTGGAGAGGAGGTATGGTGATAGCAGAGGAATGGAATGAGCTTGGAATTCAAAGACACACAACACCTAACAGCAACGTGATGACTCCTCTAGTTCTTATTTTCAGAGTAAAAGAAGCAGGAGGTGCACCTGTAGATTCAGGTGAAGGTGCGTAAGGAGACTACACAGCCATGGGTAACACCCTTACAAGGAAATGGTCATGTTATCTGTATGGTGGTGTCACTCTGGCTGAATGTCAATTAAAGTGGTTACTTAAAAGGCCATTCACATTCACCTGATAGGGCTGGGAGTCCCGTGGGCGAGAGGTGGGGAGGGGATTCCTGCTTACCTTGAAATCTGAGCTCTGCACCAGGAAGCAGAGGTCAAAGGGCATCCCCTTCTGGAAGGGCATGTGCATCTTCCTCTCCTCGGGCCCCCATCTTCCTTTCTGCCTCGTGTTGCACACCACATACCCTCCGTCTTCAAACCGAGGGTTGAAGTGGAAGGCAATGTCGTTTCCACTGAAGCCCGTCTGAAAGTCCACAGCAAACCTAGGCCCAGGAAAAGCAAATAGTCTTCTGTGGCATGGATTATTGCCAGTGACAGGCACAGGAGGGCCTCGGTGCCTCTGCCCTGTGTTTGTCTGGGATCTTGCATACAACCTGCGTGGCAGAGACTGCTTGGTTGGCATCGTTTTTGTTTCTCTAATTTGGATCCAATGTGTTTTTGTGCGATTATTGCATTTTGCCTTTACAGCACGATTTTCTAAACATAAGTAGAAAATGGCTAAGGGAAAGTGCTGGCATTAGCAAACAAGAAGCATAGGTCCTGGAAAGTGATTACCAGTTGGTAACAAAGATGGAAGTTGTTAAGCACACCTAGAAGAGAGAGGCTTCTGTGCCAGTGGACACTTGTTGGAGGCCAGCACATGCCTGATTAAGTGCGAAAGAAGAGAACAAATGTAAAGAGCATGTGAAATCGGGGCCGGGCGCAGTGCCTCACGCCTGTAATCACAGCACTTTGGGACGCCAAGGTGGGTGGATCACTTGAGCCCAGGAGTTGAAGACCAGCCTGAGCAACAGAGCGAGATCTCATCTCTACTTAAAAAACAAAAAGATATATATATATATTTAATTAGCTAGACATCATGATGCATGTCTATAGTCCCAGCTGCTCTGGGGGATGAGATGGGAGGATCCCTTGAGCCCAGGAAGTCGAGGCTGCAGTGAGCTATGATCGTACCACTGCACTCCAGCCTGGGTGAAAGAAAAAAGTCCCTGTCTCTAAAGAAAAAAATAAATTAATTAAATGAATAAATGGAGAAGATTGCATTTGAAATATCACTGCATGTATTTTTTTCCTTTGGAGACCTTCAGCTTCATTCCTGTGGCCCTTTGGAAATTCCTGCCCCAAGGAAGGGAGAGACAGAAAGCTCCTGAGAGGAGAGGGCCCTCTGAGGTAGGATCTGTCTCTGTGCAACAGGATGGGAGTGGGAAGCCCTCCTGGTGCTGGGAGGTGGGGGAAACAGAGGGAGAGGGAAAGAGGAAGGGGTGGAAGATCAGAGGCATGGTTCTGATTCCCCCGGTTGGAGGATTCAGGGGGATCAGGGCCTCCCTGCCCTTGGCATCTCCTGGGGGCACTGCAGGCTCTCAGAGAAGTCCGACAGCAGGATAGCAATGGCGGAGGAGGTCATCAAGAATCTAGGTGGCGGAGCTGAGGTTGAGCTGGCATCTACGAGGCCCAGAGGGTCTTAAGAGAGGTCCACTGGGACTGAGGCAGAGAGGCTTCCGAGAGAGAGCCATGAGTCCAGAGGCTCTTCTGTGGGCCCCGCAGACTTCAGCAGGCAGCCACCCGTGGTCCCTCACTAAACCAGGAGAGAGCTGCACACCTCTGTGCCACCCAGTCAGGATGCCTCGGCAGGGGTCAGCCAGGCCTGCGTGAGGGTCGGGGGCCCTCCCAGCCACTGACAAGCCACGTGAGCTCCTCTCTGTTCCCAGACAGCCCACCTTGGGAGGGAGGAAGGGGTGGGAAACAGCCCTGATACAATGTTAGTATTTTGAATGGACTTAGTAGTTTCCAGAAAAGGCCTTGAAACCGAAAGAGACCAAATTACTTCGGATGTCAATTTTCAGTATTTTCATGTCAGCAGAAGGAGAGCTTCAGAGTGGATGAAAGCAGTTATGGGAAACGGAGGAAGTTTGATTTTTGCAACTCTCAGTCACAGTGTGCAAGGTTCAGCCCAGAACATAATCATCCAACTCTGACCATCCCACTCCTTCCTTAGACCTTCAGCTCCCAGGGCCCCATTCATCCTGGAGTCCAGGTTAATGGCATCCCTGGGTGCAGGTTGTGCCTGTGGAGTGCTGTCCTGTGGCATGGGTTAAGGATGCATTGGGTCTCCCCTGCGCCAGGCACGTGAGCTTGGATGTTGTTGTTTGAACTAACCGAGGCTCACAGGCACAGTGGCTTTACTAAGGGACGAGGCTGGAGTGAAACGTTTCCATCCATATACACACACCTGGTTCCACTGGAGCTGAGAACGGCCCCATTGACAGTGATCTGAAATCCGTCCTGGAGACCCCCTTGGATAGTCCCAGAAAAGGGGACGGCCTGCAGGGAGAAGACATGGGGCCTCAGTCAGGTGGCCGGCCTCCTGTTTGCTCCCCTTCGGGGCTAGTCAGTGGCTGGCCTGGGTGTGACCGCACCATGCGAGGGGCTAGGGTGCAGCTGTGACCAGGACAGAAGGAGTCTCAGCCCCACGGGTCTTAGGGTCCTGTGTGGAGGCAGACACAAATCCAATTAGTTACTCAGACAGTCTAAGCTTGTGATAAGGAGAATCCTGGCCCTGAGAGGACGCGACAGGGAGCTGAGCTTGTGTGAGAGTCTGAGAGGCAGCGGAGGCCACACCAGGAACGCTCCAGGCGGAAGGCCTTCCTTCCAGGCAGGGAAGTAGCAGGCAGACGCCCTGGGCTGGTAAGGAACTAGGTAGCAATGGGGCTGCTGGACCCCATGCCAAGCTCCCAGCAAAGTGCCCAGCGCCCTGGCTGGGGACTCAGGAGGCCCAAGGGAACAAAGGGACCCATCAAGGGTCTGCAGGTTCCACCGAGAGGGTCACCAGAGAGTGTCAAGAAGAAGGCATGCACCTCTCCCCACCACCACCATATAACAATGGCCACCATGACCTTTGCCCTCCTGACCACCTTCAGCAGAGCCTCTTCCCAGATGCCCTCCGCAGCCCCGAGCCCCAGCGTAGTTTCCCCACCCATCCCAGGCCCCGTGGGCAAGCACTTTGTCAAATTCTCTCTTCCGCGCCTCTTTAAAGGAGCTATGGGCCATGGTGAGGCATGCATCGTTTTGGAGTCAGGCGGACTCCAGGTCTGAATCCTAACTCTGCTGCTCCTGACCTGAGTGGCCTTGGGAAGCCTATTTCACCTCTCTTTGCCTCAGTTTCCTCATCTGTAAAATAGGAAGGTGTTTCTCCTACTGCATATGATTGATGATTTTGTGAGAAAAAGCCTGTGGTAGAAGAGACTGGCACAGAGGAGACGCTTCACCACTGTCACCCACCCCCACCTTGGTCTCTCTGAGCAAAATTCACAAACTGGTACTTCCAATCTTCAAAGTTTATTCCGAAATGCCTCATATCCGGTGTGGTTCTATAACCTGCATTAAAGCACAGTTCTATCTCATGGCTGATTTTCACATTCTTCAAGTTTTTAATGTCTTCTCTAATATCTCCTTTAGGTCAATTTCCTACACAAATTAAATGCCTAAAGAAGCCAGGCAGGTGATGTGTATGAGTCAGATGGCCAGGTAGGGAGTGGTGGGGACTGTGGCAAAGTAGACGTCACACGCCTCATCTAAAAAGTCAACATCTTCTCAGCACTAACCAATGATTACCATCTGGGCTTAGTATTGGCAGAACTTCCAAATTTTTAAGATGAGACAGAAACCTGAATTTTTTTTTTTTTTTTTTTTTGTAAAACTTTCTAATTTCTTGGGGGAAATCTTTTGTCAAAAAGGATTATGTAAAAGTTCCTGACTGGGCACAGTGGCTCACATCTATAATCCCAGCATTTTGGGAGGCTGAGGTAAAACAATCACTTGAGCCCAGGAGTTTTAGGCCAGCCTGGGCAACATAGTGGGACCCCCATCTCTACAAAAAATAAAAAAATTGGCCAGATGTGGTGGTGCACACCTTTAACCCCAGTTACTTGGGAGGCTGAGGTGGGAGGATCACTTGAGCCTGGGAGGTCGAGGCTGTAGTGAGCCACGATTGCACCACTGCACTCCAGCCTGGGCAACAAAGCGAGACCCTGTCTCAAATGAAACTCCCCAAATTCCCACATTGTAGAGATACACAATGAAATATTTACAATGGAATGAAATCTCTGGATTTGCTTCCGCATATCTGAAGGTGGGAAGAGAAGCAAGCGAGGGAGGGTACAGGATGAAGCAAGATAGGCCTGAGTTGATCATTGTTGGAGCAGAGTGATGGGTGTGTGTTGTTGATGGTACAATTCTCTCTGCATGTTTGAATTTCCTATAATAACAAGTTAAAGTAAACACTGTGTAGGCCAAACAGAAAACACCCACTAGCCAAATTCAGCCTACTGGTCACTGCTTTCTGGTCTGTATTGTTGAGTTATGTGACCACACAGCACCCTGGGAAACCCATCCTAGCTCAGTGTACACACCTGGCACCGTGAAAGCCCCAGGCAATCTGAGATCTGATCCAGATAGTCTCTGCTCCCCATGGATTTGAGGGGGTTGTCTTTTCTTGCCCCTCAGGTCAGGTCTGAACTCTGCCATTAAATACTTTGGTGACCTCAAGCAAATCACAGCTTCTCTGTGTCTCTGACTTCTCTTTCTTGTCCCTGTCTACACCAGCGGTGTGGGGGAAGGAGAGTCAGCCTGATCCAGTTATGGGCCAGCATGGGCTAGGATTGGGAAGCCTGTTGTCCCTGAAACACGTCTGTGGAAGATTTTTCCCCTTGCCTGTTTGTGGCAGCCTGTGATTCCCTCCAGAGCCTTTCATTCTATCATGAGAGACAACGCTGAAAATACACACCCTCCTGGGAAGCATGCGGCCTCCACTCAAGCGTATTCACACCACAGCACCTAGAATTGAAGGCAGAGAGTGATGGACATGGGCTCGCAAGTCCACACAAGGCTTAACTAAGGAAGCCAGGAGGGAGAAAGACCAAGTACAGGTCATGGGGGCAGGACAGGGCAGGCTAATCTCCAAGGCAACAAGTTCCCCAAAAAAGTTCTGTGAGGTTTCAAAATGTCTTAAATGGCACCCCCAATTTCTGAAAAACAAGATTATTTTATTATTTATTTTATTTTATTTTATTTTGAGATGGGTTCTCACTCTGTTGCCCAGGCTGGAGTGCAGTGAGGAGTGTGATCATGGATCACTGCAGCCTCCACCTCCTGTGCTCAAGTAATCCTCCCACCTCAGCCTCCCGAGCAGCTGAGACCAAATAAGTGCAGGCCACCAAGCCATACCCCACTAATTTTCAAATTTTTTTGAAAAGACCAGGTCTCGATATGTTGCCAGGGCTGGTCTTGAACACCTGGGCTCAAGTGATCCTTCTGTCTTGGCCTCCCAAAGGGCCGGGATTTCAGACATGAACCACTATGCCTGTCCTGAAAAATGAGATTTTAAATTGAATATCATCCAACAAACAAGGTTATTCATTGCAGCATTATAACACAAAGGATTATAAAGCAAAGCATTGGAAGGAGCCTAAAAGTCTTCCAACAGGGAAAAGGTGAAATAAATTAGGGTATTTCCATATAATAGAATAAGTTCTGTGTAGCTTTCAAAAGAAAAGAAAAAGAAGACGGAAAAGAAAAAAGAAAAAGAGGAAAACTCTGAGCACCGATATGGAATAATGCCATTTGCATAAAAAGTGGGTAGGGGAAGGCTATGGACTTGCATTTATTTATTTATAGATAAAATATCTCTGGAAGGATTTACAAGAAACTTATAATACTGGTTATCAGTGGGCGACCCCCCAGAAACATCCACATTCGAATCCCCGGAAACTGTGAATATGTTGTAGAAGGGACTTTGCAGATGTGATTAAATGCATAATTTTGGCATGGGGAGATTGTCTTGGATTATACAGGTGGTCCCAATGTAATCACAAAGGTCCTATAAAAGGGAGCAGGAGGATCAAAGTCAGAGGTAAGAGATGTGACAACAGAAGCAAGAAGCTGGTTTTGGGGGTTTTGTTTGTTTGTTTGTTGTGTTTTTTTTTTTTTTTTTTTTTTGAGACAGGATCTCATTCTGTCACCCAGGCTGGAGTGCAGTGGCATGATCTCAGCTCACTGCAGCCTCCACTTCCCCAGGCTCACGCGATCCTCCCACCTCAGCCTCCCAGGTAGCTGGGACTACAGGCATGCACCACCATGCCTGGCTAATTTTTGTCTATTCTTTGTAGAGACACAGTCTCAGTTTGTTGCCCAGGCTGGTCTCCAACTCCTGGGCTAAAGAGATCCTCCTGCCTCAGCTTCCCAAAGTGCTGGGATTACAGGCATGAGCCACTGCACCCAGACAAAGCTGCTGGTTTTAAAGATGGCAGGAGGGGTCATAAGCCAAGGCAGGCAGGCAGCCTCTAGAAGCTGGAAAAGCAAAAGAAACAGATTCTCCCCTGGAGCCTCCGGAAGGAAACAACCTTGCTCACACGATGATTTTAACATCTGCCCTCCAGAATCATTAAGAAAGCAAATTTGTTGTTTTAAGATTGGCCAGCCAAGGCTGCTGTGGAATTTAGATCCGTGTGTCCAGGAAACCCAGGAAAACAACTGGACCTACTTTTGCTCCGTAGGGTGCAGGAGGATGGATTTTTGTGTTGGATTTGTGGTCCCATGGGCCTGGGCTCGCCTCCCAGCTCTGTACACTAGCAATTCTGACACTGGCCAAGTCACTTGACCTGCCTGTGCCCCACTTCCCTCCTCTGAATGGCAGGGCAGTAACACCACCCGACAGTGTTCTGGAGAGGACTGGGTGCAATGCTGTGTGCTGAGTCCCTGGCTGGCAGCATTCTGGAGAGGACTGGGTGGAATGCCATGTGCTGAGTCCCTGGCTGGCAGCGTTCTGAGAGGACGGGGTGCGATGCCATGTGCTGAGCCTCTGGCCCATGTCGGCCTTGACAGTGCAGCTCTTTGCATGGAACAAATCAATCCCTCTGCTGAGTCAGAACTTGCTCTCTGTTCCTGGTTGTGCCCAGAGACCGGGGACTTTCCCTCTTCTTCCTACCTGGAAGTCAAAGCAGAGCTGAGCCCTGCGGACCAGAATGTGGGCAGCCTCATTCTGGACTCAGCATCACCAGAGGACACCAAGGCCTGGCCCCAGGAGTAGGGAGCTCAGCCTGGCTGGCCGAGACTGCCTGCCAGCTGGAGCCAGTACGTGGCCCTTAGCCAAAGTGCCCTGTTGCCTCAGAGGCTCCACGGTCCTGCTGGCCACCTTTCATGACACTTTGATTTTAGCCTTCTGACCTCCAACACTGTAAGCACAAATGTGTTGTTTTAAGTTGGCCAGCTAAGGCTGCTGTGGCATTTGGATCCATGTGTGTCCATGAGGGCTCTGGGGGTGACCGGGAACATTTATCCTCACAGCAACCCCGGCCACTTTTACAGATGAGGAAACTGAGGCACAGAAAAGTTCAGTCACTTGCCCAAAGCTACACAGCTGGTCGGCAACAGAGCTGGGATTTGAACCCCAGCACCCACGCTTCTAACCACCACACAGGCTTCCTCTCATGAGGAAGCTCGGAACGTCCTTATTCCTGGCTCTCGCAGTGCTTCCTGGGCCACACAGCAGGTGGTTCCAGCTTCCCCCCAGCCCTCCAAAGAGGCTGGGCTAGATGAGGCCAGACAAGAAGTGGGAGTGAGGTTTCCAAGCCAGGCCCTCATGGCACTCAGCCCTCCTCAGCAGGACAGTGAACCGCGTGACCTTCCCCCACTGTCGGCATGTGGAGAAAGCGTGGCTCCGACTGCCAGATGGGTCACCGAGTGAGGCTCAAGTGTCCCAACCCAGGGGAGCCCCCGTAGGGTAGAGGGGAGCTCTGGACACCTGTGGGGGCTGCACTGATCGTCTTTCTTGTCTGAGCTCCAAGGCCCCGCTTTAACTCTCTCAAACTCTCTGATGTGCATAGGAGGATTTTCCTTCTGAATCCAAAGATTAGAAAGTAAAAACCAGTTACCAGAATAATAATATGTCAGAACCTGGAAGAAGCTCTGGGATCCCCTCTCTGGCAGAAAACCAGAAACGGGGTGACATGCTCAAGGTGGCATACGCTGACTCTAAGGCTCGCCCAACACCGGCAGCCCGTTCCAGCTTCCCCCACTCCCTCTATGCAGGTTCTACCTTGGGGGCTTCCATAGGGTGGCTGAGGGGTCATTGGTGACAGCCAGGAGGAAACAGGCCTCCTTTCTCCATTCTTCCTCTCTGGAGTCTAGAAAGCAGAGCTGAGCTCTGCAGACCAGAACATAGGCAGCCTCATTCTGGACTCAGTATCACCAGAGGGCACCCAAGCCCGACCCTGGCCTCTGCTGAGGTGGCCCCTGGCAGCTTCCCTGCCCTCAGCACCCTGCCTCTGCCCACCCTCCCCATTCTGTCTCCCCACTCAGGAAGGGCCCATCAGCCCACCCACTCCAGCCCCTCGGGAAGCTCTTTGCCAAGGCAGGGTGAGATCCTGTGACAGGACCCAGCCCAGGACACAGTCACCCCTGAAGGCTCCTGGGCTCCTGGGGCTGCCACTCCCATCTGGGGGCATTTGGCAACTGGCCTTTGCCTCCCTGAACCTTGGATTTTCCGTGAATGAAGGGGACTCATAAACCTCACAGAGTTTCAGCAAGGCACCTGCAGCCCTCTGACCCCACACTGCAGGGACAGTCCCTGCCTCCGTCACCTCTGAGACTGTCCGTCTACAGATGCCCTGACATGCCTATGCCTGGTTAACTCCGCCTCACCCTTCAGAGCACAGACACCTCCTCGGGAGGCCTTCCCTGCTGCCCCCAGACTCCCAATAACATGAAACACTCCCAAAGCACCTACAGTGTGTCAGGCACTGTTCAAACACTCTAGATACACTACTTCCTTAATCCATATCCCAACCCTGGGAGTGGGGGGCTCAAGTATTATTCCCACTTCACAGATATGGAAACTGAGGCCCAGAGACCACCAGCCAGTAAATAGCTGGACCCAGGGAGGCCAACTCCACAGTACGCACCCTTAACTACCATGCCGGGTAGCATCCTTACTGTCCCAGAAGCATGCTTGCTTCCTCTTTACACAAACCATCCCACTCTACACCTCTTCCCCTGAGCGCACAGGACAGGACACGACAGCTCAGCCAACACTGTCAAACCCATGATTCATGGGAGGAGCATCCCTCCAGGCATGAGTGAGCTCAGCATGGCACAGCTGTGCCAGGACGACCCCCACTGACATTTCTGCCCTGCTTGTGTTCTCTTTGGGATGCCCCCACCCCTGTCTCCTGCCACCCAGGAGTTGCTTCCTCAGAGCCCCATAACTGTGTCCCCCTGGCTGAGGCAGCCCTGTGCCCACGGCCCTGGAACTCACTGGGCTCAGATAGGGAGCCTGGGAACCGCTGAAGGCCATCTCCACCGCCTCTGTGGCCACCGCTGCCTTTCACACCTGCCAGGCAGTCCTTTGCAGAAGGAATGACTTAACAAAGTAATAGAAACCAAAGCAACTTGGCTGTTATTCAATGGGGAGGAGCCGGCAGCAAGAGGAAGTGGGTCCAGAGAGAGAAAGGTAGGGTGTTGGGTGAACTGGGGTGACACTCATAGAGGGAAGTAGGCACTCCCAGCCCCAGTGACCTTTCCCTCCTCCCTCTCCTGTGCTCAACCCCAGCCTGAAGCATATTTGGTTCATAGAGGTCTACAATGCTTGACCACACTGACATGACAGTGAGTTGCCAGATGACACTGCCCAGAAGTATGTGGCTGGGTGTCCTAAGCATGCTTGGCCACTGGTTCCAGAAAATAATGGGGCTGGGCATTGCCTGTGCACAGGGTGCTTGTGGGGAAGGGCGGCTTCAACCCATTTTACATATAGAGAAGCTGAGGCTCAGAGTCTGAGGGACATGCCCCAGGTCACACAGCTAATTCGTGGCAGCCTGAGCTATATGAAGATTCTCAGAATCTTCAAGAAGTATTTCTCCTCTTTAAATTTCTATTCTTCATGTTAAAACATAATTATGTAGAAGGGAATATTTTGCATGAAAAACACTATAATGAAGATTTTTATTCTAGAGTATGGGGTGCCCAGGAGCTTCTGATCCTCCCCCTCAGTGAATCTCTCTTTCTTCTCTTCTCCATCCTTATTTTGTGAGCTTTAGGATGGGGAGAGAAGTCTTGGACATAATAGAACATTTCAAGTGACATGGGAGTGGGAAGGAACATATGGCATGAACTGCCTTTAATTGGCTTCAGCACCTAGTTAGGGGAAATAATTGGCTGAAACAGAGAATAACAGGATAGGCTGCAGAGGGGAGAGGGAGCCATGAAATAAACTTACCTGAAGTTGACCAGGTCCCAACGATGTGCTGGCGAGAAGGCCCAGAACTCAAGCTGGGGATGGGCGGGTAAGGACCATACAGGCTCGAGGGGATGGCAGGTGCCCCAGGCCATACGTGAGTCTGCACCTCTCTTCCTTCCTGTGTTCTGCCTAGATGCACTAGAATTTGCAGACGAACTCCTTTGAGATGTTCCCATAGACTGAGGCCGTGTGTGTCGTCTGCACTCACCATCCCATTATGTTCTGGATCAAGTAGAATTTGACCAAGTTAAGGAGTAGACAGTACAAGGGGAGCAGAAAGGAGAGAAAAGAAGGGAAATTCTTTGCAATCCTCTCGAACACCAGGAATATTTTCATCACGTCACGTCATTTGTAGCAATCACCAATTGATTGGGATATGGAACAACTGGAACTATCATTCATAGCAGACTTGAGTGTAAAATAATCCAACTTAGAAAAATGGGCAGGGCGTGGTGGCTCATGCCTGTAATCCCAGCCCTTTGGGAGGCTGAAGCGGGAGGATCACTTGAGTCCAAGAAGTTGAGACCAGCCTGGTCAAGATAGGAAGACCCTGTCTCTACATATAATTTAAAAGGCAAATTAGCCAGGTGTGGTGGTGCACACCTGTGGTCCCAGCTATGTGGGAGGCTGAGGTGGGAGGCTCACTTGAGCCCAGGAGGCCGAGGCTGCAGTGAACCCTCATCACGCCACTGCACTCCAGCCTAGGTAACAGAGCAAGACTCTGTCTCAAAAAATAAAAAAAATAAAAAGAAAGAAAAACTGCTTGGTGAGTTGTAATATAGTCAAATATCTACTTCAAAGTTGCTGGCTTTTCTACTTCTGAAAAATTACCCAAGAGAAAGGAAAACATATTTGTCTGTTTTTAAAAGCTTTACTCGTCATAGCCCCAGGCTGGTAACAATGCAAATAGTCACCAACAGAAGAAGGGAGAAATGAATTGTGGTTTTCACACCACAGGGTGGCCCTCAGCAATAAAAAGGAGCTAGGCCACAGGAAACGTCAATGAGCCTTGCAACTGAGCGGAAGAAGCCAGATCCAAACAGACACATGCTGTGAGAATTCCATTCGAGTCAAGTTGAACAACAGGCCAGAGTGGCGTTACCCTTGGGAGTCACTGACTGGGAGGGGCACGAAGGAGTCTTCGAGAGGCTGGAAATGTTCTGGATCTGGTTCTGGGTGGTGGTCCCACAGGTGTTTACATCCATTAACAACAGGCTGAGGCTGGGTGCAGCAGCTGACACCTGTAATTCAGCACTTTGGGAGACTGAGGCAGGAGAATTGCTTGAGTCCGGGAGTTTGAGACAAGCCTGGGCGGCATAGCAAGACCTTCTGTGTACTAAAAATCAAAAAAATTAGTGAGGCATGGTGGTGCATGCCTGTAGTCCCAGCTACAGGGAGGCTGAGGCAGGAGTATTGCTTGAGCCTGGGAGGCTGAGGCCACAGTGAGCTATGATCGTGCCACTGCATTGCAGGTTGAGTGACAGAGCAAGACCCTGTCTCAAAACAAAACAAAACAAAACTCAAACAGAAAACCAGGATCTGTACATTTTATTCTACCTAGACAATATCGCCATAAAATACTGCTAAAAGAAAAAATCTCCCAGAGCCCAAGGAGACACAGGCACAGCTAAGAGTTCCAGCAGTTTAGCACCTTAGCATCACCTTGAGCCTTGGAGGTGAGTCACAGTTAAGCAGCTTCACTAGTGAGTCCAGCCCATAAAGGAGGGCCCTCTGCTCCATGCCCTGTCTGGAGGGGCCCCAGTAAGGTCATACCCAAAGGCTGACATGTTTTTAGACTAATCAACACAGTAGGGAGGCACTTCGAGGCACAGTGCCAGGCCACTGAGAGTTCTGACTTCGGCACCCTTCAGTCACCACAATCCATTCCCAGTGGTTAGCTCTGGTCTTCAGGAGACTAGAAGCAGCCCTCGGGAATGTTCCTGCTCAGAGCTCTAGTGTTCAAAGTCACAGACCCTTCTCAGAGGCTCTCTCTTCTCTGCCCTAGAGACTGAGGGAGTCTGCCACCTCACACTCATTAGGATGCCTATGATTAAAAAAAAAATCCAGAAAATAACAACTGTTGGCCAGAATGTGAGTAAACTGGAACCCTGTGAAAACAGCGTGGCTGTTCCTCAAAAACCTCATCATAGAATTACTATATGATCCAGCAATTCCACTTCTGGGTATATCCCCCAAATAACCAAAAGCAGGAACTCAAAGAGACATGTGAACACCCACGTTTGTAGCAGCATCATTCACAAAAGCCAAGAGGTGAAAGCATCACGTGTCCATCAACGGATGAGTGGTCAGCAAAATGTGGGCCAGACATACAATTCAGCCCTAAAAAGGAAGGAAATTCTGGCATATGCCACAACATGGATGGTCCTTGAGAACATTAAGTGAAATAAAACAGCCATAAAAGAACAAGCACTGTAGGCCGGGTGCGGTGGCTCACACCTGTAATCCCAGCACTTTGGGAGGCCAAGGTGGGAAAATCACCTGAGGTCAGGAGTTCAAGACCAGCCTGGCCAACATGGTGAAATCCCGTCTCTATTAAAATTACAAACAGTAGCCAGGTGCGGTGATGAGTGCCTGTAGTCCCAGCTACTCGGGAGGCTGAAGCAGGAGAATCGCTTGAACCTGGGAGGCAGAGGTTGCAGTGAGCTGAGGTCGCACCACTGCACTCCAGCCTGGGCAACAAAATGAGACTCTGTCTCAAAAAAAAAAAAAAAGAAAAAGAAAAAGCACTGTATGATTTCACTTGTCTGAGATACCTAGAGTGGCCAGAATCAACAAAAGAAAGTAGAATGGTGGTTAGGGGCTGGTAGGAGGGGGAATGAAGACTTATCATTTAATAGGCATAGAGTTCTGGTTTTACAAGATGAAAAGAGTTTTGCGGATGGATGGTAGTGATAATTGTATAACAGCATGAATGTTCTTAATACCACAGGTCTACCACTTAATATTGGCTCTTGGCTAAGATCTTAGCTGAGGCCATTGACTAGAACACCTGCAAGTGGCTTTTCCACATGGCTTGGGCTTCCCCACAATATGGTGGCTGGAGTCCACGGGTGAGCATTCCCAGTGAGAGCCAGGTGGAACTTACATCCCTTTTATAACCTAGCCTCAGAAGCCATCCAGTGCCATTTCCACCACATTCTATTTGTTGAGGCAATCACATGAGCACCACCCAGGCTCAAGGGGAGGGGAAAGAGACCTCACCTCCAGACAGGAGGCAGCAAGAGGTTGAAAGAGCACCTGGGACCAGGAATATTTGGAAAATTCAATGCCTGCCGCAGACAATAAGTAAGTGCTGGACTCCTCTGGGCACTGGGGTACAGAGAGAATTGGACATAGTCCCAGCCTTAAGCATCTCATATTCCAAAGGGTAAGATGGATATACAGCTGGGCTACATGGCTTCAAGGAGGAAGTGCACAGAGATTTTTTTTTTTTTTTTTTTGAGACAGAGTCTGTCTCTGTCGCCCAGGCTGGAGTGCAATGGTGCCATCTCAGCTCACTGCAAGATCCCCCTCCAGGGTTCAAGGATTCTCCTGCCTCAGCCTCCTGAGTAGCTGGGATTACAGGCACCCACCACCACACCCGGCTAATTTTTTGTATTTTTAGTACAGACAAGCTTTCACCATATTGGCCAGGTTGATCTCGAACTTCTGACCTCAGGTGATCCACCCACCTCGGCCTCCCAAAATGCTGGGATTACAGGTGTGAGCCACCGTGCCCGGCCAAGATTTTTTGTTAAAGTTAATATAGTTGCTTATGTGCTGGACATCATTCTAGGTGTCTTACAATTAACTTTATGTCAGTTTTATGAAGCAGGCACAAATAATAATCCCCATTCTACCTGGAAAGAAACAAAAGCACGGAGAGGTGAAGCAACTTGCCCACAGTCACACAGAGGCAAAGTGCCAGAGCCGGGACTCAGCCCGGGCAGTCCCGCAATGGAGTCTGTGCTGCTCACCACGGCACCACCCCACCTCTCTTCTCAGATGCCCCCTCATGGGATGGACCTACTTTCACGGACCTCAACGTCTTTGCAGGGAACATGGGCCTGAGTGACTGCACTCTGTCCCTAGGGAGTGAGGAGGGTTCTGCCAAGTGGTTTCATTTTGATCACTGTTTTCTGTGCCTGGGGGGTGGGAAGCCCAGAATGGCACAGCTCAGCTCCTAGTCCTATCAACTCACTCTCATCCAGGGCTGATTCCAGAGGGGTGGCAGGGAATGAGGGGTGGGGGTTGCTCTGCTGAACAGGAAGGAACACTGAGTCCATTCTCTTTTGTATCTGGGGATCCCCAGAGAAGAATGCAACATGGTATGAAAGAGTGGAACGCCAGCTTCTAGGGGAGCCCCAGTGTCCAACAAGGGCACACACTTTGGGAGTCAGCCAGGCCTGGCCCCAATTCCAAGCTCCTTCACTTCCAGGCGGGATGATGCTGTGCAGGCTACTTCACTGCAGTAACCCCCAGTTTTCCCTTCTGTACATGGGGGTGATATTTTCTCACATGACTTCCCTGATGTGAAATGAGAGAACACATGTGAAGCACCTAGCATGATCCTGCCACGTAGTAGGCAGTCAGTGACCATCTCTCCCTTTGGCCAGGCTTCCTGGCATGTGCCGGACCTAGACCCTGTCCCCCAAGGAATCTGACCAACACACTGCAGTGTGGGCTTTCACCTCCCTTGTTTCTACACACTCTACCACCAGTGATGTCACCTAAGATTATTTTATTATTTTGGCAGCCATATCCCTCAGTGGTTCTCATCAACTAAAATCCTACAGTTCTTTCCACAGGTAGCAGCTGCTTCTCAGTGTCCTCCCAGCGGCCATCATAAATGACCTGGCTGCAGTGATAGTTGTGCTGTTACAGAAATATGGAAAATCCCAGGCCACTTCCTGCACACCTCAGGACCTGTTTCCTTCCACACTAAAGGCTTGCTCAATACCCCAACGAAGGAGAGATGGGTAAGATTCAGAACCCAGGCCTCCCGCACCCTCCCTCTGATGAGCCCTATTCCTGAGGCGTATTGTCCAGCCATTTGCTCAAGGGAGAAAGACAGTAGATGCTCAGTTCCTACTTGGTGATGAGAAGGTGACTGAGAAGGGTGTGTCTACTTCTTCAGTGCGGCTCTGCCTCCCAGCCTAGAAACTGACTGAAATAACAACCAACAATTTTAAAGGTGGGATGTGGGCGGGAAGTGGAAATCTACATTCACACTGGAAACTAGAGTGTTGTCACGGGCCGTCCACATGCTGCGAGCATTGAACGTGATGCGTTGCCAGAGCTCACGTGGGCTGGAAAGAAGGCATCACCGGGTCACTGCAATCAATGCACAGCTTCCCTTCTGGGAATGGACTTAGTGATCCTGGAAGGGAGGTGCAGATCCTGGCTGGATGAGGGCAGCCATCAGGCTTTGAACATTCACTTTATGTGCTAAGTGCTTCACACACTTCATTGATTTGGTCATCACCACAAGCCTGCCAAGTAGCAAGATCCCACTTCCCTTATCAACAAGGAGACGGAGGTTCCAGGAGGTGCAGGAACCCGTAGCGGGGCTGAGGGCTGTCTTGGTGTCCCCCATGGACTCAGGGGACTGGGGAAAGGGGAGTTAGTGTTTAATGGGAGTTTCATTTGGAGATGAAAAGGTTCTGGAGATGGATGGTGGTGATGGTTGCATAACAGTGTGAATGTACTTAATGCTAGTAATTTGTACATTTCCAAATGGTTTAAATGATAACTTTTATATTCTGTACACTTTACCACATAAAAAAGGTGGGGGGAGGAAGGCAATCACTGCTAGGTTGCTGTGGTAACTCTGCAAGTGTATATAAAGGTATCAGGAAGAAAAAGCTAAAATACTCACTTACAGTCTCCCATTGTTTTGCTCCAGAATCCACACACCTGCTCTGTCTCTGCAATGTACATAATTAAAAGAATGCAGGTGCTTGGCCTGATTGAATTGAGCCTGCTTCCCCCTCAACTGCTATTATATTCCAGATGGGATAATGTGGTCAACCCAAAGTTCTGAGTCTGAAGCCTGCCCTTTTTGTGTTAAAAGTGAGATCAGACCCAGGCGTGGTGGTGTGCACTTGTAGTCCCAGCTGCTTGGGAGGCTGGGGCAGGAGGATCGCTTGAGCTTAGGAGTTCCACACAGTAGCATGCTATGATTATGTCTGTGAATAGCCACTGCAGTCCAGTCTGGGTGACAGAAACAGACCCGCATCTCTTAAAAAAAAAAATGTGGCCAGACATGGTGGTTCACACCTGTAATCCCAGCACTTTGGGAGGCTGAGGAGGGTGGATCATGAGGTCGGGAGTTCAAGACCAACCTGGCCAACATAGTGAAACCCCGTCTCTACTAAAAATACAAAAATTAGCCAGGCATGGTGGCAGGCACCTGTAATCCCATCTATTTGGGAGGCTGAGGTAGGAGAATCACTTGAACCCAGGAGGCGGAGGTTGCAGTGAGCCATTGCACTCCAGCCAGGGCAACAATGCAAGACTCTGTCTCAAAAAAAAAAAAAAAAAATGCAATCAACACCGGTGGAGAGGAGGTACTGGCATCAACCTGAGCCTTTCTCTTTTTAAAAAATTATTTATTTATTTATTTATTTAATTTATTTTACAGACAGGGTCACGCTATGTTGCGCAGGCTGGTCTCAAACTCCTGGGCTCAAGCGATCCTCCAACCTCAGTGTCCCAAAGTGCTGAGATTACAGGCTTGAGCCACCACACCTGGCCTAGCCTTTCTTCTTGAGGTCATCAGAAGGGTTGAAAGACACTTGAAAATAACATCCTCACTGTGTGATGCCAGGGTATTTAATCCTGCATCTGTGAAGGTAAAGTGTTCTAGCAGACTAGCAGACAGGGTCCGGTTCTCACTGGGCAGCCCTGTTGAGGAGAGCAGGAACTGCAGGGGCTGGGGCTGTCCAATGACCAAGAGAAGAACAATTAGGCAGAGCGGACAGAGCTCAGAGCCCTGCATGTGAGCATGTTGTTCCCCACGTCCCCACCCCAACTCTTGTTGCTTTTCGCTGCACTGTTGGGGGAGACCCCCTTTCTACTGAATCTCACTGACACCATGTCACGCTCCCATCATGGACTCTGGGCCTTGGGGAGAGCCACCGTGGTCTGTGGCGGGTCAGAGCATGTAACTAGAGCACACAGTGTGTGGCAGCCAAAAGCTGGAAGGTGAACATACAGTTGACACTTCCTGATGCTGGGCGTAGCAGCTTGGAATCAGCTCCAGATGCCTCCCAGTGACAGTGGAGCTGTCAGAACCTGCAACTTGGTGGCCTGCAGCCAATTCCAGTCTGCAAACTTGTTTTGTTTGTCCTATAAACTGTTTTAAAAATGTAAGCCAACTTCTGAAAATTGGGAGATTTCACATAAAATTCCACACTTCTAGCATCTCTTAAAAAAAAAAAAAAAAAAAAAAAGCTGATGCGGTGGCTCACGCCTGTAATCCCAGCGCTTTGGGAGGCCCAGGTGGGCAGATCACTTGAGGTCAGGAGTTTGAAACCAGCCTGGCCAACATGGTGAAACCTGGACTCTACTAAAAATACACAAATTAGCTGGGCTTGGTGGTGTACTCCGGTAATCCCAGCTATTTGGGAGGCTGAGGGAGGAGAATTGCTTGAACCCAGGAGGTGGAAGTTGCAGTGAGCTGAGACGACGCCATTGCATTCCAGCCTTGGCAACAAGAACAAAACTCCGTCTCAAAACAAAACAAACAAACAAACAAAAAAACAAACCAAAGACAGAAGAAGTACAATATAACTTTTTAAATTTAATTTAATTTTCACAAAGACAGAATTGAATAATGCAACTTATAAAGAATTTTTTTAGAGAACCTCCCTTTTATTAATTTATTTCTGAGATGGGGTTTCACTGTGTTGCCAAGGCTGGAGTGCAGTGGCGTGATCTCGGCTCACTGCAACCTACGCTTCCTGGATTCAAGTGATTCTCTTGCCTCAGCCTCCGAAGTAGCTGGGATTACAGCCACCCACCACCATGCCTGGCTAATTATTTTTGTATTTTTAGTAGAGACGGGTTTTCACCTTGTTGGCCAGGCTGGTCTCGAACTCCTGATCTCAGGTGATCTGCCCGCCTGGACCTCCCAAAGGGCTGGGATTACCGGCGTGAGCCACCGCGCCTGGCCTACTTTTTCTGTCTTTGAATGTCATAGACATTCAAAGGTTGCCAGTGAGAGGCTGGTGTGAAGTGACTCAACAGGACATCTCAAGCCACAGTTCCCGAAGGGATAGCAATGGTGCCGTGAGGGAGGGGTTGTGGTGTCTTCGTTTCTGTCAATGGGGGGGAATCTGCTCTCAGCCCCACACCAGTGGGGGAGCTTCCATCTCTACAAAAGGGAGTGGAATGAAAGAATATGCACATCCCAGAATGGCAGTCCCAGGAGAATTCCTGAGGAGAAGGCAGAAAAGGCCCAATGAGCAGGAAACAGGGAGAAACAGGAAGCCGCAGGGCAACCTCCCCAGAGAGAGGGTCCCACTCCTCTCCTGTCCCCTCCCCACCCATCTGGGCAGACCTCATCCCATCTCAGCATAAAGCTCCAACAGCTCTGACCACTCCTGCTCACCGTGACCCATTCTCCACACTGTAGCCACAGTGGTCTCTCTACCCACGAATGTCTAGTGCCTCCCTCTTCAACCTTCCAGACTCTGTCCTCCTTCATTGTGGATGGAAACCAGGCAGGGCTAGACAGGACTAGCTGCATGGGCCTACGACCTGTGCAGTCACAGAGGGCCCCGGTGTTAAGGGCCCCACACTTGGTTTAATGCTCTGCTATAACTGCCTTGACATCCCTCATGACACATGACCAAGAGATCCACATTTCCATTTTCGGTGGGCTCTGCAAATATGTAGCCACTTCTGGTACCCAGCCTCACCCACTGGGGATTCATCTTTAAGTCCAGGCTTCGAGGCTCAGGAATGTAAATGAAGTCACATTTCTGTTTAATAACAAAATTACCAGACTTGAAACTCAAACCTCCTTAATCACAGTCTTCAGCCAGGCCCTATTCCTGAGGGTGTCTGGGCCTTCTGGGCCTCCCTTTTGGGAGCCAAGTCTGTTGCACAAACCTGCTGGCTTGGCAGTGTGCCTCAGCCAGCCCAATGGTGCCAGGCTCTGGGCAGCAGACTCAGTGCAGTGCCCAGTCCTCCCCTTGAGCAGCTGGCATCCTACAGTGCCCAGGCCACCTGGCTGAGGTGGGCTCCAAGTTTCTCTGTAGATTTTCTCTCCTGATAGCTAAGGCCATCAGGCAAGGTCTGACAATTCTTTAGAAGGTTTAGAGAGAAGATTCTCATGTTTAGCTAACATGCGCTGAGCAGCTCCTACATGCAAGGTGCTGCTCTAAGCACTTTTAGCGCACATTCCAGGAACCTCACCATCACGCTATGAGGGAAGTACTGTTCATGACTGCTGCCTAGTTATTACAAGGAAACTGATGTTCAGGAAGATTAACTGCACCTCACTGGCCACTCCTTCTCATCTTCCTGCTGGGTTTACCTCATTGTCTAACCTCTAAGTGCAGAGGCCCTGGGCAGGCCTCGATTCTCTCCTCCTTTCAGTCCACCCTCTCACCCCTGTTGGTCTTCTGCAACCTCACTCAGCCACCTAATCTATCAAATGACTGTGAACTCCAGATTCCACCTGCCTCTCAGCATCTCTGCGTGGATTTCTAACAGACAAGCTCAAACTCTGTGCATCCAGAACAGAGCTCCTGATCCCCCATCCCCAACTTCCTGCTTCTGTAGGCTTCCCCCATCTTAGACACTTGCTTGACCAAAACCACTGGAATCATTCTTAATTCTTCTCTACCCGAAATCTAATTCATTACCAAATACTGTCAGCTAGACTTTAAAAATATATGCACACACAAAACATTATATGCAGATGCTCCTTGACTTATGATGGGGTTACATCCCAACAAACCCGTCGTAGGCTGAAAATATCAGGTTAAAAATGCATCTAATACACAACCTATGAAACATCATAGCTTAGCCTAGCCTACTTTACACGTGCTCAGAACACATACATTAGCCTACAGTTGAGCAACATCATCTAACACGAAGCTTATTTTATAATAAAGTGGTGACTATCTTACATAATTTATGGAATACTGTACTGAAAGTGAAAAACAGAATGGTTTTATGGGTACTTGGCATGATTTCTGCTGCATGTATATGGCTTTCATACCACAGTAAAGTCAAAAATTGTAGGTTGAACCATTGTAAATCAGGAAATGTCTGTATGTATAGCTCTATAGATAGATAGATCACAATAAAATTGATAAATTAGACTTCTTCAAAATTCAAAACTTTTGCACTTCCAAAGACATCATTAAGAGAGTGAAAATAGGCTGGGTGTGGTGGCTCACACCTGTAATCCCAGCACTTTGGGAGCCCGATGTGGACAGATCTCTTGAGGCCAGGAATTTGAGACCAGCCATGGCCAACATGGCAAAACCCCATCTCCACTAAAAATTCAAAAATTAGCCAGGCATAGTGGCACACGCCTATAATCCCAGTTACTCCAGAGGGTGAGGCATGAGAATTGCTTGAACCCAGGAGGCCGAGGTTGCAGTGAGATGAGATCGTGCTACTGCACTCCAGCCTGGACGACAGAGCAATACTTTGTCTCAAATAAATAAATTAATTAAAAAAAGAAGACTCCTAGGTGTCTGGCCTGGGCAGCAGGGTGGATGGTAGCACTGTTTACTGAGATGAAGATTAAAACAGGAGCAGATTGGCGGGTGGCTATAAGCCAGAGTTGAGTTTTTGATGTGAGATGCCTATCAGATGAAAGTGCCAAGGAGGCAGTTATATTCCCAAGTCTGTGCTTAGAGGGAGACCAAGCAGGAGAGAGGACGTGGGAGGGGCACATGAAGATGCTTTACACAGCCAGGAACATGGATGATGTCACAGGAGACAGTGTAGACAGAGAAGAGATGAGGAAGCAGGACCACCCTCATCAGGACTGAGCCTGTGGGATTCCAGTTTCTCTTTATGAATATTTTCTTTCTCCTCTCCTCTCCTCTCCTTTCTCTTTCTTTCTTTCTCTTTCTTTCTTTCCTTCCTTCCTTCTCTGTCTTTCTTTCTTTCTTTCTTTCTTTCTTTCTTTCTTTCTTTCTTTCTTTCTTCCTTCCTTCCTTCCTTCCTTCCTTCCTTCCTTCTTTCCTTCCTTCTTTTTTTTTTTGACAAGGTCTTGCTTGTTGCCCAAATTGGAGTGCAGTGGCAAGATCTCGGCTCACTGAAGCCTTGACTTCCCAGGCTCAAGCGATTCTCCCACCTCAGTCTCCCAAGTAGCTGGGACCACAGGTGCGCAGCACCAGGCCTGACTAATTTCTTATTTTTCGTAGAGATGGGGTCTTGCTATGTTGCCCAGGCTGCTCTCCAACTCCTAGATCCAAGTGATCTTCCCACCTTGGCCTCCAAAGTGCTAGGATTACAGGCGTGAGCCACTGTGCTGGGGCTTGTAAATATTTATTGAGTGAATGAGACATTCTTCAGCCCTAAGTAAAGTTGATGGCCTCCTAAGCGATTAGATTAGAAACTCCCACAGTCAGATGTGGGCAGAAGACAAGGAGGCAGCCTCATAGGCTGAGAGGAGCTGCCAGTGAGGACAAAGAAAGCCTGCTGCACTGGGATGAACCCCACACTCCTTGGCAGAGCGTAGGCTACCCTGGGCCATCTGCCTGCCGCCTTCCTCTCCACTCTCATCTCTTCCTGCCATCCTTTTTTCCTTTTTGGGCCAATTTTAGTATTTTCCCTAATGCATTCTATTGCTTCAGACCTTCACACATGCTGTCCCCTCTCTAGGATTACAAAGTCACATGAACTCATTATCAGTAAGTCTAACACAATGGAAACACACAACAGAGTAGAAGCTGGCCAGCACCCCTGCTCTCCATTAGTAAGCATTTGCGCTATGTGTTCGCAGATGTGTTTTCTGCGCATATTCTAATGCACTCTCTCTCACACACATGCATGCCAGAATTTCCTCCCTGCCTCCAAAATGGGAAATACCTCCTTTAATGCACGCCTTCTCCTCTTAATGCATTACAGACTCTTTCCACATACATAGACAGCACATACTTGCTTATGCTTATATTTCAGTACAAATGTACATACAGTACATTTCAGTACACAGAGAGGTGCCTTGTTCTTTAAGATACATCTTTACAGTTTGGTTGTATGGATTAATCACAATATATTTAAACAACTGCATTAATGAAGCATTCCCCCATCCCTTTCTTTCTTTCTTTCTTTTTTTTTTTTTAAACAGGAGTCTTGCTCTGTTGCCCAGGCTGGAGTGCCATGGCATGATATCAACTCACTGTAACCTTCACCTCCCAGGTTCAAGTGATCCTCCCACCTAAGCCTCCCAAGTAGCTGGGATTACAGGTGCCCTCCACCATGCCTAGATTTTTTGTGTGTGTGCATGTATTTTTTTAATAGAGATGTATTTTTTTCACCATGTTGGTCAGGCTGGTCTCAAACTCCTGACCTGAACAGATCCACCTGCCTTAGCCTCCCAAAGTGCTAAGATTACAGGTATAAGCCACTGTGCCCGGCCACACTTTCTTTCTTTTTCTTCTTTTTTTTCCCCCTCTTCACGTCCACTGTGGAGTTGTAACTGGAGACATATTTCCACCCACAAAGCCTCCAGATGTTAAAACGTTTCCCAACATCAACTTAATACAGTGATGGCAACACCTCCCCCCCGCCCCTCCCAGTAGGGTTGAGATTATACTGTATTCCCTAGTGGTTTACCCTTCCCCCCATGAAGGGTAGCATTTTCCCTGGGTGCAGAGGCTCCCTCATAGTCTCCAAGACTGAAGGACCCCTAATTTTGGGACTGCAGCTTAAGTGTATTACATTAAACACCATAAAAAGCTGCAAGATGCTCTTTTAAGGGAAGAGGAAACTGGTCAGAGAAATGCCTCCCATTTTCATTGCCAATTTGATTTTTAAATCCATGAAGGATCTTACAGAACATGTCTCTGAGATAATCTTTTGGGTTAATCCATGATGCAACAGCATCACAAAAAAATATAAAATCTTGGATTATGCCATGGGGATTCACACTGATCATGATGCAGATTCCACGGAATGCTGAATCTTTTTCTCATTGTCTCTTATGTTTCTCAGAGAGGTGCACCAGGGTCTCGTAAACTGCTGTAGCATGGGGGCCACCTCTTGAGGACAAACATAACCAAGACAACCAATTGTTACTGCTGTATTCTTTAGCAACGTCTTTGGTGTGTTGGGTCTGTTAATGATTTCTACAAGCTGGTGCAACACCATAGGGTAAATATAAGGCTGCATCTCTATACCCATTTGAATGGAGATTTCTCCAATTGCTCATGTGTCATTGTTGCAGACTGAAATGAATTCTGGAGTTAGGTTGGTTCCCAATATTGGCATGAAATCAGCTACACAAGGCTTAACATGCTGAAAGCAAGCTTTTGTGAGGTCACTTAACAGGGCAAAAGAACTCTGTCGAACTTCCGGCATTTTATCCTGCATGCACTGATATGTTAGTGTTAGGATGTTACTTCGGGCTACCAGTTGTTCAATATTGCCTCCAAGTCCTTCAGCCAGGCCACTCAGTAAATCAAGAGCCACTATCATAAAATCTTTATCTGGAGCTTCATATTGATCTGGTTGAGCATTGCTTAGCATGGCTTGTGCAAGAGTCTTCTGTACTAGGTTTACCCAATGCTGATACATAGGTTCACAGTATGGAAGGAAGCCAGACTGCAGCACCGTGGCAACTGAAAATGGACACTCAGGTAAAGGGAAAAGATCTTTATCTTCATCCTTTAACATGTTCCGTTTCTGGATCAGTGGAGGCATTAGCATTTGAATATATTCTGGTTTGTTTAAATGATGTCCTACTGAATCTGCTAATGTCCCTCTGGCATTGTAAAGAATGAGCAGGTTCTTATGCTGGTATTTACTAAATGCAAAGACCAGGGTATCAAGTATATAAGCAAGGTAAGCAACAAGTTCTGTACAAGCCTCCTCTTCTAGGGTAGCAAAGACACTGCAGGCAGCTTCTGGTACTCTCTTGTTGCTATCCAGGATGCGTTTTAGCAACTCTGTCATTAATGACTTCAGGTACGTGTCTGGTGGCTGGCTGACTACCCAGTGTGCATAGCGGCTAAGAGTCCAGCATGTTATGGAACGGACAAGAGCCTTTTTATCAGAGAGGCACTGAATAAGGTGAGGAATAAGCTCAGGCAAGCAAGGAATCATGCCCTGCATGCAAACCTTCAGCAACTGTTCCTAAACCCAAGATGGCTAATTCTTTAACAACCCATTCATGATGAAAAAGTAATTCTTTCAAAAGGGGCAATATATATGGCAGCAGTTCATCATGATGCACGTTTGCAAGAACATCTAGGGCAGCAACAGAACATTTCCTTAGATTCCAGTCAGAAATTGTATCATCACCATCAATTTCATTATCATCATCATCTTCCTCTTCAATTCCATCTTCATCATGCTGCTGAGCCACTGTCCTTGATCGGTGAAAACGTGGCCATATATCCTGTTCACTATCAGGAATCATTTCGTCTTCTTCAACATCACCCTTAGGTAGGATAATATCTATATCTGAGTACTTCATGCCATTCACTAACACAGGAATCAACCTGGGAAGATGCCTTACGAATACATCTTTGCATACTTGCTGTTCAGCTAAAGTTAGCCAAAATTCACAGGCTTCTAAAGCCACATTTTCATCTTGATCTTGAGTCCTCTGTAGCATATACTCAACTATATTACGCATGTGAGGGAGCAGGCGATCCACTCAAACTTCGAACAACATCACAAGTGCTCGGCACACATTTTTCCATACCTCTGGCTCACCAGCCAATGCAAAGAGATTTCTCAATAAAAGAATCAATGTGCAACATCAGAGCTTGAGTCCTGATGATAAACTGATTGACACATACAACAGCGTGAGACCTTATTTTTGGACTACTGTGCTTGAAGAACTGTAAAAATTTGGGAATCCTGATGTTGAGAGGACAATCTAAAACATCACTATCTAAAATCTCAACAGAATCTTCACAAATCTTCTGAAGGGTGCCAAATGCTCCCTCACAGGTGGTGTAATCGTCAGAATCCAACAGGCTACAGAGTTTTGGTAAGAGGTCAGGCCAATTCTGCAATTCTCTCTTGGAGGCTATAGCTGTGATCGAAATACCAACAGTGGCTCTAATCAGAAGAGAGGAGTCACCAATATTATTTAAACATTCACTTTTAATGAAGTTTGTTGCACCATTTGGGAAGTTCTGAAAGTGTGCTTTCACATTATTCTTCAAGATGAGACCACGCAATGAACTTGTGGGTTCATCTTCAGATTTTAATTTTGTAAGAACAAAAATCAAGTAGTTGCTAAAGTCTGGATATTGATTAAGTTGTTCCAGTTTCTAGAATTGTTGCACAGTTCTCTGGATGGTGGTGTCTGGGGACTGGGACTCCTTCAATAGCTGCAGGATTTGCTGAAGCCCTTGCTTATCAGATTTCCATTCGTACTCCACCTTGGTTTGCTGGAGTGCCCCAAAGGAAGTCTCGGACAGTGAAACCCAGTGGAACTGCTCCTGGCAGCCCAGCCGCCGACGTCTGCTGCTGCTGCCACCACGGCTACAGAGCGCAAGGAGCCAACCAGACTGAGTCCGATTTGATGTGTATCCTTGTTTGATGCCCAGGTTGGAAGCATGTCACAATGAGTCAACTAAGCAATAACTAGAATATTATTGATTCCAGAAAGCTTTCTCTTATTTTAACTCTGTATTTCAGAACTTCAAGGTCTACGAATAGTTACCCACCTATAAAATGAATTCAATTTAACTAAATCCTAGTATTGTGAAGAATTAGTTTTTCGCCATTTCTGTTTACTCTTATACTAACTGAAAGACTGTCTCACCACAATGCTTGATGTAAATGGTCTGATTGGTTAGTGACAACCTCATTAATTATTGCAGCTTGCAAAGGGATTGATTTTTAAATTTTTACTTATTAATTATATACGTGCTTATTTGTTTTCTCATTTACTTGCTTTCTTATTTATTTGCTTATTATTTACTTACTTTCCTGTTGTTTTAAAAGAGGATTCTAATTAGATATTATCTAAGTGATTTTGCCAAGTTCTTACATTTTGTTGGTTTAAATTGCTTTAAGATATATGCTTGAAATCACGTTTATTCTTGAAATGTGTGCCATTTGCAGTGTGTGTGTGAAGGGAAATGAGTTATTTTTTAAAGGGAAATGAGTTATTTTTTAAAAAGAGAATTATTTAGATATGGTTTTAGTGATTCCTCAGCATGATAACTGCTGATGAAATGTAGCTTATTGTTTTCAGCTAGTTTACATTGGTCTTGAGACAAACAGAATTTTGTTTCTTAATTACAGGCTCTAGATGAGTTTATAGAACACCTCAGGGCTGTTATCAAGTACTTACATACGAAGGATAACTCCATTTGATTATATATTTCATACCCCAAAGGAAAATAAGTTTAAATTTAATTTTAACTAGATGATGCCATCGGTATGGAGTCACTCTGTCGTTGTGTCCACACTGGCCAGGAGGCATTTTAATGAATGGTGTTTGTTTATTCAGTCTTAGCCAAATGAGCAAGGACCTGGAGACTGGGCAATTTGAGAAGACGTTTAGGAACCACTGGCTTTTCTCTGTTGACGCCACTATGTAAACTAAGGCTGACAGTGGGTAGGGAATGTGTGTGGAATTCCTGTGTGATTCACTGTAACTGTGGTGTGCTGAATGCGTGCTTAAGCTAGTGTCAGCATCGTCTTCCTGTAAGTTAAAGATCCCTTCTGTGAGCAGGGCTCCTGAGGACTCAGGAATGTTGTATTTTGAAATCTGCTTTAGAGGATATTTTAAGACTTTTAATAAAAGAAAGATGACTAATGTATAAGGGGACTTAAGGGGAAGAAACACCCTTTCCTCTATAGGGTAGCATATTTGGGATTATAATTTTTGTTTTCTTTAGGTTGGTTTCATTTTCAAGTGAATCCAGAAAACACTGTTTTCTTTGACAATATTGCTATAAAATTACCATAATATGAGGATATGTTGTCAGCCTCAAATATATAAAATGACCAATTTCAGTGAGCATTTATCCTTTTAAGAAAACCTACTCTATTAAAATCCAATTTTGTGCAAAAAGTGGGAAATAAATGGAGACGTAAGTGTTTGCTTTATGAGACTATTTGATTCATGTAAATAGAAAATAGTTTTATTACATGTAAAATATGATTTAAATTGGTCAAAATGTCATTTCCAGAAAGCATACCTTTTAAGCCAGCACTCATTACATAGAACAAGGATTCTATCTGTGTGCCACAAACCACTTCAAATAATTTTCTTTATATGTAATGACATATAAAGAAATATATGTAATGACATGTTCCTTAGAGTCCATCTCAACTCCAATTCCTCAGGAACATTGTCTTTGAGTACAAATTATAATGAGTTTATTTTCTAACTAAAGTATAGCAGTTAGACTAGTTTATTAGCTAGTTTGGTTCTGACCTCTGGGGTTGAGAACAGATACAAGACAAATGCTATTATATCTTCAGATCTTATAGAAAGCAGATAGTGGAAATGATGAAGTGTACCTGGCTGGCTTTCTGACGATTTGTGTGAAATGCTTGGCTTTGTAATTTTACATTTCTTTCTAGTCTGATGCCTTGAGTTTATTTAGATAGAAATGTATTTCTACATGGTTATCTGATTTTTAAAATGCTGCTTCACAGTTGTATACTACTTAAGTATGTAGCTTTATATTTAATCTAAGTTGGAATTGGGTTTTTGTTATTGTCATTTGGTACATTGGTCAACACTTAATAAATGTTTAACTTTTTGTTTTGAGTTAATTATAGATTTGCATGCAGTTGTAAGAAATAATACAGAGAGGCCGGGTGTGGTGGCTTATGCCTGTGATTCCAGTTACCTGGGAGGCTGAGGCGGGAGGATCCCTTGAAGCCCAGGAGTTCAAAGATGTAGTGAGCTGTGATGGTGCCACTGCACTCCAGCCTGGGTGACAGTGAGACCCCATCTCTACAAAGAAAAACAAAAAGAAATAATACAAAGAAATCTCACGTACGGGCCTACCAAATTTTATTGTGTTTGCTTTATTGCACTTTGCAGATATTATTTTTTTACAAACTGAAGGTTGGTGGCAACCCTGTGTCAAGCAAGTCTTGCGGTGCTGTTTTTCTAACAGCATATGCTCACTTTGTGTCTCTGTGTTCCATTTCGGTAACAGTATTTTAGATGTTTTCATTATTATCATATCTGTCATAGCGATCAGCGATCTTTGATGTTGCTATTGTAATTGTTTACAACCTCAGTGATATAAGAGGATGAACTTAATCAATGTTGTGTATGTGTCTTTTTTTTTTTTTTTTAAGACAGGGTCTGTCTCTGTCACCCAGGCTGGAGTGCAGTGGCATAGTCACAGCTCACTGCAACCTCCACCTTCCGGTGGAAGATGCCATTTAAGACTTTCATCCTAGAAACGAGAAGTCAGTGCCTGGCTTCAAAGCTTCAAAGGACAGCTGACTGTCTTCTTAGGGGCTAACATAGCTGGTGATGACTTTAAAGTGAAGCCGTTGTTTGTTTACCATCCCAGAAATGCTACAGCCCTTAAGAATTATGTTCAATCTACTCTGCCTGTGCTCTGTACACTTAACAGCAAAGCCTGGAAGACATCTGTTTACAGCATGATTTGCTGAATATTTGAAGCCCACTGTGGAGACCTACTGCTCAGAAAAAAAAAGAATTCTTTCAAAATATTATTTCTTTTTGACAACACACCTGGTTACTCAAGAGCTCCGATGGAGATGTACAAGGAGAGGAATGTTGTTTTCACGCCTGCCAACACAGCATGCATTGTGAAGCCCGTGGTTCAAGGAGCGATTTTGACTTTCAAGTCTTATTAGTTAAGAAATACATTTTGTAAGGCTAAAGCTGTCATAGATAGTGATTCTTCTGATGGATCTGTGCAAAGTAAATGGAAAGCGTTGTGGAAAGGAGTTACCATTCTAGATACCATTAAGAACATTCATGAGGAGGTCAGAATATCAACATCAACAGGAGTTTGGAAGAAATTGATTCCAACCACCCTGGATGACTTTGAGGGGTTCAAGCCTTCAGTGGAGAAAGGAACGGCAGATGTGGCAGAACTCGCAAGAAAACTAGAATTAGAAGTGGAGCCTGAAGATGTGACCGAATTGCAATAAGCTCATGAGAAAACGCGAACAGGTGAGGAGTTGATTTTAACAGATGAGCAAAGAAAGTGGTTTCTTGAGATGGATTCTACTGGTGAGGATGCTGTAAACGTTGTTGAAACGACAACAAAGGATTCAGAAGAGGGTATAAACTTAGTTGATAAACCAGCAAAGGGGTTTGAGAGGACTGACCCCAATTCTGAAAGAAACTACTGGAGGCAAAATGCTACCAAACAGCATCATATGGCCAGAGAAATCTCTCTAGGCCCCAGTTGTTTCTAAGTGAAGAGAGTTTTAGAATCCATCTCATATATTTGTTGCTAGGATGAAGTTAAAACAAGTAGGATATTTAGGATAGGACGTGGCTCATAACAAGCTCTCCATGAATATTAGCTATCGTTATTCTTAACAAAATTACCAGATTAATAGATTGTCTGCTCTGCTCCTTTGCACTAAATTTAGTAGTTTATTTCATTTATTTTATCTTCATTAAGGCAGTTGGCACAAAATTAGTTTGTTAATCTGGGCAATAGAATTCTTTTTTTTTTCTTTTCTTTTCTTTTTTTTTTTTTGAGATGGAGTGTCTCTCTGTTGCCCATGCTGGAGTGCAGTGGCACCATCTCACCTTACTGCAACCTCCACCTCCTGGGTTCGAGAGATTCTCCTGCCTCAGCCTCCTGAGTAGCTGGGACTACAGGCACCCACCACCATGCCCAGCTATTTTTCTATTTTTAGTAGAGACGTGGTTTCACCGTGTTGGCCAGGATGGTCTTGATCACTTGAACTCAGGTGATCCACCTGCCTCGGCCTCCCAAAGTGCTGGGATTACAGGGCAAGAGCCACCACACCAGGCCAATGGGCATGTTTTTAACAGTTATTCTCCTAGCACTCATCATTTTATGTTTTCTCTCTTAGCATAAACAAGTTTCAGTCTTACTGATGTGTGTTAAACTGTTCCCCCATTTATACTTCAGTTGGTTTATGGTTTTTAATAATGTAGATACACATGTAAGGAATATTTATATGTACATAACTTTTCACTTTTAAAACGCTGTGATAGGCCAGGCGCAGTGGCTCATGCCTATAATCCTAGCACTTTGGGAGACTGAGGCGGGCGCATTGCCTGAGCTAAGGATTTCAAGACCAGCCTGGGCAACACAGTGAAACCCCGTCTCTACCAAAATATAAAAAAAATTAGCCACGCGTGGCGGCGTGCACATGTAGTCCAGCTACTCGGGAGGCTGAGGCAAAAGAATTGCTTGAACCCAGGAGTGGGAGGTTGCAGTGAGCCAAGATCGCACCACCGCACTTCAGCCGGGGAGACAGAGTGAGACTCCGTCTCTTTTTTTTTTTTTTTTTGAGACGGAGTCTTGCTCTGTGGCCCCGGCTGGAGTGCAGTGGCGTGATCTCGGCTCACTGCAAGCTCCGCCTCTCTAGTTCACGCCATTCTCCTGCCTCAGCCTCCCGAGTAGCTGGGACTACAGGCGCCCGCAACCATCCCCGGCTAATTTTTTGTATTTTTAGTAGAGACGGGGTTTCACCGTGTTAGCCAGGATGGTCTCGATCTCCTGACCTCGTGATCCACCCGCCTCGCCTCCCAAAGTGCTGGGATTACAGGCGTGAGCCACCGCACCCGGCCAACTCTGTCTCTTAAAAAAAAAAAAAAAAAAAAAACTGTGATAAGGTCAGGCGTGGTGGCTCATGCCTGTAATCCTAGCACTTTGGGAGGCTGAGGCAGCCGGATCACCTGAGTTCAGGAGTTTGAAACCAGCCTGGCCAACACGGTGAAACTGTCTCTACTAAGAAAAATACAAAAATCAGGGGCTGGGCACGGTGGCTCACGCCTGTAATCCCAGCACTTTGGGAGGCCAAGGTGGGCGGATCACGAGGTCAGGAGATCGAGACCATCCTGGCTAAGACGGTGAAACTCCGTCTCTACTAAAAATACAAAAAATTAGCCGGGGATGGTTGCGGGCGCCTGTAGTCCCAGCTACTCGGGAGGCTGAGGCAGGAGAATGGCGTGAACCCGGGAGGCGGAGCTTGCAGTAGGCGGAGATCGTGCCACTGCACTCCGGCCTGGGCGACCAGCGAGAGTCTGTCTCAAAAAAAAAAAAAAAGAAAGAAAAATACAAAAATTAGCCAGTTGTGATGGCAAGTGCCCGTAATACCAGCTACTCTGCAGGCTGAGGCACCAGAATAGCTTGAATCCAGGAGGCGGAGGTTGCAGTGAGCCGAGATCGCACCACTGCACTCCAGACTGAGGGACAAAGTGAGACTCAGTCTCAAAAAAAAAAAAAAAAAAGAAAAAAAAAAGGAAGCAAGCTGGGTTATGTGCGTTTAGAGGTGCTGTACCTTTTCAGCATTATAAATGAATAGAGATGAGTGGCAATAGTTACTTTGGTCCATAGATTTTTGGTATCTTAACTAGTTTTGGATCTCTTCCACTAAAGGGATTGCCTGTTGAACGTTGTTAGGAATGTAAATACTGAAGGCAAACTGCCTGGGTTTGAATTTTGTTCTGTCCCTTGCACCCTGCCTGGGTTCAAATCCTAGCTCTGCTTATTAAGTTCTTTTAAGGTGATGATCTTTGAGCAAATGTCTTAGCTTCTGCTTTCCCAAGTAAATGGACACAATAGTTGCTACCTTGTGAAAGATTCATGTAATTGACCAGTGTTTACCAAGCAGCATCAGTGTTCAGTTTCAGTCATTGGTGATTCTGCAGTTGGACTGTGAGGGGGTGCTGGGGTGGGGGTGGTGTGTGTGTGTAGCACTTAATTGCATGCGGAAAGGAAAAGATACTTTTTATAACCGAGAGGCAGCTTTTCTCTGCTTTTGTGTCAAAAGGGAAGAAGGGAGTTTGGAGAGGGAAACCAATTCTCTTTAATACTAAGCTCTCTTCTTCAAAATCAGAGGTAGATAGAATGTGTAATAATTTACAGAATTTCTAGACTTCAACAATCTGATTTTTTTAAATGTATTTTTATTTTTTCAGGTTGAGACTGAGCTACAGTTAATCTGTGGCAAGGTGCTGGATGCACTGGACAAACACCTCATTCCAGTAGCTGACACTGGCAAGTCCAAGGTTTTCTATTAGGAAATGTAGGTTCTATACTAGAAAGGAAAATGTAAGATTAAAAGTTGGCCTTTTTAGAATCATGACTTTCTTCTATGTAGGTTTCCAACTTTTATTTAAAAATAATTGTTTAATGTTAGAAGGATAGTCAATGTTGGGATAAAAAGATGGTCAGGCTATTATAAAAAATGCATTAGCTTTTGCTTTACCTATTTATATTCTTTTGCTTTCATGGGACCTATCTCATTCCCCTCCCCTAAACGGCCACACATTTCACAGTGCTGGCTGAAAGTTTCATGTAGAAATTTTATTTTATGATTAATA